>NC_000011.10:113536060-113839091 GCF_000001405.40 Homo sapiens | reverse complement strand
GATACAGTTTTGGAAATTAGTACCATATAGATGGCAATAAAACCAAGGGAGTGAATGAATTCACTAGAGGGTAGTGGCTCTCCAGAAGTATCGATCAGGCATCTTAAACTTACATAGCCCCAATGCAACCCTTGGTGCTCACCACAGCAGTCTTCTCCATCATGGTACATGGCACCTACCCAGCTGCTCAAGCCAAAAAATGGAATTCTCCCTTTCTACACATCTGCTACATCCAGCTTCTATGTGCCTGGCACTGTCTTAGGCTCTGGGGAAACAGCAGTGACTAAAACAAAGCCCGTACTCTCATGGTTTACTTTGGAAAGAGTGGCACAGACAGTAAACAAAACATGAGGAGGTGACAAGTGTAAAGATGAATGAATGAGTCTGGGGGACTGGACAGGGTTCAGCTGGAGAGGGCAGAGGGTCAGGGATGGCCTTTCTGATGAGGCGGGAATTTGAGCAGAGGTCTGAAGGTGGCCAGGGAATGTGCTATTTAATTACATAGGGAACATTTCAGACAAGGAACAGCAAATAAGCAGACTGAGGTTCAGGAGCTTGCTTAATGTGTCTGACAAATAGCAAATAGCTAAGACGGAGTGATCCAGAACTGATAGCAGTGGGATAGGAAAGGTGGTGGAGGTGGAGTGGAAGAGCTTGGGGTCATGATGAAGATTTGGGAATTCTAGATGAAATAGGAATGTATTGGAAGGTTTGGAGCAGAGAAGTGATATGATCATACTTCCAGTTTAAAAGGATCACTGGCATCTGTGTTGAGAATAGAACATAGGAAGATAATGTGGAACATGTCAGTTCTTTCCTATCTGAAAGGATAGAGAGAGAGAAAGATAATGCTCCTTGGATTCACAACCACCGCCCCCCCACCATTAGCCTTCACTCCTGTGGAGGGTGGACAAGAGCCAGCAGATGGAGAAGATAGCTGAGTAAGGCTTCTGGGACAGCATGAGCAGACAGCATAGAAAGTATATCTGAGGAGTCGGCCTTAACAAGGAAAAGGGCAGGAGAGTAATGGGAAGGGAAGAGGAAGAAATGATAACTGCAAATTAGAGTTGAAGTAGTGTCTAGTCTTTTTTTTTTTCCTCTGTGAAATTAGCAGCTATTTTTTGAGACAGTGGAGAAGTGACAGAGTCAGATTTTAAAGGGAGTGAAAGTTTGAAATAGTTGTTGGAGATGGTGGGAGAACCAGTTGGCACCAGAGTACAGTAGTAGGATTTCCAAAAATTTGAAGATCTGCTTGAAATTGTTGACTTTAAATGTGTGGTGATACGAAAATGTTCAGTTTCTATCAGGACATCCTCTTGACAGCACTTTGAACCTCTTACATGGAAAACTCAACTCATTTAATTTGGAGCATTTGCTGGGTATGTGATCAAAGGACAAAAGGGCACTCTGTGAATTTAATGAAGGGTAGTTAAGACCGTAGCATCAAAGCTAGATGGAGAAAGAAATGAAGATAGGAAGGAACTGATTGTTAGGGAGCCAGGAAAGAGATCAATTTGCTTGGGCCCCTGCTGAAGTCAAAGAACAGATATCCTGCAGGTAATTGGACACAAAGAAGACATGTAATGGTCCCAGAGTGAGCTTTTCTGAACGTGTAATCTGCGAACTGACACCTTTCATGTGTTGGTGTATTTTTGGGTGCAGCCTGGGATGTGGATGTAGATAGAGATGGAGTGGAGGAATGTGTCACTAGAGATGGGATGCCCAAGAAGCCGAGAGATCTCCATACTGGATGCATGCGAGTTCCCTCAGCAAACAATTGAACACCTGCTCTATGTCTAGCAGTGTTCTAGGCCCTTGATGTAGGAGTGAACAAAACAAAGACAACTGTGCCCACATGGAATGTAAATTCTCATGAGGTGAGATAGAAAATGAACAGTAAACTAAAAACTAACAGAATGATGAACTAGCTGAATAAAATGTGTATAATACATTAGACTGTGATTGGTCCAGTAGAAAAAAGAGCAAGGTTAGGGAGATTGGAACTGCAGGAGAGGTGGGAACAGGTTGCAGTATTAACTGTGGTGTTGGATGAGCCTCACTGTGGTGGGGAAGGGGATGAGACTGAAAAGGGAGTGAACCAGGCAGCTATTGGGATAAAAAAACATTCCAGGTAGAGGAACACATAGAGCAGTGGCTTCATGGTGGGAATGGGCTTGGTGTGTTCAGGGAACGTGCTGGAGTCCAAGTGGCTGGATGCTAAGAGCAAAGGGAGGGTCACTGGAGAGGAGGGTCTGAGTGGACAGGGAGTTACTGAAAGTCCCCAGTGGCAGACTGATCAACTCTGGCTCAAGTATTAAGAGTCTCCCTCTGGCTCCTGTGGCGAGATGAGGATGGAGGGGCAAGGATGCACAGGGAGAGACCCATGGCTGTCATCCATGAAGAGTGATGGTGACTCGGACTGGACTGGTAGCCCTGGAAATAGAAAAGAGTTGGAGTTCTTGATATATTCTCAAGGCAGCACTGACAGGATGTCCTCAGGGATTGGATGTTGACTCTAGTCACCTAGGAGGATGTCAGGACTTGGGAGAGTGAGGAAAGCTGTTACTAGATGACAGTCTTCAGTGAATCGGGAGCTTCATTTTTGCCATATTAGCGAGGTACTTAGAAGGAGCTGCGTGGCAGTTGTGAGCAAGTGTGAGTGGGTGGAGGGAAGTTCTGGAAGCAGAGAGACCATGTGCAAGTGAGCGGCGATGGGAGTTGGATTAGAGCAGCTGATGGGGTGCTGATGGGGAGAAAGCAGTTAGGTTATAAAGAGCACCTAGAGTCAGAGGCCAAGGGACTTGTTACTTACTAGATGTGAATGGCGAGGAGAAAGATTCAAGGATTTTTCTGCAGTTCTAAACTTTGGTGACTGGGGGAGGAGGATGTAATAATGAAGTGACGCAGAAAACACAGAAGCAGCAGCGGTTGGGTAAGGAATAAATTGGGAGATGTGAATAGTATTAGCTCACACTTAATGTGTTCTTTTTTGTTGTTTTTCTTTTTTTTTGTTTTGAGACAGTTTCGTTCTTGTTGCCCTGGCTGGTATGCAATGGTGCGATCTCGGCTCACGGCAACCTCTGCCTCCAGGGTTCAAGCGATTCTCCTGCCTCAGCCTCCCGAGCAGCTGGGACTATAGGCATGCCACCATGCCCGGCTAATTTTGTATTTTTAGTAGAGATGGGGTTTCTCCATGTTGGTCAGGCTGGTCTTGAACTCCTGACCTCAGGTGATCTGCCCGCCTCAGCCTCCCAAAGTGCTGGGATTACAGGCGTAAGCCACCACTTCCAGCCTAATGTGGTTTTTAAGAATAATGGCAAAGCCCGATTTTCCTGATGGTGAAGAGGTGGAGTTAAATGGCTGAGAATGTAAAGCCATTTTTCTCACAGCAGAATAGAAACTCAAGAATGTCACAGGGTAGCCAGCAGAGTAGGAATGCAAGTGTGTTAGGTAGACAGGTGAGGTGGAAGAGAAGAGAGTGGCAGAGGATACAGCTCACCAGCCAAGCCCTGGTCCCAGAGAGAACTTTGGTGCAGCATGACCTGGGTTTACACTTCAGTCCGGTTGAACACTCACCCTGTTGGCTGAATCCCGCCAGGGCTTGTGTTAGAGTGAGGGAAGCCAGAGAGGTGCACGTGGGCTCTAGTCAGTACCGACACTTGGATTCTTTGGTTGACATTAGGAAATATACCTGGGGCTTTTAGAATACCAAGAAGCTGTTTTATTTAGTTCTAATTCCAAAGTTTTGCCTATTATCTACCTAGGATGCTTCTTCAGGAGTTCCACCGTGCAGGCCTGAGAGGGTTTTCATTTGAGGAGCATGTTGGGATGAGGAGTTGTATATTCATACAGGAGATATTTTTAAAGAAAATTAACTTATGAAAGGTATTCATAGTAGAAAAATGTGATTTGCAAATAATAAAAAGAATCCCTCTCTCCAGTTCTACCATCTGCTGTTAAACTTTTAAAAAATACAATACTATGACAAGGAGTGGAGAATAGTAAACACTGCTATACTAACCACCTAGCTTAAAAAATTAATGTTACAAATTTCTGTTCTATTGAGTTCCTGTTGTGACATCCTCCCTTTCCCACAGTCATAACCACACATGGATGTATCCCTGAACAATACGTAGTATTGTTTTACATGTTGTTAAACTTAATATAAGCAGTATAATACTTTTTTTCTGTAACTTTTTTTCACTCAAAATGTGTTTTTGAGGTTTATCCATGTTGATACACATAGCTCTTGTTTTTTTCATTTTCACTTTATATAGTAGGTCATTTTATAAACACTTTTTACAATATTATTTCAATGACTGCTTAATAGTCTATTGTATAAATGTAGTATAGTTTATATAAACTACTTCTTTTGGCTGGGCTTGGTGGCTTATGCTTGTAATCCCAACACTTTGGGAGGCCAAAGCGGGCAGATCCCTTGAGCTCAGGAGTTTGAGACCATCCTGGGCAACATAGGGAGACCCTGTCTCTACAAAACCAAACCAAAACAAAACAAAAGCTACTCCTTTTGTTAGACATTAGGTTGTTTCTATTTTTTACCTAAAAGTATTAATATTCTTTGAGCTAATTTTTTGTGCACAACCATTATTTCCTTAGAAATAACATAAGTCAAATTGCCAGGTTGATAGTTTTGCATACTTTTAAATATGAAATAAAATATTTGAAGTGAAAAATACATATGTTGCTGCAGTTATTTTCAGGAAAGGCTATGAATCCCTTTCTTTCTTTATTTCAGTCTCTCTTTCAATTGCCTGAATTTCGAAGACTTGTTCTCAGTTATAGTCTGCCACAAAATGTACTTGAAAATTGTCGAAGTCATACAGTAAGTTGGTGTCAAGGAATTTCTTCACTGTTGTTTAGTCCCTTTCATCCCTAAGGCTTCTAGATTTTTGCCTAAAGCTGATATCCGTGATACTCTTTGGCTTGTGCTAATTATTTGTTTTCATTTCTAAATGGCTCATTTTCCTTTTTTGGGATAACATATAAGGGTATGCAAAAATGTAAAATTAAGTAGGAGTAAAATGAGAAAAACAGCTCCAAGAATATGTGGGTGGGGAGACCCTGAATACCTGTTGTGTTTGTTGTATCCTTTCTCTTCCTGAGCTGCTTAGGCAATGTGATGCTGGAGAGATGCCCTGATGCCAGAGACCTGAGCCGCCTTAGTCTATTTTATTCTGTTTTTGCCAAAGGTCGTAGCCTCCTCCTAGCAATTTAACCCTTCCCAGGATTTCACCTTGGCGCAATGCATTTTCCTCATGAGAAGGAGGGCAGCAGCTTCAGAAAGTGGACATTTCTGTTTTTCCAACAGTGCTGTCTCTGGCTTCTACATAGTTATTCTTCAGTTTAGAGTACAGTCCTTACCAGAGTCCCTGTAACACACATAGCCCTGTGACTTTGACCTAGATCTAGGTAAATATAAATGAGGGCATGATTATTGACAACTTTTTTTTCTTTACACGTTCTGATTTTCTAAATGAGATATTGTAAGAGTACATGTACTGTGTTTTCTACAGGAAAAGAGAAATATCATGTTTATGCAAGAGCTTCAGTATTTGTTTGCTCTAATGATGGGATCAAATAGAAAATTTGTAGACCCGTCTGCAGCCCTGGATCTATTAAAGGGAGCATTCCGATCATCTGAGGAACAGCAGGTACAAAAGAAGCCTTGTTCTTGAGTTTGAAGTCATGCCTTGTCAGTGTTAATGCGGTACTGCTTCATTTCAACTGCGTAACAAGCTGTGAACATGACTAAGCAGGACTATGGATGCTCGTTTCTGACTTTTGTTTTGCCTACAGAACAGGTGGTGAGAGAGAAAGCATGTGTGTGTGAGAGAGTGTGCGTGTGTTGCACGGGGGCTGGCAGTTCTAAAGAGAAGAAGAAATAGTAGTAGAAAGAATGTAGAATTATACCGGGGCTATTGATGTAGAAAGGAGGAGATTGGAAAATACCTCAATGAGCTGTAACAAAAGGGATACCAAGAAAAGTAGTCCTTTGTCTGCACCTTTGTCTTGGAATGGTCCAGATGGAAATAGTATCTTTAAAACTATCTAAACCTGAGTTCAGGAGCTTTTCGGAGCTTTTCTCAGCAACTTCTCTCTTCTAGACTTTCCCTTCCCTACCTCCTATTAAAAAATAGCCGGGCATGGTGGTACGCACCTGTAGTCCCAGCTACTTGGGAGGTTGAGGCAGGAAGATCCCTGGAACCCAGGAGTTTGAGGCTGCAATAAGCTGTGATTGCACTACTGTACTCCAGCCTGGGTGACAGAGTGAGACCCCGTCTCTGAAAAAATAATTTAAAAACAAAAACAAAGCTGTCACTAATTAGATCATCTTCTTCCTCATATGATTTTTTTTCTTTCTCTATTTGAAGGTCCTACAGTTCTACAAAATTCTCAAAACATTGAAGTTTTCTTTCTTTATTCAGATCTCTGTATTGTTCTAGAGTTCCTTGGGCCTTTTTCTTAAAAAGTCCTACTTGGAAGATTTTGTTTATTTTTCTTTCTTTGTCATAAATAGATGTGGCTGGAAGTAGTAGAGTTCCAGCTTCCTTCTAGCTACAACTTTCAGGTTGCTTAATGCACCTTCTTTTTTATGTATAGTAGCTGGGTTTCAGTGTTCCTATGTTTTCATGATATTCAGCCCCCAAAAATAAACGCTTTCAGGCTGTGCGCAATAGCTGATGCCTGTAATCCCAGCACTTGCGACGCCGAGGCAGGTGGATCATTTGAGGTCAGGAGTTCAAGACCAGCTTGGCCAACATGGTGAAACCCCGTCTCAGCTAAAAATACAAAAATTAGCCAGGCATGGTGGCATGTGCCTGTAATCCCAGCTACTTGGGAGGCTGAGGCAGGAGAATCGCTTGAATCTGGGAGGTGGAGGCTGCATTGAGCTGAGATCGCGCCACTGCACTCCAGTCTGGGCGACAGAGTGAGACCCTGTCTCAAAACAAAAAAAGAAAAGAAAAAAAGAAATGCTTTTATAGTAGTATAATCTTAATTCATTGGTGGGATAAGGATAAATTTTAATTTCTCTTAGTATTGCATCTAACTTTTATGCAATTTGTGCCTCTCTTATAGCAAGATGTGAGTGAATTCACACACAAGCTCCTGGATTGGCTAGAGGACGCATTCCAGCTAGCTGTTAATGTTAAGTGAGTGTTGAGGGTTTGTTTGTACATCCTTCCGACTCACAGTGGGCCAGTGAGAATTATATGCTGGAAAGTTACTCTCCTTAACTAGAAATTGCTGGTTTTTAACCATACCTCCTGGGATAACCACTGAGGTAGTCCTCATCATGTATCCCTGTCGCCTTCAGCTTTCCCCTCTGAGGATGTACCAGTCATCTTATCCTGCAGCTTTTTTTTTTTTCTAACTAAAGGACTGTAACTGTTAACTTTGTTAATAAACTCAGCATGTGCTGTAAAATGTATTTGTAAAAAGGACAAATCAACCTCTGTTGTGAACATGATGGTATAATATGGGTACTTAAATTTAAGATCCCTTTTGAGGTCTACTAAGAATGTGTAGAGGATAGGTTATAGTCATTTCAGTCACTGAGAGAAGTGAAACTTAGGGCACGATACGGATATCCCTCTGAGAAATCTGTGTTTTAAATGGTTTCAATTCTAGGTAGAAGCATTGTAACTATAAAATAGTTTTGGAAACGGCAACTCAACGTAGCAATTTAAGAAGGACTTGTAAGGAGAAACTTTTTATTTCTGTTGTACCATGGAGAAAAATTTTTTGTATTTATTTGTAAAACTATGCAACAGAGTTCATTCTTACCTTTATACTGCTTCTATACCTTGTATACATCTATCATTGGATATAGATGTATATACTGAAAGCATATTTGTCTGCATGTGTGACTCCACTATTAGGCTTTAAGCTCCTTAAGTCCAGGGATTGGGCCTTCTTGTCTTTGTGTCTTCAGAGTTTAGCACAATGCTCGAAAGAAGGTGTTCAATAAATATTTGAACTGAACTAATTGTTACTTATTTAGATCATACCTGGCTCTTTGGGGGTTGATGAAAATGCACTATTTTTGCTTTTGAATGATGCTTGGATTTTATGTAGCACATATCTTAATCCAAACAATCCAGAATTGTCTCCTTTTCCTAAAAGCAGCAGTCCCAGGAACAAATCTGAAAATCCAATGGTGCAGCTGTTCTATGGTACTTTCCTGACTGAAGGGGTTCGTGAAGGTAAATTCTCTGCTCTGAATTTTAATTCTAGACCTTTGATCATATCTTTATTACTGTGTCCCTTTGAGGAGGCAGTATAGTGAATAGGCTTGAGAGTCAGCAGTACTCAGCTCTGAATATTGGTTCTGCCTCTTGGTATCTGTTTAACTGTGGATAAACTATGGGAGCTTCTGGATCCTCAGTCTCTTCATCTGTAAAATGTGCACAATCTTTATCTCAGATTTGTCATATTAATACTTGCACAGCCCAAATCTGACATTAATGTCAGATAGTGATTTTACTCGGTTTTCTCTGTGTTGCTTATTCTAATATAATACTTAATCTCAAAAGGTTTTATTGAGTGAGACTGCCAAAAATGTTTTTCTAGACTAGAGGCTTTTCACTCTGGAGGCTTATCTATCTAAGCTACATGCAAGGCACATAATTTATTTTTAATTATGAAGAGTTTAGAATACATTCAAATAGAGCAATTTTACAACCTCCATGAACCCAGCCTTAGCCCACAGCCAGTCATTCCCCATCTCACCCCACTCTTACCAATCTGATACTCTTTTTAAAACATAACCCAATACCAATATGACTCTGAAAAATAGCATTTTAAACTATCAAATATCTAGTCAGTGTTGAGATTTCTAATTTGTTTTCATAATTTTTTAAAAATAGAAAATTTATTTTTAGAGTTTGTTTTAGTCAGGACCCCAGTGTGTGATTCATTTATGACTGAATATTTGTAGGCTCCCCCTCCATCGTTTTTTCCTTGAAATGTATTTTTTGGAGAAACTGGGTTGTTTGTTCTGTAGCATTTCCCACAGTTGGAAATTTTGCTGTTTGCATGTCCTCTGATACATATTTAACATATTTTAACATATCCCCATGTTCTTCTCTATTCCTCCTCTTATAAATTGGTAGTTGGATCTAGAGATTTGACTAGACTTAGCTAAGGCTTTTTTTGGCAAGACTATTCACAGATGGTGAGAAAACTCTTGATTAGGAAGTACATAATGTCTGGTTGTCTTTGCATTTTTTTTTTTTTTTTTTTTTTGAGACAAGTCCTTGCTCTGTTGCCCAGGTTGTAGCGCAGTGGCAACATCATAGCTTACTGTAACCTTGGACTTCTGGGCTCAAGAAATCCTCCTACCTTATCCTCCTGAGTAGCCAGGACTTCAGGCGTGTGTTACTGCACCCGGATAATTTTTATTTTTTGTAGAGACAGGGGTGTCACTGTGTTTTCCAGGCTGGTCAAACTCCTGGCCTCAAGTGATCCTCCCACCTTGGCCTCCCAAAGTGGTGGGATTACAGGCATAAGCCACGAAGCCCCTGGTCTTTTTCCAGTGTTACTGGTTTTCATTGTTCAGTGTCTAGATTGACTGGCTCACTAGAGGTTGCTATAAAGGCGTAAGTGCATTTCTAACCAGCTATCAGGAAGTTGCTGAATTTAAAATGTTGTCTCTGTGGAGCCAGAAGATAGGCTTTAGATAGTCATAGTGATGTCTTTTTTAAAAAGTCTCTCTCTTTGCCTAGGAAAACCCTTTTGTAACAATGAGACCTTCGGCCAGTATCCTCTTCAGGTAAACGGTTATCGCAACTTAGACGAGTGTTTGGAAGGGGCCATGGTGGAGGGTGATGTTGAGCTTCTTCCCTCCGATCACTCGGTGAAGTATGGACAAGAGGTACGTTGGAGATCTTTATTTGCTGTGCCAGTGACAAAGCCAGTTAAGTAGGAGTGAGCTTTTGGGCAGACTAGTTTCCCATCACATATTAAGTAACTTTACACTTAGCAGAACTTGAATTTGTCTTAAGTCTCTCATCAGTTGATGTGAGTCAGTGAGTATCAGTACTTTGATAAATAATTTTTACTAAAACTATGAATTTGAGTTACTCGTGTAAAGGTTGTATGCTGCTTCTGATGTTTTAAGTATGATCAAGTTTCTCTCTTTCTGTTGAAGCCTACCTGTACCTGAGTAGGGAGAACCCACTGCCTCCATATTTTCGGAGGGTAAAAGTACAGTGATTAACTCCTATGGTATGCCATTTAGAATATTTTCCCTATTATAGTATTTACTGTTCTCAATTGTAAATTCTGCCTTTGCTTTTAACATTTTTAAAATTTAATTTTCATTTGTTTATTTATGTATCTATTTTTTTTCTGGGTTGGAAAGACGGGGGAAGTTAAAGGGAGAGCATGGGTAGTTAACATCTCAGTATTCCAGTTAGGTTAAGAATTAGTGAATAGCATTTGTAACATAATTCTTTACACAGTTGGGATTGTTCTCCATTGATCATACATTTTGAGACAAAACTGTGGCTTATATATGATTCCAACTCAGTAATTACTATAGGAGAAAGTGGAGCTTTCCTGAATTAAAATAGGGAGCCTAACATGAGCCATATGAAAATACATTCACTGTAGAGCAGTGTTGGAACTCAGAGAGCTGCTGCCTCCCTGGATTTTCAAGGAAAAACTGATTCCTAATGGAGGAATTACGTCATCTGTACCATCTGTGCAAACCTGGTGCATCCTCTTACAAAAGAGGGAGTCTTCACCAGCTATACTTAGGCCTGTGGAGACCTGTATTCCAGGATGGGAATTCTATAAAAATTAAACAAAACAACAAAATTGTCATGCTCATTTAGATTTCACCCTGAGGTGGTCTCACAGGCTGTGTGAATTCACCTCATTATGCTGACAGGGTATCTGAAGGGAATGTTGCTTGCACTTGTGGTAAAGGAAATATTTTAAAGCTGTTGACAGGAACCTCAGACATACAGGTGAATTGAATAGAAAAGCCAAATCTGATTTAGCTTTTCCTCACCTGTGATCCCTGACTGTTGAGTCTTTTTTATGTCAGTGCCTTCCTTCTTTGAAACTCAAGTAACATCGTAGGTTGATTTGACTGGCTTCTTTATGAGACCTCTGTAAGTTTTTGAAATTCAGAGATTTTTCTTAGAAATTGAGAAATTGTAAAACCATGAGGCTATTTCAAATTTCCTTTGTATATATAAAGGAGATTCAAATTATGGTTAATAGACTAAAACAGCATGTAATATATGTACACATATGAGTCTTTTTAGCTGGCACATGGAGTTGTCTCTTTAGCTACATGCTGCTTCGATCATAATTTCATATTCTGTAGTTAGGCTAGCTGTTAAGTTTTTAAACCTCTTCTGAATACTGATGATGTAACGAATGAGTTATGTAGATGCTTAGTGCGGTTCACATATTCAAGGGTGGTTTATTCTGAGGATGATGGTTGAGTAAAATTCTGTTGACTGGCTAGTAAATTTGGAGTCTTGAGGAATGTTGAACCATATTCTGTAAGAGAATGAGATTCTAAGTGTTGATTCCCTTTAGTGTTTGGGATAAAAAAAAGTTCTAGTATGAGTTTGCCTTGAGTATAAGTTCTATACCAAAGGAAGAAACTTTAATGAGAGATATTTTAAATCTGGTTATTGTAATTTCCTAAAATTAATTTTTCTTTCTCTCACATTTCTACTCTTGACACTAGCGTTGGTTTACAAAGCTACCTCCAGTGTTGACCTTTGAACTCTCAAGATTTGAGTTTAATCAGTCCCTTGGGCAGCCAGAGAAAATTCACAATAAGCTGGAATTTCCTCAGATTATTTATATGGACAGGTGAGTTCTTGGCTGATTTTTTTTTTTCCTGAGGTATTACAGCAGTAGAGATGAGCACGTACTAAGTATAGTGTGCGTAGGAATCACCTGGGAGACATGATAATATGCAAATTTGGATTCTATGAGTCTAGGTTGAGGGTCTTTGCCTTTTTCTGAGACCTCCCAGGGTTGTGCTCATGTTGCTTCTGATCTCCGGAAGCAAGACTTTAGGTGAAAGCCCTCCTCCTTTTGGGGGTAGGAACTACCTGAATTCTGGGGGTGGGGGTGCTCCTAGCAGACTTACATTATAGAATTTTTGTTTTTTTTTTTTTTTGAGACAGAGTTTTGCTCTTGTTGCCCAGGCTGGAGTGCAATGGCGCAATCTCGGCTCACCGAAACATCTGCTTCCCGGGTTCAAGTGATTCTCCTGCCTCAGCCTCCCAAGTAGCTGGAATTACAGGCATGCACCACCACACCCGGCTAATTTTATATTTTTAGTAGAGACGGGGTTTCTCCATGTTGGTCAGGCTGGTCGCGAACTCCCGACCTCAGGTGATCCGCCTGCCTTGGCCTCCCAAAGTGCTGGTATTACAGGTGTGAGCCACCGCGCCCGGCCTAGAATTTTAATTTTATAAAAGTCTGGTTGAGACCAGGCATGGTGGCTCACATCTGTAATCCTAGCACTTTGGGAGGACGAGGAGGGCAGATATCTTGAGCGCAGGAGTTTAAGACTAGCCTGGGCAACATGGCAAAACCCTGTCTCTTAAAAAAAAAAAATTAGCTGGGTGTAGTGGTGTGCACCTGTAGTCCCAGGTACTTGGTGGGGCCAGTGAGCCCTGTTCATGTCACTGCACTCCAGCCTGGGTAACAGAGTGAGACCCTGTCTCAAAAAAAAAAAAAAAAAAAAAAAAAAAAATGGGTGTGGTGGCTTGATTTTCTTTTCTTTTCTTTCTTTCTTTTTTTTTTTTTTTGAGAAGGAGTCTTGCTCTGTTGCCCAGGCTGGAATGCAGTGGCACGATCTCGGCTCACTGCAACCTCTGCTTCCCGGGTTCAAGCGATTCTCCTGTGTCAGCCTCCCAAATAGCTGGGATTACAGGCACGCACCACCACACCCAGCTAATTTTAGTATTTTTAGTAGAGACGGGGTTTCACCATGTTGGCCAGGATGGTCTCAATCCCCTGACCTTGTGATCTGCCCGTCTCTGCCTCCCAAAGTGCTGGGATTATAGGCGTGAGCCATGGCTTCTTTTACTTATTTTTTATGTAGTCATTCTTATCCCATGGTTTATTTTTAGGCATATAACCAGTGAGTTCTGACAAATGTACAGTCAAATAAACTACCATCACAGTCAATATGTAGGGCATTCCAGCACCCAAAAGGTTTTCCTTGTCCCATTGTGATCATTCCCTTTCTCTCCATCTCCAGGTCCTGGCAACCACTTAATGTTTTTGGACCCTATAATGTTACCATTTCTAGAATGTGGCATTAGTAACATTAATATTTAGTAGGTACCCTGTTCTGGTTGTGTCCTTTCTTTAGGATAATGTTTTTGGGATTCACCCATGTTGTTCATATATAAGTAATTTGCTCCTTTGTATTGCTGAGTAATATTCTATTGTAATATGTACTGCAGTGATTTTTTGCCATTCACCATTTGGTGACGTATCTAGTTTTAGGCTATTATGAATGAAGCTGCCATGAACATTCACATATAATCCTTGGCATAATTTTTAGTTTTCTTGGGTAAAATATGTAGGAGTAGGATTGCTTGGTTCTATGAAAAGTGTATATTTAACATTATAAGAAATTTCCAAACTATTTTCTAAAGTGACTATACAATTTTGCATTCCCTCTAGCAGTGTGTGAGGGCTCCATTTGCTCTACATCCTTGCCAGTGCTTGGAATTATAAGTGTTTCTAATTTTAGCCATCTAGTGGGTGTGTGGGAATATCTTATTTTTCCTTTGATTTATATTTCCTTTTCCCCCATTGAATTATCTTGGCACTGTGTCAAAAATTAATTGAACATATACATGGGGGTCTATATCTGGAGTCTGTTCTGTCTGTTGTCTGGTCTTATGTCAGTGCCATATTGTTTTGATTACTATGGCTTTATTGTAAATCTTGACATTAGATAGTATGAATCCTTCAACTTTGTTCTTTTTCAAAATTGTTTTAGGTGTGCTGGTCCTTTGCATTTCTATGTAAATTTTTATCAGCTTGTCAGTTTCTACCCAGTGGCTATTGGGATTTTGATTGGTTGTGTTTTGAACTTACAGATCAGTTTGGGGAAAATTGACATCTTTTTTTTTTTTTTTTTTTAAGACGGAGTTTCGCTCTTGTTGCCCAGGCTGGAGTGCAATGGTGCGATCTTGGCTCACCGCAACCTCTGCCTCCCGGGTTCAAATGATTCTCCTGCCTCAGCCTCCCAAGTATCTGGGATTACAGGCATGTGCCACAACGCCCAGCTAATTTTGTATTTTTAGTAGAGATGGGGTTTCTCCCACGTTGGTCAGGCTGGTCTTGAACTCCCGTCCTCAGGTAATCCGCCTGCCTCGGCCTCCCAAAGTGTTGGGATTACAGGCGTGAGCCACCGCCCCTGGTCCAACATCTTAATAATAATATTGAGTTTTTCGGCCAGACATGGTGGCTCACACCTGTAATCCCAGCACTTTGGGAGGCTGAGGTGGGTGGATCACCTGAGGTAGGGAGTTTGAGACCAGCCTGACCAACCTGGTGAAACCCCATCTCTACTAAAAAATACAAAAATTAATCAGACTTGGTGATGGGCACCTGTAATTCCAGCTACCTGGGAGGCTGAGGCAGGAGGATTGCTTGAACCCGGGAGGCGGAGGTCACAGTGAGCCGAGATTGCGCCGTTGCACTCCAGCCTGGGTGACGAGTGAGACTCCATCTCAAAAATAATAATAATATTGAGTCCTTCAATCCATGAACAGTGTATAGCTCCATTTATTAAATAAGTTAATAGAGATTTAAGTCCTTATTAATATCTCTCAACAGTGTTTTGTAATTTTTAGTGTACAGGTCTTGCACATGTTTGATTAAATTTATCTCTAATTCCTGCTTTTAATTTCATTTTTCATTTGTTCTTTACAAGTGTATAGAATTGCAGTTGATTTTTTTTCTTTTTTTAAATTGATTTTGTATCCTTTGACTTTACTAAACTCACTTATTAGTTCTGATGTATTTTTTTAGGTTCCTTAAGATTTTCTGCATGCTTACATCATGTGGAACTAAAAGGCAGCTTTACTTCATTCTTTACTATCTGCATGCCTTTCATTTGTTTTTCTTACTTTATTGCATTGGTTATATCTTCAGTTAAGTATTTAATAGAAGTAGCAAGAGTGGGTATCCTTGTTCCTGATTTTAGGGGGAATGCATCAGTTTTAACCTTGAGTATGCTGTCAGCCGTATGTTTTTTATAGATGCCCTATATCTGATTGAAGAAGTTTCCTTGAATCTTTAGTTTACTGAGACTTTATGTCATTAATGTTTTATAATATAAATTGTGTTTGTGGGATTATTTACTTAGGTACATGTACAGGAGCAAGGAGCTTATTCGAAATAAGAGAGAGTGTATTCGAAAGTTGAAGGAGGAAATAAAAATTCTGCAGCAAAAATTGGAAAGGTGAGTTTTGGACACCTTCATGCTTAGAAATGTAAAAGAATATTAAAAACAGATAATTTGTTTTTCTTTAAAAATTAACTCAACGTTTAAATATTAACTAGAATATTTTATAAAACAGCTAAGAAAATTTTTTGTCTAAGTGTGAAGCAGTCTTCAGGATCAGCTAGTATTATTCATGGGGGTAAATAATAGTCCCAGACTACTGAAGTGACTCAGAGTCACACAGTTAGTTACTGCAGTGTACCAAGGAGAAACTGAGTTCTGATTTTATAGACTTTTTTTCTACTCCCCTTGCCATCTTTTTCACAAACATGAGAGAAGCAAGTGTCACGATGGTCCCGTCCACTTTTGGAAAAGCAGTTTCTGAAGTGTCTAAGAAAGATAAAAAACAGTGCTTTTCTACCTAGAGCAGTGCTAACTGATTAAAAGGGCTAATATTTCTGATGCATACAAAGTTCTTTCTCTTTTGGAGGAATTTTCACTTTTTTGATTGTTGGTTTTACACTATTTCTGTAGAATGGTTTTCTGTAATTTCCTTAGGAGTCAGTTTAATTTCTTTCTCGTCTAGATAGATCCCGTTGATTTTGCGCTTAAGAAAGAGATCCCATACACAGTCAATAGCTTCTCCTCCCTTTATCCACTTAACAGTTTTCTTTCTAAGACCACCACACCTCCACCTACTCCCTTATTAGGCCATTAATTTCCCTGAAGGGCAACACTTTCCATACCAGGCCTAAGATGGACCCTGCACTGTACCCCCACCGCTACCACTGCAGCTTCCACTCTCACTCCAGAAGAGCTTATACAAGATGTATTGTGACTAGTCATTTGTCTTTATAGAGACTTAAGCTGAAAACCAGTTCCTCAAATACTGTCCTGGAAGTGATTTTCAGGACTTTTAAGTCTGTTAGTATTTTACTAAACCTTTAAGTTTTAGTGATACTTTGTAAGGCTGGAAATTTTAAATTATTTTTATAGAACCAACCATACCAACTGGATGCAGTATCATGTGCCTATAATCCCAGCTATATGGGAGGCTGAGGCAAGAGGATTGCCTGTGCTCAGGAGTTTGAGACCAGCCTGTGCAACTTAGTGAGACCCCATCTCTCTCTCTCTCTCTCTCTCTCTCTCTCTCTCTCTCTCTCTGTTTTTTTTGAAGATGGAGTGTCGCTTTGTTTTCCAGGCTGGAGTGCAGTGGCACGATCTCAGCTCGCTGCAACCTCCGCCTCCTGGGTTCAAGCGATTCTTCTGCCTCAGCCTCCAGAGTAGCTGGGATTACAGGCATGTGCCACCATGCCCGGCTAATTTTGTATTTTTGGTAGAGACAAGGTTTCACCATGTTGGCCAGGCTGGTCTTGAACTCCTGACCTCGTGATCCACCTGCCTCAGCCTCCCAAAGTCCTGGGATTATAGGCGTGAGCCGCTGTTCCTGGCCCCCATCTCTTCACAACAACATAAGAGACCCCATCTTTTCACAACAACATAAAAGAAATGAGAATACCTGATGTTTTATAGTTCAAAAATACCAATTTACCAGGAGACAACAGGGTATTCTTTATTTTAAAATAGAGTATAGGAGCATTTTCCTTAGCATGATAATACTTTTGTTTTAAAATAAAATGAGACCTTCGAGTTGTACCTTCATGAAGCTAGAGGGGCCAGGGAACGTATTCCCCCACTCCCCCACCCCACCCTCACACCCTCCACCACCCACTGTCCCCATGTCTACCTGACTCCTCAATCGGGATTTGGTGGAACCTCCTCCCAAAAAGGCATTAGAAAGAACTGCCAAGCACAAAATTTTGTTAAGAAATGGCAACTTTTGGAACAGAGAGGCTTTCTGAATAAAAAGAACCAGCCCCCTAGCAAGACACCCAAGTTGCACTCAGAACCTCCAAAGAAAGAGGAAACTCCTAGGGTGCATGGCACTTGGAAGACCCCTCCCTTCCCAGAAAAGAAGGCAGCTGCCTCCAGCAGTGTGTCAGAAGAGTCCCTGGACAGGAAAGCTGCGGTGTCATGGCTGTCCCCTGCCCCTTCAAAGAATGCTGATTCTGTTGCAGCTAAGTAGATTTGCTGGAGGTGCCCTTCTAAAGATTAACAGCCACCCGACCCACTCCCAGAAGAAAGGCCTCCAGAACAAATCCTCTCAGCTCAGCGCCCCACAGAACTCTACCCAAGCTCACTCAGAATAAATGCTTTGGAGCATCCCAGAAGTTGCCAAGGAAGAATAGTGGCAATTGGCTGTGAGATGCTGGACACAGGACCCAAGGGGCATGTTACTTTCTTGGTTCCATGTAGCACTGTCAGCTACAGCGGAGATGTGCTTCATAACGAGTACATCCTTCCCCCTGGCCACACTGTGGACTGCCAGACCAGGTGGAGTGGTGTCCAGAAGCAGCACATGGTGAATGCCATGCTCTTCAAGATTGCTCATGGCATATATTGAAGATACAGGGAAGATGGTGGTGGACATGCCATCCACAATGACTTCAAAGCCCCAGTACTTTCATCCCAAGTCCCTCACCAGTGACAACTCCCATATCCCCCTTCTCCTCCCCAACTGGAAGGCTGATTGCCCAGTGAACGTCACCATGTCTTTGAAGCATCTCATCAAGAATCTGCTGAATTGGGACATCTGGGTTGGGAAAATAGGCATTCCTCTGTGGAAGACACCCAGGCTACCATGGAGCTATACAAATTGGTTGAACTCAAGTGGGAAGAACACCTTGCCCAGAATTCCCCGAAAGACTGGTGACAATGGGGATGTTGGTGACGTGGGGAGGCAGAAGCAGCACCAGGAGAAATAGGGCAGTGGACCAATGGACATCTCAACTAGTTCCACATCTTTGGAAGCTAAAATTGTTGGCAAGAGAAAGGTTCTACTCTAGATTTAATATCCATTGAAATTCCATCTCTGGTGTTATGTCCTGTGTCTGGTTAAGTGTCCCATGGAAGGAGGGCGCCTCCATGTCAGAACCAGCCCTGTGTCTTTTACCTCTTTCATGGTGCTATCCCTAGGTCCCAGGGTGCGCTGTGCCAGTGAAGCGTTTTGAATTTCAAGGGACAGGGCATACTGAGAAATGTAGTTTCCCAAAGTGCCTGATCACTAGAGTGGCTATATGGCTCATTTTGTGCCTCTTCTTCTTGAGTAATTAACAGCACCTTCTTTCACTCTCAGAAGTATCCTGGTTTGATAATAAATTATATGGTCCCATTCCTAACACAACCTCTGCTTTTGGCTCACAGTCTGCATCTAGCCTGTTTCAGGACATTGCTCATTCTTCCTACTTGACTGCCAGAGGTGCCATTGCAGGTGAGGTTTAGTTCTCCTTTGGGTTCTAAGGCAGTGGAGGTAAGACAGTAGCTTGGAAGTCAACTTTTCTGATTTAGGAAAGCAGTCTCTTTCCTAAGGCTATAGAGGATTTATTTCATGTAGGTCCCAGTTGGTAGGTTAAAAAAGAATTTGTAAAGTGTTTCTAACTCATTTATGCTGGAGGTTGCAAATTTTTTTGGTGAAAAATAAGACCTTGGCAATGACCTTGAGCAGTAGGATATTAAATTTTAACTCCCACAAGCTTAGCATTCCAATAATGGAACACTACGCATAAATGGGTTAATGGTTTTTAGTCTGGCCGGGCGCGGTGGATCACTTGAGGTCAGGAGTTCCAGACCCGCCTGACCAACATGGTGAAACCCCGTCTCTACTAAAAATACAGAATTAGCCGAGCGTGGTGGCGCATGCCTGTAGTCCTAGCTACTCGGGAGGCTGAGGCAGGAGAATCACTTGAACCGGGGAGGTGGAGGTTGCAGTGAGCCAAGATCACGCCATTGCACCCCAGCCTGGGCAACAAGAGCAAAACTCTGTCTCATAAATAAATAAATAATTGTTTTTAGTCTTTATCTTGGTAAACCAAGCCCCTAAAAATTCTAATTATTCCCTTGATACATTTTTATAATGGAAAAAATAAAATGATTATAAATTTCAGATTTTATTTTTTAAGGTTACACATATCTGCTTGTATATGTGTGACACAGTCCTGGGAAAATATAAAAGAAACTGTTAATGGATACCATTAGGTAGTAGAACTGAGATGGAGGTAGATGACTTTTATGGTCTGTTTTATACTTTTTTGTATTTGAATTTTCGTACCAGGTACATGCATTACTTTTACAGTTTAAGAATAAAAATGTTGGCCAGGCACAGTGGCTCACACCTGTAATCCCAGCACTTTGGGAGGCTGAGGTGGGTGGATCAGTTGAGATCAGGAGTTCGAGACCAGCTTGGCTGACACAGCAAAACCCCATCTCTACTAAAAATATAAAAATTAGCTGGGCGTGGCATCGCACACCTGTAGTCCCAGCTACTCGGGAGGCTGAGGCAGGACAATTGCTTGAACCCAGGAGGCAGAGGTTGCAGTAAGCCGAGATCGTGCCGCTGCACTCCAGCCTGGGTGACAAAATGAGACTCTGTCTCAAAAAAAAAAAAAAAGAATAAAAATGCTCACTATTTCTTCTTCTGTAAGATAACCTTGATATATTTTTGAAAATTGAATTTCTTGTGTATAGTATAGACATCTTTTTTTTAACCACTTTTGCTCTGATTCTACTAAACTGATAGAGGTGTACATTGTATGAAGTAGTTGGTCCTAAAAGTTGTATAAAGGAATTCAGTAGATGAACATGAAAATGATTATGTCTTGTCTTCTTTGTTTTTTTTTTTTTGGTGTTTTGTTTTGCTTTTTTTGAGACAGAGTCTCACTCTGTCACTCAGGCTGGAGCACAGTGGCATGATCTTGGCTCACTGTAGTCTCAACCTCCCAGGCTCAAGCGATCCTCCTGCCTCAGCCTCCCAAGGAGCTGGGACTACAGGAGTGTGCCATCATGCCTGGCTAATTTTTTTCATTTTTTGTGGAGACAGGGTTTTGTCATGTTGCCTAGGCTGGTCTTGAACTCCTTGGCTTCAAGCCATCTACCTGCCTTGGCCTCCCCAAGTACTGGGATTACAAGCATGAGTCACCATGCCCAGCTGAAAATTGTTATGTCATAAAATTGAAGATAAGTTTCTTAAAGAAAAAAATCTCTTGGGATTTAGTGTAAGTATTGTATTAAAATGCAGCAAACCTGGGAAGAATTAAAGTTGTAAAATGATGACTTAAAAATTGCCAGGCGCGGTGGCCCTTAATCCCAGCACTTTGGGAGGCCAAGGCGGGTGGATCACGAAGTCAGGAGATCGAGACCATCCTGGCTAATACAGTGAAACCCTGTCTCTACTAAAAATACAAAAAATTAGCCAGGCGTGGTGGCGGGTTCCTGTAGTCCCAGCTACTGGGGAGGCTGAGGCAGGAGAATGGCGTGAACCCAGGAGGCGGAGCTTGCAGTGAGCCAAGATAGCGCCACTGCACTCCAGCCTGGGCAACAGAGGGAGACTCTGTCTCAAAAAAAAAAAACCAAAAAATAAAAAATAAATAAATGACCAAAGCCTAAATGTAATATGACATCATGAGAAAGTGTAACTGGCATGACTTTGATTAGGAGCCTATTTGAAATGTTTCCTGCCAGATATAAAACTTCAGATTGTTGGCAATTTTTAGTTTTGTAGTTAGAGAATTTTTACCCTATAGATTGTTTGAGGACCCTATTAAATATTGTATAGCCTCTAGGAATAAGCCTTTCCATTGACTTGCTGTGATAAACAGATCTTTTGTCAGCGACTCTTAAAATACAAAACAGCCTTGGGCAGTAGAGTACCACTGTCTTTGTCGCTTAGGTATGTGAAATATGGCTCAGGCCCAGCTCGGTTCCCGCTCCCGGACATGCTGAAATATGTTATTGAATTTGCTAGTACAAAACCTGCCTCAGAAAGCTGTCCACCTGAAAGTGACACACATATGACATTACCACTTTCTTCAGTGCACTGCTCGGTTTCTGACCAGACATCCAAGGAAAGGTAATGAAAACATTTTTTTTTTAATGGTATGTATTGTTTTTCTGGTATAATTTAAACTATGCACCATCTTTGTACTTGATTGACAGTCACCTATAAGAGCACAGGAGCTGTGAGCTCTTTGTCTTAAAGGGAAGGGTTTTGCTGACTGTCACTTGGGTGGGAGTGGGCCCACCAGTGCATTTGTCTTATCCGTAGAATGGTTGGGTTATTTCAGAGGCTTCTCAAACTGTTCAGGATAGTGTTCAGGCTCCACCCAGTGATGCCTTGTTTTGAACTACAAGCCAGCTGCCATTAAAGGCCTTTCTCAGAGGAAACCTCAAGCCCTGCTCTTCCAAAACATCTCATGCTCACACACTTGAAGTATGCATGACTAAGAAACATCAAGGAAAGAGAGACTTATTCTTGAATAGAAAATTAGTACTTGAAAAAGAACTGGCTAGAAATAAGAGGACAGCTTAGAGGGGCTTCTCTAGTAAAGGCAGAGGGAGGCAAAGTCACAGGAGCCCTCTGATTTTATTCCATCCAGTCATGTGCAACAATCTTTATTGCCTAGAGGAGCCATGAAAGGTAGCTAGGACATTTGATATGTGTTACCTGGCTAATAAAAACACTAATACTCAATAAAAAGTTAGACTTTTTTGTCAAAAAATCTTAACTATTCTCCCCAACACATCCCCCGCCACCGCCCCACGTATTAATATTTATTCATCCATGTATGCATAGAAATGCTTATTTGGATAGAACATACCAAATGTCAAGAATGATTATCTCTAAGGAGTGACATGAGTCTGGGGATAGGAGTGGGGCTGCTCTTTCACTTTTTATATTCTACTTAAATTTTTTAATTTTTGTAAAAATAGAATCTTTTTATGTATATTATGAAATGTAAAGTTTTAATTTTTAAAAAGTGGTTCGGCAGGCTATTTAATCAAATAAAATAATAGTGCTTGGTATTAGATTTAAAAATTACAGGGAGGTGTATGTGTGTAATCTCCTCTGAAATTGAGATATCTGTTCCCTTGTTGGGCTTATTTTTCCATAAGTATGGACCTTAGGGAAAAGAGATTTCCTCCATTATTTTGTGCATGTGAGAGAGTGAGGAGGAGGGAGTGAGGTTTTTTTGTTTGTTTGTTTGTTTGTTTTTTTGAGATGGAGTCTCACTCTGTCGCCAGGCTGGAGTACAGTGGCATGATCTCAGCTCACTGCAACCTCCGCCTTCTGGGTTCAAGCGATTCTCCTGCCTCAGCCTCCCAAGTAGCTGGGACTACAGGCGTGCCACCATGCCCAGCTGAGTTTTGTATTTTTAGTAGAGATGGGGTTTCACCATGTTGGCCAGGGTGGTCTCGATCTCTTGACCTGGTAATTTGCCCTCCTTAGCCTCCCAAAGTGCTGGGATTACAGGCGTGAGCCACCGTACCCGGCAGGAGTGAGAGTTTTTTTTTAAGTCAAAGTAAAGGAAGTTTATATTCTTCAGCTTTGGTGTAAAAGAGAAACCTAACTACAATTAGAAGCTTATTTTATATTCCTGCTGGTTTGTTGACCTGCAGTTTTACTCTGACAATAGAGAAATTAACATTTACTTGATATGCTTTATTCTCTGTTAGTTTACAGAAAAGACGTAAAGAACTTAAGATTTATATTTTGTAGATGAGATATTAATACTTTTTTCCTTGGGTATTTAGCTAAAGTAGTAGAGCTAGGATTGTTTGACTTGAAGCCCTTCTCTCAGAACTCTCCAAGGTGTCACCTAGTGTGTATTCCTGTGAGTTGTATGTTCAGCTGATGCTTCCTTTTTCTTCCTTCTGTGTATTTTGTTCCAGGAAGGATAGTGTCACTTTAGTTGGCTTCATCTTGTAAACTCTGTAGTTGATTCCTTGATTCTTCCAGGCCTAGTCTTCTCTTTTCCATTTTCCTTCTCTTCCCATCCTCATGGGAAGGAATAATCAGTGATCAGAGAACATGAGCTAAAGACTGGCCGATCTGGCTTTGGATTCATTTTCATTACCTTCCAGCTTGGTGAACTTGGGCATGTTGCTTAATTTATTTAAACCTTAGGCTCACAGTTGGTAAAATAGGGATAGAAAAGTATCTACCTCACAGGCCAGTTGTGGTACGTGAGATGATAGAGAAAAAGGTTGGCTCTGTACCTTTATAGAGTTAATGCTCACTGAATACCTGTACTTTTTCATATAGCATCTTGCTTTCCAAAGTACATAATTTAGGCCAAGGTATCTTTTGGAAATTATCATATGAGCATGATTTTTGTCTTCCTCAGTACAAGTACAGAAAGCTCTTCTCAGGATGTTGAAAGTACCTTTTCTTCTCCTGAAGATTCTTTACCCAAGTCTAAACCACTGACATCTTCTCGGTCTTCCATGGAAATGCCTTCACAGCCAGCTCCACGAACAGTCACAGATGAGGAGATAAATTTTGTTAAGACCTGTCTTCAGAGATGGAGGAGTGAGATTGAACAAGATATACAAGGTTGGCTCTTTTAAAATTTGTCAGTTACTCTTTGCTTTTTCTGTTTTTTGACTATTTGGAGGTTAAGCACCTCGGTACACTTCCTGACATTACTGTACATGCTACAGAATTTCCCCCCCGCCGAGATGGAGTCTCACTCTATCACCCAGGCTGGAGTGCAGTGGTGCAATCTCAGCTCACTGAAACCTCCGCCTTCCGGGTTCAGGCGATTTTCATGGCTCAGCCTCCCAAGTAGCTGGGATTATAGGCATGTACCACCACACCTGGCTGATTTTTTTTTTTTTTTTAGTAGAGATGGGGTTTCACCATGTTGGTCAGGCTGGTCTTAAACTCCTGACCAAAACTGATCTGCCTGCCTTGGCCTCCCAAAGTGCTGGGATTATAGGTGTGAGCCACTACGTCTGGCCCATGCTTTTGAATTTTGACATGGTAATTGTGACTTCTTTTGCACTTTTAGTGCCCTGTAAACTTGGCTCACACACCCCCATTATACAGATATGGAAAGATCTCCCCCTCAAAATTTCTGGGAAATGATCACCTTTGCTGAGATTTTTCTGCATCAACTGATTTCTGTTTCTGTGGTAGATTATCTGAACTCCAGCTTAAGTTGACCCAGATTTAGCATTTAGCTTTTCTGGACTTCTACTCTTCAGTCTTTTCTATAGGAAGCATGCTTTACTGAAGGTTAATGAGGTATTTGAGCAGTATGCACAATGTAAAATTGGATTATTCAGCATTGTATTCTTAAAAAGCCCTTTGACCTCATTGCCCATATTGCTCAGACTAACCTTACCCCCCTTCCTGTCTCCTTTTGTCTAGGGAACAAAAAGATGATGGAAAATACAGATTCTTCCCAGATTCCTATTCAGAGAAATTTAGCCTTACCCTTTGTTCTGCTTTCTCATTTCAGATCCTGTCTGAGGCATACATTTTACAGCCAAGTGACCCATTAAGATCTTTTCCTAAACAGCTTACTCTTTAAGAAATTTTGGCAATTATAAAAAATAATGTTTTAAAACCTTAATGTAATTATATTGAACTAAAAGCTTTCATAACCTAAAGTACTAGCTGCTTTAAAACTGTATATTGCTTCGTGGTTCATAGAGGGAAGCTGAAATCATTAGGACCCTAGCAATATTCTTTGCTTAGTTAAAGTAGCCTGTGTGACATAGAATGAGATCATTTTAGTGAAGCTTTTGTTTTTCTTTTTCCAAACAGATTTAAAGACTTGTATTGCAAGTACTACTCAGACTATTGAACAGATGTACTGCGATCCTCTCCTTCGTCAGGTAGAATGAAAATTGATGGGAAAGTAGTCAAGGCATGTGCTAATGGTAGATACAAAAATCAAATTTGATAGTTTTCTTTTAAACCCAATGGGAATCCCCCTAAGATAAAAGAATAAACTTAAGATATAAATTGATGTTGTTCTGTTTCTTTATTTTAGGCTAAAGAAAGCAATATACCTTTTACCAAAAACAGGACCTAACACATACTTGTTTGAATTCTGCCACATGGAATTTTTTCATATTGTAGAAAGGTTTGCTGTCAGATACTAATAAAAATTACTTACAAAATGGTACTTTAAGTAGTGCAGTGGGAAAAACTGAACTAGAGAACAGTTATCCTTTCTTTCCCAAAGTTCCATGATTCTTCAAGATCTTTAATTTAACAACATGCGTTCAAGCTTTATTTCTGTAATAATAAATTCCAAAAGAGAGTTAGGACAGAAATTCTTAACTATCCACAGAAGTGTTTGTTAGAATAAATTCTGGGAATGGAGGGGTAAAGAGCCTCCAGGAGTGTCTCTGAACCTATTCTGGTTAGGGGCATGGACTTTCAGTGGCTTCTGTATGAATGACTGGAATGGGCAGAATGGCTTGGAGGAGGGGAGCCCTGTTTCTAGAATGGCATTGAGGCACAGTCCCATTGCTTAACAGGAATGCACCATGTAAAACGCAGGCTTCCCCATTTTTTCTTTTGTGTTAATTCAAAAATCTTCACCAGTAATTAAAATAGGTCAAAGTAAGTGTAAATTTAATTTGATTCTGTGACTGACTTTCATCTCTTTTACTAGTATTTAGTTAGCATTTAAGCATTGCTCTATTTTCTCTATATTGAAAATACACAAATGTGCTTTTCAAATGTTGTAACAAACAAGTATGTCATTAAAAGGGTCTTCACTCCAGATAGATAAGTGGTCACTTAACTCTAAGAAGCATGTGGCTGAATTAAATATGTTAACTTAAATTTTGTTGCCAAATAAAATAGGCATGGAACAAAATAGCTGCTAACCTTTGTAGGTCCCAAATATGCTAAGCATTTTCAGCATGAGTGGTCAAGGTGATTCTATTTTTAGATAAACAGAGTTTTGAATTAGAAGGATGCATATGTTTAGGTTATGTTTGGTTTTAGATCTGAGGAGTTTAGAGTTGAAAGAGTCTTCAGAGAGGTCATGTAGTTCAGCGATCTGGTTTTCAAGGTTTTGGAACTGAGACATAATTGATCAATTCCAAGGCTGTGTTTTTGTGGACTTCATCTTGAATCAACAAGATGTTTTAATATGAACCCCACATTAATCACATCATAAACAGTAATTTCTTAATAACCTAAACTTTATCAGATTACTTTGCTTCACCTGACTGGGGAATGTACATTCTGACTTACAGGTGCCTTATCGCTTGCATGCAGTTCTTGTTCATGAAGGACAAGCAAATGCTGGACACTATTGGGCCTATATCTATAATCAACCCCGACAGAGCTGGCTCAAGTACAATGACATCTCTGTTACTGAATCTTCCTGGGAAGAAGTTGAAAGAGATTCCTATGGAGGCCTGAGAAATGTTAGTGCTTACTGTCTGATGTACATTAATGACAAACTACCCTACTTCAATGCAGGTAAAAGTATCTTGGCAGAATCTATAGATTGGGGAAAATCTGTACTGCTCAGGGAGAAGAACAGTCTTGTACTGCTTTTTAAAAAATTTACAACTTACTATTATATAATAATAGATTTAAAAAATATAGACAGTATAAAAGGAAATGAAAAGGAAAAACAAGTTTGCTTTACTACTTTCTTCCTTGACCATGGGTCCCACTCCCAACAAGTACACAATGTTAGGTTTCTTATGTAGTCTTCAAGACACATTGTATACATATGCTAGATTCTATTTATCTGTATCTTCCCCTCCCCCTTTTCCCCAAGTAGATTATTTTTCCATTCAACTCTGAACCTTTTTCATTAATCGAGTATTTAGCAATCTCTATATTTTTAGTAAAAGAATCTTAACTGTTTAACAACTATATAGTAATTCATTGTGTGGAATATACGTATTTTTAAAATTTACTCGTAGATAGACTAATTCTCTAGTTGTTGTTGTTTTTAGTGACATCTTTTTTTTTTCTTGCCCCATCTTATGGTGCTGATAGTACATATATTTTTGCACCCTTTGGAGAATAACTAAATTTTTTCTTTCTTTTTTTTTTGAGACATAGTCTTGCTTTGTCGCCCAGGCTGGAGTGCAGTGGCGCAATCTCAGCTCACTGCAACCTCCGCCTGCCAGGTTGAAGTGATTCTCCTGCCTCACTCTCGCAAGCAGCTGGAATTACAGGTGCCCACCACCATGCCCAGCTGATTTTTGTATTTTTAGTAGAAACGGTGTTTCACCATCTTGGCCAGGGTGTTTTTGAACTCCTCACCTCAGGTGATCTGCCTGCTTCGGCCTCTCAAAGTGCTGGGATTACAGTTGTGGGGCCCAGAATAACTAAATTTTACAGGTGTATTTGCCTGAATAGTTTCACAGTTGTTGTAATACTACTACTCATACAGAGAGCAATAATAATTATCATTTATATTGGTACTTTACTTCTTAAAGCATGCTTTCAAACTTTTATTTCTCTAAGAACTTACAGCTGTGAAAAGGAGGGAAAGAGTTTGAAAATGTTGTCATCTTCATTTTCCAGCTGGATAACAGATTCCAAAGGGTTCTAAAGTTGAGTAATCACATAGTCAATAAATGGCAGTCCCAAGATTCAAATACAATTCTCCAAATTCTGTGGTGTTTTCAATTTACATTATTCTCTCTTTCTTTCACATCCTCTATGAGAGGTCTTATGATGAACATTTTATAAGTAAGATAGTAGAAAGCTTTTGCCTGTAGTATTCAAACTTTACTGTGTGGCGTAAGTAAGGAAACATCGCCCCGGCATGGTGGTTCACGCCTGTAATCCCAGCACTTTGGGAGGCCAAGGCGGGCGGATCACTTGAGGCCAGGAGTTGAAGACCAACCTGGCCAACATGGTAAAACCCTGTGTCTACTAAAAATACATAAATTAGCTGGGCATGGTGGCACACACCTGTAATCCCACCTACTTGGGAGGCTGAGGCAGGAGAATTGCTTGAACCTGGGAGGCAAAGGTTGCAGTGAGCTGAGATCGTGCCACTGCACCCAGCCTGGGCAACAGAGTGAGACTTTGTCTCAAAAAAAACAAACATGTAAGGTGTTCTGTCCAGGCAGCACGTTATCTTTCTGATTTGCTAGTGTGGTTGGGGATTAGGGAATGGAGAGAATGATAAATGAACAGTAAGTAATCTTCACAATTGTATATTTATGCTGCGAAGGAATGAATAGCTGCTTGAATGTACTAGCTGTTGTTAATATATAGGAGCCTTGTTATTGCATGCATGGTTTATTTTTCTATTATAGAAACAAACAAGTGGAAACTGTCATTTGCTTAGTGAAAAGGCTGATTAATGGCAACCAGTAAGTGAATGTGTTAATCTGCTATAGACTTTTTTTGTTTGTTTTGGTCACAGGGTTAGAAAATGAAATTTTATATGTCATTGATATCCTTGCCATTAAAGCCAGGTATTATTGACCATTTCACCATTGTATCAAATTGCTTTCTCATAGTACTGAATTGTATGAAAGTTGGTGGTATAAATGTCTTGAAATTCATCTCTAACCTTTTTGAAATGGACATTCTTATCCGCCAAATGCAGTGGTTAAATGGATAAAACTGTTTATCTTGAAATTTTTATTGGCTCTAATGATTTTCTGAATTTCCCTGAAATGATTGGTATATCCAGTGATTGACAGTGACCAGTTTCCAAATCTTTTTTTTTTTTTTTTTTTTTTTGAGATGGAGTCTCACTCTGTCTCCCAGGCTGGAGCGCAGTGGCGCAACCTCAGCTTACTGCAACCTCCTCCTCCCAGGTTCAAGCGATTCTCCCACTTCAGCCTTCTAAGTAGCTGGGATTACAGGCATGCGCCACCACGCTTGACTAATTTTTGTATTTTTTTTAGTAGAGACAGGGTTTCACCATGTTGGCCAGGCTGGTCTTGAACTCCTACCTCAAGTGATTGGCCTGCCTTGGCCTCCCAAAGTGCTGGGATTACAGGCGTGAGCCACTGCACCCGGCCCACTTTCCATATCTTTAACTCTGTGTTATTCATTCACTTAGCAGATGTTTAATGAGTGCCTACTAAATGTCAGGCACTGTTATCAATTGTTGCCCTTACATTGTCCATACAGGTTGAGCATCCCACATGTGAATATCCAAAATCCCAAATGCTCCAAAATCCACAAAACTTTATGAGCCTTTTTCATTACATGATGCTGGAAGGGAATGCTCATTGGAGCATTTTGAATTTCAGATGTTGGATTTTAGGATTTGGGATGCTCAACTATAACTAATTGTGCAGATTTTCTAAAATATGAAAAAAATTTGAAGTCCAAAACAGTTCTAGTCCCAATCATTTTGGATAAGAGATACTCAGCCTGCATTTCTGATGGATTCTATGTGCATGTATTTTTAGTTAGGAGTAAGATAAAGATGAAATACCCTGCTTTCTTCTTTTCTAAAAAGGATGTTTTCGTTCCTTGTGACCTTTTAACTCTATCTTTGCTTTTCCTCAGAGGCAGCCCCAACTGAATCAGATCAAATGTCAGAAGTGGAAGCCCTATCTGTGGAACTCAAGCATTACATTCAGGAGGATAACTGGCGGTTTGAGCAGGAAGTAGAGGAGTGGGAAGAAGAGCAGTCTTGCAAAATCCCTCAAATGGAGTCCTCCACCAACTCCTCATCACAGGACTACTCTACATCACAAGGTATCTGAGAAGGCATTTATGCCAGTGATCCAGTAACATCTCATGCTGTACTCCCCTAGCCAGCCCTATACCCTTCAGCTGGCTAGGTGATGCCACAGTCTTCACAGTATATTTCATATACAGTTGGTATGCCAGGTACAACCTGATGGAATGAATTGTGGCATTAGAATGTGATTTCTGATGAACAGAAGCAGTATCAGAAAGACTAACTACCTGTGACCTTCACTGTGTATATAGTTTTGCTTATTTCCCAGGTTATGGGAGAAACTATGATAGGGTTAATAGGTAGACTTTATGAAAACCATTCTCCAAAGGTGATCTTCCTAAAAGATGCTTGTTTGTAGAAAGTTTTCTTAATGGATAGAAATATGACAAAGTTGGGAGTGCATTAAATTTTACAGAATCATCTGTGGGTTCAAAGTTTACAGACTTTATCAATAGAGTTCTTGCTGAAGTAGCCATTTCTTATAGTTATTAATTTCTAGGGAAAATCTGCATAGGCTTTTGTAAAAAGCTGTGTTAACAGGGTTGTATATTAAACTGTATACATTCTGCTTGCTTTTTATCTGAGTGTTCTAGACTATTTATCATTAGATGCTAAGACCTTTGTTCAATTCTTTATCAGAGCCTTCAGTAGCCTCTTCTCATGGGGTTCGCTGCTTGTCGTCTGAGCATGCTGTGATTGTAAAGGAGCAAACTGCCCAGGCTATTGCAAACACAGCCCGTGCCTATGAGAAGAGCGGTGTAGAAGCGGCACTGAGTGAGGTGAGAATGACTGGGAAGCCCAAGTTCAGGAGAGCCGGGCTTTCAGCAGCGATGGCCAGTTTTCTCACATTTCTATTATTCTGTGTCTCTGCTGCCTTTAACCAACCCCTATTTATTTCTCCTGTTTTTTCTTACTCTTTCTCCCCACTCTGCTGCCACAGCTTAAAGAAGCTGAACCCAAGAAGCCCATGCCCCAGGAAACAAACCTTGCAGAGCAGTCAGAACAGCCCCCAAAGGCTAATGATGCAGAGTCTACTGCCCAGCCTAATTCTGAGGTCTCTGAAGTCGAGATTCCCAGTGTGGGAAGGATTCTGGTTAGATCTGATGCAGATGGATATGATGAGGAGGTACAGAGATGAGTGCAGGATATAGTTGTTTGTTGTCAGTCTTATATTTCCTTCTCTTGTGACTATATTAAGGTATCTGCCAATAGCTGATATTTTCTCGTTGCAAAAAATGATTGTCAAGAAAGCCTATTTGGTTTTGACCTTAGTTACCATTATTTAAAAGATAGCCATGTTTCTATTGTATAGCGCTCCCAGCATATGTATATCTACCCAGGCTTATACTTAATGGGGCCACTGCAGAGTCTAGATGGCTCAGAAAAGTAAAATTAAGTTCCCTTTTTGGTATTATGGACAAAAGATTGCCTTCTAATTTAAAATAGGGAATCTTTTTTTTGGATATTAGTCCATTGTTTTACCTCCAGATATAAATTTTTCAGTTGTCCAGTGAGCTAAACAAATGTGGATTGAAGTTATTTTTAATTGTAAAGGAATTCTATAGGAAGAAGCTATAGAACCCCAAGTTGTTTGTTGTCTGTCTCCTCTTCAGTTGCACTGCACATAAACAATAATGAATTCTGTCTCTCTCAGATTTCTGTTTTTTTTCTGTGGGGTATTTAAAAAAAAAAATCATTGACAAGGCTGGGCACGGAGGTTTACGCCTATAATCCCAGCCCTTTGGGAGGCCAAGGCGGGTGGATCACCTCGGGTCGGGAGTTCAAGACCAGCCTGGCCAACATGGTGAAACCCCTGTCTCTACTAAAAATACAAAAATTAGCTGGGCATGGTGGCATACACCTATAATCCCAGCTACTTGGGAGGCTGAGGCAGGAGAACCGCTTGAACCCGGGAGGCGGAGGTTGCAGTGAGCTGAGATCACGCCATTGCACTCCAGCCTGGGCGACAGAGCGAGACTCTGTCTCCCAAAAAAAAAAAAAGTCCTTGAAAAGTTTTTACTTTATGGAGTCATATTTGTATAGTCGCTAGTTTCCAGACTATTTTAAATGTACTGTTTATCCTAGTAAAACTCTAAAGTATTTGTGTGTTTAAGATATACACCCAAAGTACAGAACTAAATTGGAATTCTGACCTTAGACACTTCCCCTCTGAGAACTATAATTTAACTTAATTCTTCAGCAGTGCCATATTGGGAGATATTTTTAGGCATACATCTTTCTTTATCCTACTGAATTAGAACATAGAGCGTAGGAATAGCTTGTCTTGGGCAGGGTGTTGACATTATATAGAAGGACAGAGGCAGTGGGTGCACATAGGAATGGGTGTGTGAAACTCAGCTTGCAATACATGCTGGCCAAAGAGCACACTGCTCTGCTGCCCTTTAGCACTCTGTTCAGCCTGCTTTCATACAGTCTTCTGCTGAACCTTTCTTCTCTCCTTTCTCTCTGTGTTTTGTGCCCCCTTGTGGTAGGTGATGCTGAGCCCTGCCATGCAAGGGGTCATCCTGGCCATAGCTAAAGCCCGTCAGACCTTTGACCGAGATGGGTCTGAAGCAGGGCTGATTAAGGTATCTCTGTTTTTAAAATTCTAATTCTTACAATATAGGCATCATAATATTGGGGAAATAATTCTATAAGAAGGGAAAAAATGGGGTTAAGGCTGGGTGTGGTGGTGTGTGCATGTAGTCCCAGCTACTCAGGAAGCTGAAGTAGAGGCTCACTTGAGCTCAGGAGTTGGAGGCTGAAATGTACTGTGATTGCACCACTGCACTCCAGCCTGGGCAACATAATGAGATCCCATCTCTTTAAAAATAAAAAGGACTGGGCACAGTGGCTCACACCTGTAATTTAGCACTTTGGGAGGCCCAGGAGGGAGGCTTGCTTGAAGCCAGGAGTTCAAAACCAGCCGGGTCAACATAGTGAGACCCCCATCTCTACTAAGGAATTTTTTTTTTTTTTAATTAGCTGGGCATGGTAGCACATACCTGTAGTCCCAGCTAATTTGGAGGCTGAGGCAGGAGGATCACTTGAGCCCAGGTGTTCAAGGTTGCAGTGAACCATGATTGTGCCACTGCATTCCAGTCTGGGTGACAGAGTGAGACCCTGTCTCCAAAAAATAAAAAAAAAGTCTTCTGTGAAGTGAAATATGAGACTTCCTTTCCTGTCCAACTGATGAACAAGCTGTTCACTTCTCTTCTCTTGACCCTAACCCAGCCTTGGCTAGCAGTAACATTCTCTGTGACACCTAGCCTAGAGGGCTTTTCATTGTTGTTGTTAGGAGTTGTCTGTTAGTAACACTGAGTTAGATTGTGCCTTTGTAATTTTGAGGCCATAACAAAGTAGGCTGTGTTTTTAAAAATACTTGAGTAAAATTGCATTTGTATAGATTCTTTAAGTTTAAGTCATTGACACACAAGGATCTGCCTTTTATAACAATTAAAACTAAATATTTGTTTTTCTGAGAACTTTATGAGAAAACTGAATTTCTTAAGAGTACAGTAGGCTGGGCGCAGTGGCTCATGCCTGTAATCCCAGCACTTTGGGAGGCCAAAGTGGGTGGATTGCTTGAGCTCAGGAGTTTGAGACCAGCCTGGGCAACATGGCGAAACCCAATCTCTATCAAAAATACAAAAATTAACTGGGCATGGTGGTATATGCCTGTAGTCCCAGCTACTTGGGAGGCTGAGGTGGGAGGATCACCTGAGCCCAGGAGTTCAGGGCTGCAGTGAGCTGTGATCATGTCACTGAACTCCAGCCTGGGTGACAAAGTGATACTCTGTCTCAAAAAAAAAAAAAAGTACAGTATGTTTTTGGTGCCAGAATGCTAAAAGAGTTTCATCCCTTATGAAATGCAAGAAACTTAAAAATTCCATAGTTGTTTTTGTAATTCGATATGAATTTTTTAGAAGTCTTTTTAGAGTCAAGAGACTGCCTAGCTCCTAGGCATCAATTTCTGTGTGCAGAAGCCCACAGCACACTATTTTCTAACCATTGATTCTGCCCTTAATAGGCATTCCATGAAGAATACTCCAGGCTCTATCAGCTTGCCAAAGAGACCCCCACCTCTCACAGTGATCCTCGACTTCAGCATGTCCTTGTCTACTTTTTCCAAAATGAAGCACCCAAAAGGGTAGTAGAACGAACCCTTCTGGAACAGTTTGCAGATAAAAATCTTAGCTATGATGAAAGGTGAGAAGAGAATATTCAGGTGAATCCCTTGGTCTGGGTTGGGCTAGATGGACTCCTCTGTTGGGGAAGTTTTGCCCTGTGCCTTTTCATTGCTTTCTGAACTTTGTCCCACACAGATCAATCAGCATTATGAAGGTGGCTCAAGCGAAACTGAAGGAAATTGGTCCAGATGACATGAATATGGAAGAGTACAAGGTAAAGTGTTTTCTTTAAGTCTATAGAGCAAAAACATTAATTCCTGAGGTAAATGGTACCTGAGGCAAAATAAACAATTTTGTGCTATTACAAACTGACTTGTTCTTCCACTTTCCCCTCAAAATCCTGGTAAAGAATGGATAAATGATATTTTCTTGCCCTCAGAATAGCAGGTCTCTTTATTTTCATTCTTCATTTAGAGTGAGTCAACATTTCACTTCCCTTAAATACCTATTTTAGCCTTGTCCTAGGCAGTAAAATTCTTGAAATCATGCTTTTGGTTTGTTTTAAATGATAAAGTTTTAAAAATACGCATTAAAATACATAGCTACACATGTTTTCAATTGCATCCCATGTAAAACAATGTTATGTACCACCCAAGGTGTATTCACCACACTTACTGAACTTGAACTTGCTCTGTATGACTAGAAATGTCCGTGTCCTTCCATATTTTCAATATCTGGATGGTTTTACCAGTCCTAAAGAGGTCATTCACTTAAGCTAGAGCTGAATATCTTTTACATAGCTGTTAGAAATTAGGATAAAATCCGAAGCTCGTAGGAAATAAGTACTTCTGTTACTCAAGTGAAAGGAACAGAACATTGAAAATTAAGGTCAGTGGTAGACTTTTATTTTAAATGTTGAGTAGGTTTTTATCTGAAAGCTTTTGTTTGTTATTTTTGTGGCTAGCCAGATGTGCTCAGTAAATATTTGTAATGAATTTAAAACTTAGATGGGAAGGACACTAACAATCTATTATGATCATGATTATTAATAATCGTCATTCTTTTTCAGAAGTGGCATGAAGATTATAGTTTGTTCCGAAAAGTGTCTGTGTATCTCCTAACAGGCCTAGAACTCTATCAAAAAGGAAAGTATGTTGGCCTTTTATTTTACCAAGATTATTAGTCAGGATGCTGTTCTCTGTAGATGCCTACCTGGGAATACTAAGAGTCACAGCCATGCATAACCTCCCTTGTCACATACACTAGTGTGCCTCTTCTCTTGCAGTGCTTTGGTTTTGCTCTAAACATCACACATGGTTTTTCATCCTTCAAATGATTAGATGTATTAGCTGCGAGATAATATTGTGCCAGGCTGTCTTTGTGATCAATGAAGATGAACTCAGAAAATGAATTTTTGAGTTGACATAGACCCTAGTGAGCATTTCTTGTTTTAGAGATGGGAAAACCTGAGGCCTAGGGAAGTTTCATATTTGCTTTGGATGGCTAGGCCAATTTGTAGAAGAGATGAGACTGGCTACGGTCTTTGGTCCTTCACTTTTTCAGAATTGCAGCCAAGTAGGTTCTTGAAATGGGGAAAAGTGAGGTCTAAGCCCTAGATTTTAGTAAAAGAGCACTCAGCTGTTGTTTATCTCCCATTTTTCTAAGGTACCAAGAGGCACTTTCCTACCTGGTATATGCCTACCAGAGCAATGCTGCCCTGCTGATGAAGGGGCCCCGCCGGGGGGTCAAAGAATCCGTGATTGCTTTATACCGAAGAAAATGCCTTCTGGTTTGTACTGTTTGTAAAGCCTTAAGGTTTTTTTGTTGTTTACCTCTGCTCCTTGAAGCCAGGAAAATATATGGCTTTCAAAACAGACTATCTCCAACAGGTTGTAGATTTCCCCCCAAAATTCTCATGAACAGTTTTACATTGGAACAGGTTTTTTTTCAGTTACTTTTAGTGAATGTCATTCTTCTTCAATGATAACTGATAGAAGTTAAGATGAGAATCAGTCATCCCTCTGTGTGCCCTTCATGTATGCCTGCATTATAGATTTTATCACATTGCTTTCCTACTAGGTTGTAAATTCCTTGAGCTCAGATCCTTTTCTCACTCAGCCATTTCCTCTGTGCCTGTCATGTAGGAACCATGTAATAAATGTGTGTGGAAGGAATGCAGCATTTTTTCCATGTTCACATTTAAGCTGGTAGACTTAAAGTTTTAGTGACTTCTGACACTCCATTTTTTTAAAATAAAGGTAGGAACTGTAAGAATTGGTCCTGCTGTTCTGATAACATCATTGTCACATACTAGTGAAGACTAACTCTCTCCTGGCCTGATTTGCACTGTATAACTACATGGAAAGGCAGACCTACATCCCCTTGCCTCCCCAGGGGTTTATGTGATGTGTGTCCTTTGGAGAACTGTAAAGGGGTGGCCTGCCTTCAGAGTGTGGGCTTGTGTGTGTTTTCACCAATACCCAGCAAATTTGCCCTTCACAGAAGTCAGGCCAATATTTCTACCACTGCCTTTACCTTGTTCATACCGAATGGGTGAGATTAAGTCATGACATATACTCAATAGCTTTATTTTCTGATTTATACTTTGACATCTGTATTAGTTATAGGTGTGGCAGGGCCACTTTGAAGCTGAAAAGGGATCTTGTTGGTTTGATGGATCTGAATTTTATTAGAGCCATGTTTTTATATTTTAAATCACCAAATAGATTGACATTTTGAATATCCTACTCAGCTTCTGAAGTAATGCAATTATAGGGATTTAGACTCTTTCCATTATTGAGTCCCAACCCCTAGTGTGCATCAGAATCATATAGGGAGCTTTCAGACAGTCGTGAAGCTCAGGCCTCTCCCTAGCAATTAAACCAGAATCCCTGGGAAGGGCCCTGGGCATCAGTGTGTCTTCTGCAGGTGATTCTGATGCTCAGAGGAGATAGACAACCAGTGAACAGGTCTTTGGTTGAAACAGGTGTTAAGCATGACCTTGACTTACAAGTTTAGGCCAATGGGTCATAAACTTTACAGCATTAGAATCACTTTGGGAGCTTTCATAAAATCCCAGTGTCCCGGTCATCTAAACACTAATTAAATCAGCTTATCAGAAGTGGGAACCAGGCATCAGTAGTTTTTAAAGATCCCTAAGTACATCCAATGTGCAGTAAAGTTTGGGAACCACTTGTTTAGACTGTTATTAAAGAGATATTTATCTTTTTCAGACTCTTCCCCACCTAATTCTACCTTTTATCTGTAGGAGCTGAATGCCAAAGCAGCTTCTCTTTTTGAAACAAATGATGATCACTCCGTAACTGAGGGCATTAATGTGATGAATGAACTGATCATCCCCTGCATTCACCTTATCATTAATAATGACATTTCCAAGGATGATCTGGATGCCATTGAGGTCATGAGAAACCATTGGTGCTCTTACCTTGGGCAAGATATTGCAGGTATATGCTCTTGGTAATAATATTCTGAGGTTTTGAGAATTGTAGAAATTTCAGTGTTCTCACTTGATAGCACTGGTTGCCAAACCTTTTTAAGGAATTGGAACCTTCTAGCATATAAGTAAATTAAAAATGGATCTGCTCTATTGAAACAAGAGGAGGGAGCCTGGGCCTCTGCCCCTCTTAACCTCCCTTTAGCTTCCCCATGACTGCCAAATCACCTCCATGGGCAACCAACAAGCCTGGTTTGAAAAAAGTCACTGCTCTCCAGGAATGTCAGACTTCCATTACTCTCTCATGTGCCAAAAGATGAACTCTTTTATAGTTTAAAAATCAAAATCTGACTGGGTGCAGTGGCTCACACCTGTAATCCCAGCACTTTCAGAGGCCGAGGTGGGCAGATCACCTGAGGCCAGGAGTTCAAGACCAAGTCTGGCCAACAAGGCGAAACCCCATCTCTACTAAAAATACAAAAATTAGCTAGGTGTGGTCATGGGCGCCTGTAATCCCAGCTACTCGGGAGGCTGAGGCAGGAGAATCACTTGAACCTGGGCAGCGGAGTTTGCAATGAGCCGAGATAGCACCAGTGCAATCCAGCCTGGGCCACGGAATGAGACTCCATATCCAAAAAAAAAAAAAAAAAATCATGCAGAGTATGGTTATGGGAGGGGTGCCTTGATGAATTTTTTCTGTGGCTTGAAGTTATATAGCATATTAACTATGATGACTTCAAGATTAATTAGTGGACTGTCCTTGCTTGTTTAAAGCATCTTAAGGAGGGAATGTAAAGCTGGTTGTTTTTAGGTGAGTTCAGTAGACTTGGAAAATTGTTATATATTCTGATATGAATCCTCTTTGTTAGGTTCTCACTGACATAGAGATACTCTATTGATGGGGCTAGGCACAGTGGCTGACACTTGTAGTCCCAGCACTTTGGGAGGCCAAGGTGGGTGGCTCACTTGAGCCCAGGAGTTTGAGACCAGCCTGGGCAACATAGTGAGACCCTGCCTCTACAAAAAATGAAAACTTAGCTGGGTATAGTGTAGTTCTAGCTACTCAGGAGCCTGAGGTGAGAGGATTGCTTGAGTCTGGGAGGCCGAGGCTACAGTGACCCAAGATCATACCACTGCACTCCAGCTTGGAGTGAGACCCTATCTTTAAAAAACAAACAAAACAAAAAAGGCCGGGCGCAGTGGCTCACGCCTGTAGTCCCAGCGCTTTGGGAGGCTGAGGTGGGCGGATCACGAGGTCAGGAGATGGAGACCATCCTGGCTCACATGGTGAAACCCCGTCTCTACTAAAAATACAAAAAATTAGCCGGGTGTGGTGGCGGGCACCTGTAGTCCCAGCTACTTGGGAGGCTGAGGCAGGAGAATGGCGTGAACCCGGGAGGCGGAGCTTGCAGTGAGCAAAGATGGCGCCACTGCACTCCAGCCTGGGCGACAGAGTGAGACTCCGTCTCAAAAAAAAAAAAAGATATTCCATTGACTTGTTCAAGTGTTTAAGTTGATAGTATTTATTTAAAAATCCTGTAATAGCTAGTTGCCATGTGTTTCCCTTTACTGTCTTCAGTTTTTATTTAGACCAAGCTTGTCCAACCTGAAGCCCAACACAAATTTCTAAACTTTCTTAAAACATTATGAATTTTTTTTTAACCTCATCAGCTATTGTTAGTGAGGTTCATGTGTGGCCCAGGGAAGCCAAAAGACTGTACACCCCTGATTTAAAACCATGTGTATACACTGATATATTGTAAACATTTGAAAGAAAATAATTACCATCATATCTATGCTAGAGTATCATATCTACTTCCTTGTATTTTAAGAAGACAATTGGTTAGAAGACCCTTTCGTAATAAAGTAATTATATAGTTGTTATATAGCAGTGAGCTAAAGTTTGGTTTATTTGCCTTTGCTCCTGGTTTGGCCTGAAGGAATAATCATTTATTAGTAACTGGCCAGCATAATGCTTTGACCTTTGAGGTTAGGTAAGGGGCTAATAGAAGGCTTGTTCACTTTTACTCAGAAATCTGTTTAGCTGTATATGTAACCATCTGTTTTCCCTCCACAGAAAATCTGCAGCTGTGCCTAGGGGAGTTTCTACCCAGACTTCTAGATCCTTCTGCAGAAATCATCGTCTTGAAAGAGCCTCCAACTATTCGACCCAATTCTCCCTATGACCTATGTAGCCGATTTGCAGCTGTCATGGAGTCAATTCAGGGAGTTTCAACTGTGACAGTGAAATAAGCTCCCACATGTTCAAGGCCCATTCTGGTTCCTGGCTGCCTGCCTCTTGCACAGAAGTTCGTTGTCATAGTGCTCACCTTGGGAAAAGGATTAGGTGGGCACATAAGATTCCGATCAGACCCCAACCATGCTGCATGTGTAAAGAAGGATTGAAAATAAAATTGCACTTTTTAGGTACAAAATCATAAAAGCTGTTTCACTAGAAAAGGCAGAAAGCAGTGTATTAAGGTGTTGAATTACGCCAGAAGACCTGAAATGCCTTGTACCTACAACAATGCTTAGGCTTTTCTAAGCCTCTTGCCACTTTTAAAATTATCCTTCAGGCATAAATATTTTTGACAGCAGAATAGAAGAATGATTCATGAGAACCTGAACCAGATGAACAGCTACTAGTTATTTTATCAAATACAGATGACATTTAAAAATTCTTAACTACAAGAGATTAGAAATATAAACCTTGCCTGGCTCTTGCCAGGAGATAACAAAATGGGTTGCTGATGAACTGCACCCTTTTACATGTGGGTAGAATATAAGCTCACATGGCAGTGAGATGTTGAAAAGTCAAAAGAGACCTGTCTCTCTCCTTTCTTTTCTATCTTTAAACCAGAAAACCTCATACTCAGTCCTCAGTGAAAGAAAGTAAAGTATTAAGGACTTTAGACAGAAGAGCATTGTGTAACTTGACTGAAGATCATCCATTAATAGTTATTAGGCATTTAGGTAAAATTTTCTAATACCTAAAAATTGTCAAAAACAGTCAATAGGGCTACTGCTGGCCCAAAGACCATTTAGGTCCACCTCCTCTTTTTTGCTCTTTTTTTTTTTCTGTGACAGTTTCACTGTGTCGCCCAGGCTGGCGTTCAGTGGTGCAATCTCAGCTCACTGCAAACTCTGTCTCCTGGGCTCAAGTGATTCTCGTGCCTCAGCCTCCCGAATAGCTGGAATTACGGGCATGCACCACCACACCTGGCTAATTTTTGTATTTTTAATAGAGATGGGGTTTCACCATATTGGCCAGGCTGATCTCTAACTCCTGGCCTCAAGTGATCTATCTGCCTCCCTCAGCCTCCCAAAGTCTGGGATTGCAGACAAGTCATCGTACCCGGCCTTCTTTTTTGCCCTTAAAAGTAAGGGATGTGGGTTTGTACAAAAAAAAAAAAAAAAAAAAAAAAACCAGCATACATATGCAAAACTATATATATATGTATATGTAGAGAAAAATACTTCCCATTGATCATTTTTAAAAGGCTTCTGATTGGATATTGTGTTTTAACCAAATTTTAAAGATTAATGGAATCATGAAAGGGAAAAAAATTGATACAACTATGCAGATTTTATAAATGTGCAATAAAAGTATTTGTTTTACCTTTGGTGTGCAGTATGGTCTTTATTTAAATATATATTTTCCATTTGGGAAATGGACATACTTGGTATTTGTCTTGTTCCAATTTTTCTTCTTTAAAACCAAAAAGCAGATTAGAGGGTTGATAAACTGGATGGGGACTGACGCGCCAGTGTTTGAAATAAAAGGCAACAGTCAATTATTGAGCAGCACCTAGTGGTAACTGAAGCTTTTTAATCTCATTGGCTATTTGCATTGCATGTAAGCTTATCTACTTTGTCAAATTTTTGAATGCAAAAACAGCAATTTTCTTAGAATGGAGTTTCTTATGTAGTCATTCCTCAGCAGACACCGGCAATTGCTGGGACCCCTGCATATACCAAAATCCATGCATACTCAAATTCTGTAGTTGGCTTTGCAGAACCCACATATAGGAAAAGTTGACCCTCCATACACTTGGGTTTTCACATGCTGTGAATACTCTATTTTCAATCTGCATTTGGTTGAAAAAAATCCTCATGGGACTCATGCAGTTCAAACCTGTGTTTTTCAAGGGTCAAAATGTATTTTGATTAATGGTAGGCCATGCTTTACAGATATTCAGAGGTGCTTTAGTGTTTTAAAACTCATCGCAAAGATTGTTTCATGGGAAGTTGATCAATTTTCTTACTGATTACCCTTTACAGTTTAACATCCTGTGTGCCACCATTTGCCTTTCACTTTTTAATCCCTGTCAATATTGAGTCTTGTGTGCAGTGCTTCAGTTATATTATTTTAACCCTGGGATGACGATAGGGACCATGATTTATCCAAGGTCGTAGATCTTGTAAGTGGTAGAACTAGGACACTAATCCTTGGTGTGTCTGACTTCATAGCCTGTGCTTTTAATAGATGTTCAACTGTCCTTGGTAATCGTGTGAAATATTTTGTTTTGTGTCTCCTTAACAGTAGTTATTTCCTGATCAGCTATTGGGAATCTACAGTTGGCAAAGAAAGGAATGGATGGACATCTGGAGTGTATGGTGCTGAGTAGTCTGTATCATTTGGATCCACCAGGGGGAGTGCTGAGAACTATTAATAGTTTCTTATTCCTAACAGTAGCTGGCTGCCTTTAGGTACAACCAAAGGCCTCCACAAACTAAGGTCTCAGACTGGTTTGTTTGTTTGTTACCCAGCTGTCAGGCTAAGCATTTTTTTTTTTTTTTTTTGAGACAGGGTCTCACTCTGTCCCCCAAGCTGGAGTGCAGTGGCACGATCTCAGCTCACTGCAACCTCTGCCTCCTGGGCTCAAAAGATCCTTCCACCTCAGCCTCCCAAGTAACTGAGACTACAGGTGTGCACCATCATGCCCCACTAATTTTTGTATTTTTAGTAGAGACAGGGTTTTGCTGTGTTGCCCAGGCAGGTCACAAACTCCTGGGCTCAAGCAATCCCCTCGCCTTGGCTTCCCAAAGTGCTGGGATTACAGGCATGAGCCACTGTGCCTGGCCTGGTTTTTACCTTTTTAAAGGGTTGAGAAGAATAAGGATATGGGGAAGAAGAAACCTATGTGACCCTTACCCAAAATGATTCAAGAGTTTGAGCAGGATACTTCACCTCAGCATAAATTCTCTTGAGACTGGATTTAGACTGGGTTAACTGGAATTGCAATCATCTTCTGTTTGGATTTGTTAGCTCCTTTAAGAACTAGCAGGCATACTAACTCATTTTTACCCTATCCACTTCAAGAACATACGAGATAGATAACATACAATAAAACAATTAAATGAATAAGAGAGATCAAGTGGAGTGCTGGGAATGTAGCAAGGGTAGGATAGAAGGGGGAATTAATTGTGCCAGAAGTCATGTAGCTGTTAGTTTATTCATTTTCCTTGCTCAGTTTATTGGGTTTCATTGTATGACCATATTCACCATTTATTGTCCTTTGAGCTTCCCATGTTTGGCTGTTAATGCACAATCCTACCAAGAACATTCATTGTACATGTCTTGATGCACACATGAATGCATTTCTGTTGGTGTATAACTAGAAGTAAAATTACCAGGTCATATAACCAAAGTGGTTATACCAGTTTGATCCCACCATCGGTTTATGAGTTCCAGTTGCTCCATATGCTTGTCAACATTTGGTTTTATCAGTATTTTTAATTGTAGCCATTCAGGAAAGTGCGCAGTGATAATCTTGTGATTTCAATGTACACTTCCGTGAATACTGACAACATCAAGCATCTCTATATACTTACTGGCCTTTGGTCATTGTTTTTTGTAAAATACCTATTTAGGTCTTTTGTTCATTTTTGTTGTTGGATTTATTGTCTCTAACCTATTGATTTATAGGAGTTCTTTATATCTGCTAGCTATGGAGCCCTTATTGGTTGTATGCATTGCATGTATCTTCTTCCACTCTGGCTTTTCACTCTTGGTGTCTTGATGAAAATAAGTTTTTGATATTAATATATTTGAATCTATTCATCTTTCCTTTCATGGTTAGTGCTTATCATGTCCTCTTGAAATTATTACCCAAGGTCATAAAGATACTCTGTTACCTTCCGGAAGTTTCACCTTTTTTTTTTGAGACAGAGTCTCACTCAGTCACCCAGGCTGGAGTGCAGTGACAGGATCTCGGCTCACTGCAGTCTCTGCCTCCCGGGTTCCAGCGATTCTCCTGCCTCAGCCTCCCAGGTAGCTGGGATTATAGGCATGTGCCACTAGGCAGGGCAACTTTTTGTATTTTTAGTAGAGACGGGGTTTCACCATGTTGGCCAGGCTGGTCTCGAATTCCTGATCTCAGGTGATCTGCCCGCCTCGGCCTCCCAAAGTGCTAGGATTACAGGCGTGAGCCACCGCGCCCAGCCAGGTTTCACCTTTGATAGTTGATTGACCAAGCCCTGTTTATTGAGAACATCATCCATTTTCCAGTGCCTTGCACTGCTACTTTTGTCATAAATCAGATGTGTTCACAGGGGTCTGTTTCTGGGCTCTTTTGCCTGTCCCATTATCCTGTTTGTCTGCTTGTACCAATATTGCACTTTTTTTTTTTTTTCTTTTTTTTTTTGAGATGGAGTCTTGCTCTGTTGCCCAGGTGGAGTGTAGTGGCGCGATCTCGGCTCACTGCGACCTCTGCCTTAGGGTTCAAGTGATTCTCCTACCTCAGCCTCCTCAAGTAGTTGGGACTACAGGCACATGCCACCACACCCAGCTAATTTTTGTATTTTTAGTAGAGATGGGGTTTTGCCATTCTGGCCAGGCTGGTCTTGAACTCCTGACCTCAGGTGATCTTCCCACCTTGGCCTCTTAAAGTGCTAGGATTAGAGGCGTGAGCCACCGCACCCAGCCTTCACACTTTCTTAATTAGTTTAGCTTTGTAACAAGTCTTTATTTCTTGATTTCTGGTAAAAAAAAAAAAACTTCCCTCCAGTTTGGTACTTCAAGATTGTCTTGGCTATTCATTTTTTGTTTGTTTGAACAGGGTCTCGTTGTCACCCAGGCTGGAGTGCAGTGGTATGATCATGGTTCACTGCAGCCTCAACCTCCCAGGTTCAAGTGATCCTCCCACCTAGGCCTCTTGAGTAGCTGGGACAACAGTAGCTTGCCACAACACCTGGCTAATTTTTGTATTTTCTGTAGAGATGGAGGTCTTACTATGTTGTCCAGGCTGGTGTTGAAGTCCTGGGCTCAAGTGATCCTCCCAGCTAGGCCTCCCAAAGTGCTAGGATTACAGGCATGAGCCACTGAGGCTGGCCTCTTGGCTATTCTTGATCCTTTGCATTTTGGCATAAATTTTAGGATCAGTTCGTTAGTTTCACACATGCACACACAAATCTGCAAGTATTTTTGATTAAGTTTACAATGACCAGAGATAATTTGAGAAAAACTGATATCTGCGTGGTATATCTTATTTTTTAAAGGTTTTTCTTAATTTTTATATAAAGGTCTTCCACCTCTTCCAAAAGATTTATTCCTGGGTTTTTTTAAGTTTTGACATTCCTGGTAAATGTCATTTTTCAGATTGCATTTTTGTTTCTTCTCATATCTAGAAGTGAATTGATGTTTAATAGTTCAGAAGATTTTTTAATATACATAATTATGTCATCTGTGAATGATGACTTTTATTTCAAATTCTTACAATTTTTATTTTTCTTGCCTGATTACACTTACTAGGACCTTTGGTACAAAGCTGAATATACAGATGGTGAAAAGTGGGCATCTTTGTCTCCTAGTATCTGGTGGGGGGGGTTCAATATTTCACCATTAAGTATGCTGTAGGTTTGTTGTAAATTCCACTTATTAGGTAGAAAAAGATTCCTTCTGTTACTAGTTTGCTGAGTTTTTTTTAAGCTTGAATTTTATCAAATGCTTTTATTTATGTCAAGATGGTTACATAGGTCTCTTTATTCTGTTAATGTGTGAATTACATTTCTTGATTTCCAATGTTAAACCAGCCATGTGTTGTAAGAATAAAGTAAATTTGACCATGATATTTTTTATATGTAGGTGGATTTTTGCATGAATATTCATAAGACAGATTGGCCTTGTATTTTCATTTCTCATAATGTGCTTGTTAAGGTGTTGGTGTCAAGATTATTCTGGCCTTATTGAATGCATTGGCAAGTTGTCTTGTTTTCTATGCTCTGGAAGAGTGTGGGTAAAATAGGGTTATTTCTTCCTTGATGATTGGAAGAATTCATTGTTGAAGCCATCTGAGCCTGGAATTGTCATTTTGGTTTGTGGGAATGCTTTTAATTACAGATGTAGTTTCTTTCAGATATGTGGGGTTTTCAGATCTTTCTGGTTGCTTCTTTGTATCAGTTTTGGAAAATTATTAGAAGTGTATCCATTATATCTAAAATTAAAATTTTATTTACAGGAAGTTCATAATTTTATCTTGTGACTATTTGTTTATTTATTTAGAGACAGAGTCTTGCTCTGTCACCCAGGCTGGAGTGCAGTGGTGCAATCTCGGCTCATTGCAACCTCCGCCTCCCAGGTTCCAGCGATTCTTCTGCCTCAGCCTCCTGAGTAGCTGGGACTACAGGCGCGCACCACCACGCTCAGCTAATTTTTGTATTTTTAGTAGAAATGGGGTTTCACCATGTTAGCCAGGATGGTCTCGATCTCTTGACCTCGTGATCTGCGCGCCTCAGCCTCCCAAAGTGCTGGGATTACAGACGTGAGCCACCGCGCCCGGACGACTTTTTATTTCTAATTAAGGTCTGTATAGTAATATCTGTCTTTTGTTACTGATATTGGGTGATTTGTATCTTTTTTGTTTTCAGTATTTTGCAGTCAGTCTTTTCAGGGGTTTATTAATTAGTCTTTTCAAGTAATTATTTGCTTTGTTTATTTTTCTCTTTTATAAGTTTTTTTCCTGCTTTTTTAAATTATTATTTTTTTTTTTTTTGAGACAGAGTCTCGCTCTGATGCCAGGCTGGAGTGCAGTGGTGCGATCTCGGCTCACTGCAACCTCCGCCTCCCGGGTTCAAGCAATTCTCCTGCCTCAGCCTCCTGAGTAGCTGGGACTACAGGCGTGTGCCACCATGCCCAGCTAATTTTTGTATTTTTAGTAGAGATGGGGTTTCACCATGTTGGCCAGGATGGTCTCGATCTCTTTACCTCGTGATCCACTCGCCTCAGCTTCCCAAAGTGCTGGGATTACAGGCGTGACCCACCGCACCCAGCCCTTTTTCCTGCATTTTTAATAAAAAACTCTTCGGTGGTGGTCGTTAACCTTGGCTTCCAATTCAGAATCAGCTGTGTCACTTTAAAAAATAGAGCTGCTGAGGCCTCAACCCTACAGATACTGAGTTGTTAGACTTGGGCTGGGCCATTGATGCTTTTATGGTTTAAAAAGCATCACAGGTGATTCTGATATACAGTCACAATTGAGACCTACTTATTCATATAACTTTCTTTTATTTTTCTTTTCTGAAACTGTCTCACTCTGTCACCCAGGCTGGAATGCAGTGGCATGGTCATGGCTCACTACAGCCTCAACTTCCTGGGCTCGAGCGATCCTCCTGCTTCAGCCTCCTGAATAGCTGGGACTACAGGCATGAGCCACCATGCCTGGCCTATAGAACTTTTATACCTACTAAAAAAAAAAAAAAGATTTTACATTATCATCAATACTTTATGGTTTTATAAAAAGTCTGTAGAGAGGCTTGGTGGAGACGGTGTTTCCCGCTACCTTCTCAGGCCCCTGCACTATGTGAGGCTATTCCAGCTCCCTCGGGGCTGGACCCTCAAGCCTTTTTTCTTTGGCAGCGTTGTCCACAAATGCCTGGGCATCCTGTTCTTTCCTAGTGCTGTGCTTTCCCACCTCTTTGAAGTGCCTTTTCTGGATGCTCCTTGGGCCCATGAGGACTCTGTTTACTGTCTGAAGGTTTTTGCCTAACTTTGAATCTGCCAGGCTGTTTTCCTGTGGTTGGACAGTTTCTTTTTTTTTCCCCCTACAAAATAATTTATTGGAACACACAGCTACAGCAGAGGCTCCATGTACAAGCACATTGACGCTCCTGACTACCGTCAACTAGGGGACCCTTTTCTTCCCCCTTGTCTTGCGGACCTCTTCTATCAAATCTTTCAGGTACTGGATCTCCTTGGCCAGGGAATCCGCCCTCTCTTTTAGAGCCTCGTTCTTCTTTTCCAGCTCTTTGCACTCACCAGTGAGAGCCTCCTGCTCCACCCTCTTCTTCTGGCGGTACCCAGTGGCTGCTGTCTTGTTTTACTCCATTTTTTTCAACTTCTTATCCAGTTTCTCACCCTTTACTTTTGCTGCTACCATCGTCTCTCCAGGAGGATTGTAAGGTTTGGGGCGGGCAGACCCACAGAGAACACCTGGAGATGGGAGGCTCCTATTTGGAGAGCCCCTGGTAGAGGGGCTATGCTGAGGAGACCCTAGATAGGACTCTGGGCTCATACAGATGCCACTATCATTATCTGAAGGGGTGTCTTCCTCCTTTATGCACTGAGGGATCATGGCAACGTAAGCAGTGGAGTCTGGCTTCCTATCTCCTTCAGGATATCCACTTCACTGCCCAGCTCTAAACTAAAGGAATGACCTGGAGTGGAGGACAGGACCCCTGGGGAAAGGGGAAGAGGTTGCAAGAAGGTGAAGGGGGCAACCTGGTCGGGTTTTGTTAAACTTCCTGGGAGATGGCCAATTGGGTTCACCGTCTGGGGGTCTCCTTATTAGTCTCCTGGACTAGGGGGGCAAAGAGATCACAAGTGTCATCCAAAGTGGTCAAAAGTTCATCTGGCATGGTTTCCAGGTTATCTATACCCAACAGGGCATCAAAGACGAACTCCTTCAAATCCATTTTCTCCAACATCCAATCTGTCCCGGAGAAGGCATCCTCCTTGCTGTTATTGGAGGGACTGCCTAACCCATCCACAGCCAGCCATTCGGAGAAGCCCGCCTTAGCCTTGTCCCTGGAGAACCCATGAGGTTTGAAGTGCTTGGCCACCTCCAGGTAGTTATCTAAGAGACCTAGGCTTTCTTCAGCCCCCAAACCCGACTGGTCGAAGGGGGACATCAAGTCCCCCACCAATACCTCGCTGCTCAGGAAGCTCATTTCGGTCATGTTGCGGTGCTTTGCTGGAATCGAGGAATGTGCTTAATTCGAAGGTGTCTTTGTCGGTTACAGCAACGCTGCTGCTGAATGCCCTGAGAAGCGCCATGGCTTAAGCCGCTGGGGGGTGCCGCTGCAGAGCCTGGTGCTGCTGCCGCCGCTGCAAAGGCCAATGCTGCCACAGGTACTGCTGCCCCTGATACGCCATGGTGGCCGTGGACCCTGAGGGCGGGAAGGAGAGAAGGCGCGCACGTGCGGAGAAAACTGCATCTGCGGGCGGGCGCAGTAGAAATGCGGTTGGACAGTTTCTAGTTTGTTTTCAAATATTTGATGTGAGGAAGATTTCCGCATCCTGCGCTTGAGCTTCGCTGCCAGCTCGTCTAGGATCTGCAAGGCCTGCCAGTGGTAGTACAGCTGCGCCTCCACCAGGACCGGGAGTTGACTCACCTGCTCAATGTCGGTGTCCAGGACCGCATGCTGGTTTCTGCTACCTCCTTGGAGTCCTCAGACTTCTCCAGCGCCTGGCGCAGCTCCTCATCGGGGATCTTGTCCTGCCGCTTCTTTTAGTCTAAGTCCAGGCGGCGGCCCTCCAGCTTCTACAGGTGGTGCTGGATCCCCTTCAGGTCTTTCTCACACAGGTTCTGGAGGAGGTCAATGAAGTTCTGCTTGACCTCTATGTCCAGGGAGTCCTTCACCTCTGCCAGGTGCTTCATGGACTCGCCGGCATCCAGCAGTGCGTCACTGAAGTTGGACTCGTTGCCTAGCTCCTTCTGGTGGCGGATCAGGCACTCGCTCAGGAGCCCCTCCGACTGCGGGTAGCCGGGGTTCTTCACCTGGCCCCGGATCTTGCACACCGCGTTCAGCATGGTCAGCTTAGCCTGCGAGGCTGGGTTGGGCTGCAGGTACTTGATGGTCCTTGCCAGCATTTCCGTCACCGCCTTGCTGATGACATCGCCATCTCTTTGAAGTCATCGTCCAGCTTGGTCCCCTCAGCCCCTCCGACCTTCTCACTGACCAGCTGGCTGGCCTTGTAGAACTGCTTCTTCAGCCCTGCAACCTACATGCTGCCTCCCGCCGCCGAACCTCCCTCCCGGACCGCGCCAGCGACAAGCTCCCAGGCGCGCGACCCTATGCACGCCTCAGGGGCCCCACCACGTGCTTGCCAGCTCTGCGCCTGCCCCGGCGCCTCCTCGAGTTCATGATTCTTTAGTCTCCTTCAATCTAGATCTGTTCGCAGGATTGTTTTAAAGTATACTGACAAAACTTTGAGACTGTAAGTGACCTGAGATATACATTATCCTTACTTGAGAATAGTAATTTTTCAATACGCATTAAAGATCATTACACATGAGCCAAGAAAAAAAAAAAGTCTGTAGAACCTCCTTCAATGATAGATTAAAGGTTACATACCTTTTAAATTAATACTTTTTATCTCCTGCACATTCTTCATGTTAAACTTGACTCTAGTGGAGATATAGAAATATATATATATATATAATTTTCTGTATAGTTAGCCTTTCCTTTAATTACCAAAAACCCATCAGTTCCTTAAGGTTTTCTCATAAGTTGAAGTTCTGAGCTAATCAATCATTACATTACTTTTTCCTGAGCCTTTAAAAAAATTCTCTACCTTCTTTTTAAGTTGTCGAACAATAAACTGACACATTGACTTACTATAAGTCTGAGTAGAACTGGCTTAAGAGAGATATGTGTGTGTGTGTGTATAGTAAAGGGACACAAGCATAGGTGAGAATTAAGAGATTTTAAGGATGTTACCATGTCTTCCTTTTAGCACCCTTGGCTGGGCGCAGTGGCTCACGCCTGTAATCCCATCACTTTGGGAGGCTGAGGTGGGTGGATCACTTGAGGTCAGGAGTTCAAGACCAGTCTGGCCATCACAGTGAAACCCCATCTCTACTAAAAATACAAAAATTAGCCAGGTGTGGTGGTGGGCGCCTGTAATCCCAGTACTTGGGAGGCTGAGGCAGGAGAATCGCTTGAACCTGGGAGGCGGAGGTTGCAGTGAGCAGAGATCGCACCACTGCACTCCAGCTGGGACAGAGTGAGACTCTGTCTCAAAACAAAACAGCACCTTTGATTGCTGCGTTGCCCATTAAGTTGTTGGCTAGTTATGATGACCCCACAGTCTCCTTGTTGTGTTATCTGATTGCCATTTATAGACAAGAGAATAGAATCTATTCCAGGAATGGATCCAACAAGGCACAAATCTGGCCTCTTTCTTTTCAAAAGAAGATAAGCCTGGGTTGTCCCTGCTATCCTAGCAGGACAAGAAATTATCATAATCAATGAGTAGGAATATTAACTTCGAGTACAAGTAGAGGTTAGAAACCATCTGAAGAATTTAGATGACTTGGAATTGATAAGCTGGCACAAAAGTGGTACCCAGGAATGCCAATAGTGAGCTCTCAAAATTAAATATTTGCTGGTCCTGATATGAGTAGAATTCATGGAGGGATGGTTGGTTTTCTATCCAGAGTCCTGGTGATGGGCTGGATGTTTCACTGCATGGTGAAGATGATCTTCCCAAATTAGCACTTAGATTTTAACAGCCAGGGCAGAATCTCTAGTGATGACTTGAAAGTAGCATTGTCGTTCACAAAGTCATCTCGACTATCTCTACTTATGGAATAGCCAGAGCTCATTCATAGGTTAAGCAGTTCTACAGCTTTCCTGATAAGTCATTACTGAATCAGTATGTCTTATAAGATGTGGTTCCATGAAAAGAATAGTGACATTGGAATCTGACAGATCTGAGTTCAAATACTGGCTGAACCTTTTTTACTGGTCTACAAAATGAAAATATTTACCTGGGGGCTGTGTTTTAAGGGTTAAAGAAAAGAATAGACAGCAATGACTCAGTGTACAGATGCAGAGATGCAAATGCAGTTCTCACAGGGAAATTCATCATCTGGGCAAGAATTTTAAGGGTTATCCTGAACTGCATAGGGCCCACAGGTGGGTTTTAAATAATTGGAGTTTTTTATCAAGGTATCCAGGGAGCTATGGGCCTCTGGCAAGTGGATGTGTTCATATTAGCCAGTGTGACTGGAAGACAGTGTTATTGAAGGGATTGGGGCTTATGCTTGATATAAAAATTGCAGTATTTCAGATCTGATTGAGCTGAGTGTGATGGTGCATGCTTGTAGCTTGAGATACTCCAGAGGATGAGGCAGGAGGATCGCTTGAGCCCAGGAGCTCAAGATTGCAGTGAGCTGTGATCGCACGACTGCATTCCAGCCTAGGCAACAGAGTGAGACCCTGTCTCTTAAAAAAACAAAAAAAAAAAATCCAGATCTCTGACTCTTATCCTGTTTTAGATATATTTTTCTTTAGTCATCTTATTGAATGGCCTAAACTTGATTGATAGGGCATGATGAGTTGACAGCTTTATTTTTGTTTTTACTACTACTTTTTTTTTCTTTTCTTTTTTTTTTTTGAGACACAGTCTTGCTCTATCGCCCAGGCTGGAGTGCAGTGGCACGATCTCAGCTCAGTGCAAGCTCCGCCTCCTGGGTTCACGCCATTCTCCTGCCTCAGCCTCCCAAGTACCTGGGACTGTAGGCGCCCACCACCACGCCCGGCTAATTTTTTTATTTTTAGTAGAGATGGGGTTTCACCGTGTTAGCAAGGATGGTCTTGATCTCCTGACCTCGTGATCCGCCTGCCTTGGCCTCCCAGAGTGCTGGGATTACAGGCGTGAGCCACCGCGCCCGGCCTTTTTCTTCTTTTTTTTGAGACGAGTCTCGCTCTGTTGCCCAGGCTGGAGTGAGTGCAGTGGTATGATCTCAGCTCACTGCAACCTCTGCCTCCTGGGTTCAAGCGATTCTCCTGCCTCAGCCTCCTGAGTAGCTGGGACTATAGGTGTCTGCCACCACGTCCAGCTAATTTTTGTATTTTTAGTAAAGATGGGGTTTCACCATGTTAGCCAGGATGGTCTTGATCTCTTGACCTCGTGATCTGCCCGCCTCGGCCTCCCAAAGTGCTGGGATTACAGGTGGAAGCCACTGCGCCCAGCCCACTATTACTTTCAAAATGATCTTTCCCTTCCTTGCTCCTTGATAGCATCTAAAAAAGATCTCAAAGGTTTATTGTCATGTGTGAGTAGGAAAACAGAATTATTTTCATGTATGAAAGAGCCCAGACTAATCTCAATCTAAATTCACTCTCATTCATTTCAGTCCGTCTCAAAAAAAAAAAACAACAAAAAAACCCCAAAACTGTCATTGTCTAGATGCAGTGGCTCATGCCTATAATCCCAGCACTTTGGGATGCTGAAGTGGGAGGATCACTCGAGCCCAGGAGTTCAGGGCCAGCCTGGGCAACATAGTGAGACCCTGCCTCTGTTAAAAAATAAAAATTAAATTTAAAAAAACCTGTCATTTATAATAGTCTCTTGATTCAATGTCCTTTATTATGACAGGAACCCAATTACTAGGTCTTGTTACTAGGTCTTGTAGGGGGCATTTTATGGGCTTTTCAGAGAGCCCTGTAGAAAACCTTCACAGGCCATTCATTCCCTGATGTCTTTGGGTTTTCTGGCTGACCTCTTATCATTCCTCTTGGGTCCTGCCCTAGTCATCCACACTTTCCAATGGCACTTTGGAACATCACCCCGATTGCCTTCTTCACCACCCATTTGGGTATAGGACGTTCACCACCTTGTCCTAGTAAAAGGCAGAAGTGCAGGTGCTGCTGCTGGCCCACTCCAACAAGCCTCCTGCTTTCAGGCTGCTTCAGTGGAGGTCACACACCTGCCTCTAGGCTTCTGCCTAGGTTTTCCCAAGAGCTTTCTTGGGCTCCATTCTGGTTGCAGCAGGAGCGGGCCCACGGAGTTTCTGTGGCTCAGCAGGTTTGGGATGGGGGGTGTCTCAGATGCCAGTCTTCCCTCCTGGGAACAACTTGGATCTGCAAGTGGCTTTCTCAAGGTCCACCTCCATCCCATTCCTCACTAGGAAGGACAGAGAACATAATAATACTCTAGACTGTTATGAATTCCCTTCCAGGAATCCTCCCTTAGTGTGTCTGGACTCTTGTCTCCTATAGGATGTTGGGAGTGAAGGTGGACCAGTTTGGACACCTCTTAGCAGCCCCTCTCTTTAGAATATAAGGCACTGTCACCTATGGGACAGGGCTTTGAGGCTTTACTCAAAACTCTGGGCAACAGAAAAGTTCGTTCCACATCCTATAAATGTAGATGGGATCATGACAAAAACAACTGGGTTAAAAAATAATCCATCAATTGATGGAGTAGAAAGGAAACTACATCTTCTTTTAGTTCCCTGTGAGACCAGTGACTGCAAACAAACATTTTCCTAACAGAGTTTCTTATTGTCCTAATCCTGGCTGCGAGGACACGTCTCCTGGCCAGAAGCCCGTGAAACCATTTTGACTTCTTTCCCATTCCCAAATCAGGTTCCCTTAAGACTTTTCCCTAGAGCTAATTCAGAAGCTCAGAAGGGTTACAGATGAGTATTTTAATAGAGACCTTCTGGAATGCCTTCACTCCCAATGGTGAAACTTTCAAACCCAAAGATAGTTTGATGGAGAAGATAGCACCAAGTTCCTAAACTCTAACTGCATCAAATTTGGTGAATCCCTAAGTTATATTTTCCTCCACTACCTTGCACAATACTTCTGGCTTGAAATAGTGATTGATTAATGTTTCTTTCTCTTTCTGATACATATGACTACACACCTCTCCATGTGTAACCACAATAAAGAAATGTTTTTGATGTGAGAATAATCTGCCACAGATCTATATGACAAAAAGCTGTGTTGAAGTTATGATTTAATTAGTTCTATTTTTATTTCTCATTATTTTCCCCTTCAAAGCAGGTGGCTAACAACAGTGGCAGTTTTAGGTGAACAGCATCTCCTTCCTCAAACTCTTTCTCTAAATGTGGATTCCCACTAGACTGCAGATCACATTCCCTCTCAGGGAAGGACATGCTGTTGGCCACATGGCCAGTATGTCATCAAGAGTTTCTACCCACACCCATTTAAAAAATTCCTTTTGTCCTTTATAAAGAGAGTTGGGAAGACAGAATATTTTCTTAACAAATCTTTAGTGTCCATTTCTCTGCAGAGGAAGCCATAATCACTTGCTGATGAAAAAATATTAGCACCTGCAAATGCGGGATTCAGGTGAGGGCTGCAAGCCACCAGCAGGAGCAGGTGAGCCACCTGGCAACAAAGACCCTGTTTAAACCTCAACATAAGCACAAAGGAGGGTTTTATTTGACGGTCTTTGGTTTTTCCATCGACTTCAGTGAGAAGCTTTTTTTTTTGTTTTTTTTTTTTGAGACAGAGTCTTGCTCCGTCGCCCAGGCTGGAGTGCAATGGCGCGATCTCGGCTTGCTGCAACCTCTGCCTCAGCCTCCTGAGTAGCTGGGATTACAGGCACCTGCCATCATGCCCAGGTAATTTTTGTATTTTTATAGAGACAGGGTTTTACCGCGTTGGCCAGGCTGGTCTTGAACTCCTGACCTCAGGTGATCTGCCTGCCTCGTGCTGGGATTACAGGCATGAGCCACCACGCCTGGCCTTTGGCGAGAGTTTTTCCTTTGGTCTGGTAGATTGTCTAGGCAACCCATCCCATGAGGCCATAGGATAAGGTGAAGAAAGACTGCCATGGTGCCAAACCCTGGCTTCAAGTCTTGACTCAGTTAATTACTCACCATGGGCATGTCACCTAAATTCTCGGCATCTCATTCTCCTCAGTAGCAAAACTAATAATATCTGCTCTTCCAAAACTCAAAAACATTTCAAGATATGTTCAGTAAAACTACCAAAATTTGTAGAAGTGCTTTGTACACCTGCAAGCCCAACACAACCATGTGATAAGGAAATTTCACAGAGACAAGTCATTAGACAAAGGAGAGCAGGTTACTGTTGCAGTCAATTGGAAGCCAAGCTCCTGTTCCCGGACCACGTGCTTGGCTTCCCATGGTCCTGAGAATAGAGACTATGTTCCTTACTGAGGCCTACAAGGCCCTACAAGGTCTGGCTTCTTCCTACTTTGCCAGCTTCACCTTATGCGTCTTCATCTCCCCTCCTCATCTGGAACTGCTACCCACCCTTTATTGTTCAGCCAGTAATCGCTTCCTTTGAGTACTGATCCGTGAATCACTGACTAGGTTAAATCCCTCCTATTGCATGATTTTTTTATGTATATATATTTTTCTCTTTTTTACATTCATAAAGGTTGATTAAACTATTGGATGATCTTATAGAACCATGTCCCTTTCCAAATTTGTAAAGGTTGTCAAAGTTACTATTTACGTTTATTTGAGTGATTTTACATTAATATTTGTCTCCTGGCTGGGTGCGGTGGCTCACACCTATAATCCCAGCACTTTGGGAGGCCGAGGCGGGTGGATCACTTGAGGTCAGGAGTTGGAGACCAGCCTGACCATGGTGAAACCCTGTCTCTACTAAAAATACAAAATTAGTGGGGTGTGGTGGCACACACCTGTAATCCCAGCTACTTGGGAGGCTGAGGCAGGAGAATTGCTTGAGCCTGGGATGCGGAGTTTGTAGTGAGCCAAGATCGCACCATTGCACTCCAGCCTGGGCAAGAGCAAAACTCTGTCTCAAAAAAAAAAAAAAATTATCTCCCTAATTTGCCTGAATGAGGGACAAGAATATATTTTGTCTTACCATTTTATACTGGTTCCTAGCACATGGTCAGTGCTCAATAAATATTTGTTAAGTGAGTGAATAAATGATCAGATGGATGAATAATAATGAAATTATTCTTTCATGTAGACCCTGGAAGGTCAAGAAAATGCTTAGATAATTGAGCCTCACCCCTGATTGAAACTTTGTCCAAAGAGCTTTGAAACTTTATTGAGAAGGAGTAGCTAATAAAACAGACATTGGAAACCATTTTCTGACTTACCAGACACAGAAAGCCAGAATACACCTTTGATGCAAACTGGCCCTTTGTACTCAGAGCTGTATTTGCCTAGGGATCATTTTGATTTGTGCGTGCCAAGTAGACATACACAAAAGGACAGGCATAAAAGGAGAAGGAGCTTTCTGGAGAAACTGTGACTTCAAGAGAAATCTGCTCTGGGTAAGAAGGTAAGAGTTGCAGAAGATGAAGTTGCACCTGTGCAGACTCCATTTCAGCAGGAAAAAAAAAATGGCATTTTTCTAAGGAGGGAACTGTCCTGGGCTACTTTGGCAAATTTTTTTACTCTTGTGTCATAGTCTGTGTATTCTTGCTTGAGCAATGGCTATCTCGTGATATTGGGGCTATTTTATCAGGAGGCGAGAGGCGTTGTGAGACCTCAGAGCTGAGATGACAAAGCACAGCACCAGCTTGGGGAGGGCGGAATGTCCCTGGTACTGTGAGGAATGCAGCACGCCTCTGAACCTGGAGAAGTGACCTACTTAGGGCATTAGGAGCCATCCCCTTTAGCTGCTCTCCTGAGGGAATTGTTGGCAGGGCCAATGGTGATTCTTGAACTGATTACAGGAGTGGAGGACAGGTGGCAGGGAGAGGAACAAGGTGGATGCTGCAGGATAATTGCAGCTGACAAACAGGTTTATGAGCAACAGGAGGCTCCTCCTTGAGGACCTGCAGAAATGCCAGAGGAAGACCTGAGGTGGGGTAGTCAGGAGAGAGCCTGCCATTGCAGGCAGAGCAAGCAAAGGAACTTAGGTTATCGTTATGGAAGGGACTTGATTTGTAGCCACAACCTGGGTAGGTCTGCTGACACTCAGGTTAAAATTTAAGAGGAGGCCAGAAGTTTGATAACAGCCTGGGCAATATAGCGAGACCCCATTTCTACAAAATATTTTAAAAATTAGCTGAGCTTGGTGGCTCATGCCTGTAGTCCCAGCTACTCAGGAGGCTGAGGCAGGAGGATCCCTTGAGCCTAATAAGAGTTTGAGGCTGCAGTGAGCTATGATCATGCAACTGCACTCCAGGCTGGGCAACAGAGTGAGACCCTGTCTCAAAAACAAAAACAAACAAACAAAAAAACACAGCAAAACAAAATTCAAGGAGTTTATACTGTGATTTTGCACTTGGTAAAAGACATTTCTGAGAAGCTACTTCTTTCATATACATGACCACATTGGGCAGTATTTGGACACAGTCATTCTAAGGTAATCACTGGGTCCCAGTTTGCTTGGGACTTTCCTAGTTTTAGCACCAAAAGTACCTTGTTCTGGGCAAACCAGGAGGGTTGGTCACCCTACCACTCACTCAGACTGACTGTTAACCTTCAGGTGGGGAAGACAGAGTAGACTGCTCATCGCCTCACAATGTAGCAGAAACAAGCCTATGTCTCTCCTTTGGGATATTAAGGATCTATAAAACAGCAAAGGTATATTGTGAAGTTGTCTTTCAAATGGTACACCTGAGGCTGAAAATGGACACAAAGAGAATTTCTGTCCTAAGATGCTGTTCTGGAACAATAATTCATTTTCCTTTGCCAAGGTACCTTCTTCAAGTTTTATTTTTGTAACCTATTCAGAACAGTAAGTGCCTCTTCACACTAGATTTTCTCTGATGGTTGCAATTTTGTAATATATTTTTCCTTAGTAATAAAAGAATCAAATATGTAATTAAGGTTATGAGTTTTTTAAAGCATTTTTATCTAAATAAAATCTCAAATCAGAAAAATACATTTGTTAGACACTGTGCCCTGATTTTTTATTCTGAAATGAGGACTACCATATCATCAAGACAATCACATCCTTGATAAGTGGGACAGTGACCACCAGCCCCAAAATGAAGCAAACAAACCTAGAGTGAGAAAGGAGTCTACAGACATTCCTTTATTCCAGAGATCCTTGGCAGAAGCCAGTCCTAGATGACCAGGTTCCTAGGTCTTAGCATGAGGTGGAAGGAGCCATCTGACTCCTCCACTGGAGCACAGGATAGGGGGACTGTGGGACCAGCCATCAAAGGAAAAGGCACATCTTCTTTTCCCAGGCAGGCCGAGAAGATGAGGAGTAGCCCACCAAGAGCCAGGAAAATACCAGCAGCCCAGCCCAAGTAGAGGGCACCTCCAAACTCCCACCGAGGTATGATGTCAGGGATGCTGTCATCCCAGAAGTCTTGGATTGTGGCATGGGCCACCCAGGAGACTGGAAGGAGGGTAGTGGCTGAAGCGGATGCCTCCAAAGTCCTTCCCAGGAGACCAAGCCGCCTCTTGAATACCCATCTGATCCTGTGAAACTGGAAGCATTCAGACCCAAAGCTGCAGAGCAAAAGCCCCAATAGGCCCAGCCCATGGGAGGCTACCATGAGGATGCGGGCTACCTGGAGCTCCTGGGGCAGAGACAAGAAGGATTCAAAGGCCTTGCACACAGTGGCGACTTCCTCTCGATCCACGCAGACCTCCCAAATCCCCATGATCCAGGTCTCCATCTCGTTCAGTTCCAGATTAAGAGTCTTCCACTGGGGCAGGATGGTGGTAACACAGGAGCAGACCCAGCCAAGGAGGGAGAGAAGTAGCCCCCCGAGCTGGACTTTTGCACGGAAACTCCAGGCCATAGTCACTCCCACCACAGATGCAGAAAGAAAAGGAGCACGAGTGGGTCAGTGACTGGTTAGCAGGGACTACTTTTCAGGAGGCTTGAGTGGAAGATCTTTCACATTGGGAGAGGGCTCTTGTTTCAGTATTCTGAGCAGCAGCTGAGGCAGGTGCCAGGAATTGGCAATGTTTGGGTTTAGAGGGTGTGTCCAATATCGGATGTGGGTGTGAAATCTGGGGGAGGGTCCCATGACCAGCAAAAAAGCCATACAGGGAGCCATCAATACATATTTGATGAATAAATTCATAAACTAAAATCACTCCTCAGCTCTGAGATCACAAGAATGATTGATGTTCTGGAAATATACGTTGATATAATCTTTTTGAAGGGCAACATGACTTTATGTTTCATGCTTTTAAACATATGCATACTTTGACCCAGCACCTTATCTCCAGGAATCTACCTAATGTATCATGAATACGTACAAAGATTTATGAAAATGTCCATTGAAATATTGTTAAGAATTGTCAGTTTTTGTTAATACTTGGCAGCCATTTTAAAGTGATTTTGTAGAAAGAATTTTAATGATTTGAAAAATATTTTTGATATATTGTTAAGTGAGAAAAGCAAGTGACCAAACAGTACATGGAATATATAGAATGCAGCCGGGCACGGTGGCTCATGCCTGTAATCCCAGCACTTTGGGAGGCTGAGGTGGGTGGATTACTTGAGGCCAGGAGTTCGAGGCCAGCCTGGGCAACATGGCGAAACCTCACCTCTACTAAGAAAGTGAAAAAAATTAGCCGGGCATGGTGACACACGCCTGTAGTCCAAGCTGCTTAGGAGGCTGAGGCAGGAGAATCTCTTGAACCTGGGAGGCGGAGGTTGCAGTTAGCCGAGATCATGCCACTACACTCCAGCCTGGGTGACAGAGTGAGACCCCATCTCAGAAAAAAGAAAAAGCCAAAGAATATATAGAAATATGTGCGTGTGTGTGTGCGTGTGTGTGTGCGTGTGTGTGTGTATATGTGTAGACCACAAAATGTTAACATGATTATTTTGGTGATAAAATTATGCATAGTTTTTATTTCCTTATTTGTGCTTACCTATGCATTTTACGCATTTTACACATTTTATAAATTTATCACTTAATATTTTTATTACAAAAAGCCCACAAATATTAATTTTACAAAATAATTTTAAATTCCTCAATCCAAGGAACCTACCCAGACACAGAATATCCCCAGAGGGAGGTGCTCCCTCCCCAGGCTCCCCTTGCTGCTGGGACAGCAGCTATAAATAGATGGTAATCATACCAGCTTCCATTCCTGTTTGTTGCTGCTGCCAAGTAGCAGGTTCTGACAGGAAAGGAAATAATTTGCATTTACTGAGTACGGCTAAATGCCAGACTTTTGGCTAGACACTTTATCCGTATTTAATTTTCACACTGCCACTGTGTGATACATGTTACGTAACTTGCCAAGGTCCCCCAGCTGGTAAACAACAGATCCAACACGAACCAGGCAGCTCAGACTCGGACATTTGATGTTCTTGTCCCCAGGCTGCAGCAGCTGCCCCTGCACACTGGTGACACATCATGTGGGTGAGGCTTAGTCTTTATAGCGAGACAGAGAAGAAAACGGACTTATTCTGTTGGAGTCATGAATGTCTGACTCATGTGTTTCCCTATTCACAAATTAACCTGCTCCACACTGTGGTAGATATGAAGTGAAAGCAAAGGTGTTCCTGAAAGGAAGATGAAGGGGTGGCCTGCCCCTCCACACCTGTGGGTATTTCTAGTCGGGTGGGACAAGAGACTGAGAAAAGAAATAAGACACAGAGACAAAGTGTATAGAAACAACAGTGGGCCCAGGGGACCGGCGTTCAACATACCAAGGACCTGCACCGGCACCGGTCTCTGAGTTCCCTCAGTTTTTATTGATTATTATCTTCATTATTTCAGTAAAAAGGAATGTAGTAGGAGGGCAGGGTGATAGTAAGGAGAAAAACACGTGAACAATAGAATCTACGTCATAATTAAGTTCAAGGGAAGGTACTATGACTGGACGTGCAGGTAAGCCAGATTTATGTTTCTCTCCACCCAAACATCTCAGTGGAGTAAAGAATAACAAGGCAGCATTGCTGCAAACATGTCTGGCTTCCCACCATAGGGTGGTTTTTCTCCTATCTCAGAATTGAACAAATGTACAATTGGGTTTTATACCGAGACATTCAGTTCCCAGGGGCAGGCAGGAGACAGTGGCCTTCCCCTATCTCAACTGCAAGAGGCTTTCCTCTTTTACTAATCCACCTCAGCACAGACCCTTTACGGGTGTCGGGCAGGGTGACGGTCAGATCTTTCTCATCCCATGAGGCCATATTTCAGACTATCACATGGGGAGAAACCTTGGACAATACCCCGCTTTCAAGGGCAGGGGTCCCTGCGGCTTTCCACAGTGCATTGTGTCCCTGGTTTATTGAGACTAGAGAATGGCGATGACTTTTACCAAGTATACTGCTTGTAAACATTTTGTTAACAAGGTATGTCCTGCACAGCCCTAGATCCCTTAAACCTTGATTTCATACAACACATGTTTTTGTGAGCTCCAGATTGGATCAAAGTGGTTGGGTCAAAGTGGCTGGGGCAAAGCTACAAATTAACATCTCAGCAAAGCAATTATTTAAAGTAGAGGTCTTTTTCAAAATGGAGTCTCTTATGTCTTTCCTTTCTACATAGACACAGTAACAGTCTGATCTCCCTTTCTTTTGCCTACAGAAGAGACATCTCCTGAGAAAGGAGGATCTTGAGTTTATCTAACTGATGGCTCAACACCTAAGACATCTGGTATACCAGTGTTTATCCGTGGTGTGAGGGTTTGGAGGAAGGCACACAGAATCATCTGAAGTGCTCTTTTCTCTTTTATGTTTTATTACAGAAAACTTCAAACATATACAAAAGTAGAATGAATTGTATAAAGAAATCCCATATTGCATCATTTCACTTCAAAAATTATCCACTCATCCCAATCTTGCTTCATTTCTACCTGCACCCAGCCCTTCCCTTTCATACTATTTTGAAGCAAATGGGTTGCTTTTTCAAATTTTAAGCGCCTTATGCTGCTTTTATAGCAACATGATGGCAAATACTGTGCAAACGTGGAAACGCTGTCTGATTGTACTGTCCTCTACCAGAAATATGCATTCGCTACTTTGCTTCTTGAATACAGGTATGTCATGTGTATGTGAGCCATGATAGGCCAGGAGGAATCCTTTCAGACTTTGCTCCTGACTTCCTTGCCTTTTCCTGATGATTTATGAACATCTGTGAATTGGGAGACATATAAGCCATGATAAATGTGAACTATGAAGAAGGTGAGGTTAATGAGGGAATACAGAACACATGCATTTATTAATTTCTTTTTTTAAATTCAAGTATTCATTCATTGCTGCATGCATTGACTGTGTGTAGCCATCACATTCCATGCTGCACGCTCTTTCTTCTCCTTTCTCAGCCTAACTCTGGCTCTTCCCTGACTTTTCCTTGGACCTTGAGGAACAGTCTTCACCTTACCCAGTAGTCTCTCTGCTCAGGAAGAAGCAAGAACTTAGGCAGTTGTGTTTTGTGGGTCTGTACACACAGGTTTTCTGGAGGGAGGTCCCAGAACCTCAACCTCAAAGTAGCACTTCCTTTCATTCTCACTTCAGATTTCTCATTACCGTTGTCAAAAGACAAAATTACAACGAGTTTAGTTTAAAGATCTTAATTCACTTTATTTGTGATTCTAGAATCAGGCAACACTTCATTCCATAAAGTAGAATCAGTGTCCCGATGAGCTGAACAGATGAGGTTGGTTTTATAGAAAGAAAAAGGCTGAAGAAAGGAGACACAAAGAACAAAAAGCAGATTGGCTGTTTCAAATTTAATTTCCTGGTAAGGTGGGAACTGAGAAACAGAACAATAGAAAAATAACTGATTGATTGGCATCAGTTTAGTTCAGGTACTTTTTTGTAAGAATTAAAACAGAGGGAACTTCGTTATCATGAAGACTGAAACTGGCAGGTTTGGGAATTTGGTGATTATCTCTCATTCTCCTGATTTCTCAGAAGGTCAGACAGACAGCTTAGTTTTGGTTTGGCGAAGTAGAGCTTTAGCATGAGTGACTCCATTTTGGTTTGGTCTGTTGGGCTTAGTGCAGGAACTCAGTCCAAAGTGATGGCCTCCTGTAAATGTTAACATTGTGAAACCTTTCTAATTCAGTCAGAGACTGGGTGCTCTTCCTCCAATATTTCCTCTGCCATTTGCATCTTCCTCAGGGGCAGATTAAACTTCACAGCTCATTACTTGCACAAGCCCCTTCTAAGGCTGACATCTAATTTTGTATTCATTATTTTATATTCTTTTCTTTAAAGAGTCCTTCCCCTCCCTGCAACTGTATAAGATTTAAGTTCCACTAAATCTAGATCCATCCCTCATCTACCTACAAATTAGTAATTATCATATTTTTCTGTGATTATATATTCACATGTTGTGGGTCCCCAGACCTAGCACAATGTCTGCTATGTGATAATTGCTTAATAAATATGCAGTACAAAGTTTCAGAATTTTCATCTATCAGTCATTCTTTGTCATTGGGCATTTATTATTAGTTGCAGTTAGAATTCAAAGTTGACAGGTCTACCAAAAAGAAATTGATTTGGTTTTCCAAGGAAGGGAGTTTCTCAGGATGTTTTGGCTGTTTTCAGTGCTTCCTCTCTCAATCCCAGTTTTGTTTCCTTTGCTCATGGCATGTGAATTGGCCCTTGCTTCACTGGGATAAGCAGATTGTCTCAAAGACACTTAACAATTGTCAGGGATCTTAGAGTCAGTGCCTACTTGGGGTCAACCCTCACAATATATCTTTTTAAAAAACCAAAAACCTTTTAATCAAAACAGTACATCTGGCTCTTGGTATCCACGGATCCAACCAACCACAGATCAAAAATATTCTGGAAAAAACTAATAAAAAATAACAATACAACAACAAAAAATAATGCAAATCAAAATACAATATAACGACTCTATAGCATTTAGATTGATTTGTATTAGGTCTTATAAGTAATCAAGAGATGATTTAAAGTGTATGGGGAGGATGTGTGCTGGTTACTTGTAAACATTACATCATTTTATGTAAGAGACTTGAGCATCCACGGATTTTGCTACTGGGGCAGGGGAGGTTTCTGGAACCAATCCCCCCATACCAAGGGAGGACTGTGTATGTTTACTGCAGAAAAATAGAGAAAGCAAGGGCAGAGAAGAGAATAAATACCATAAATCCACCACCCATAGGATAATTTGATGTCTGTCCTTTACATACATACTTACATACTTTTTGTTTTCTGACCAATGGTTATACACTTAAGTTTTTAAAAAGGAATCATAGTATACATAGAATATTGTGAACATCTTTCTGTATGCAATGCATTAAAATAATGAAACCATTTTTAAAAGCTTTTGACACATTTATATATTTATAATATGACAGAAAGTACTAAGTATCTTGTTCACACAGGACTAATATTATGTATATCTAAGTAATATAAATATGTAATGTAGGTAATGTAAATGTGTAATGTATCACGTAGATGTAATATATGTACATAGATGCAATTATAAGCAACCTTTTATTTATAATGAGGTGACGCCACTTCTTTACACAACTCTAGAGGGCGCCATTCGTAGATTCTGGTGCCACAGCGGCCCAATAAAAGTTGAGGAAAAAAGATCGAGATGGGCTCGTTGGCTCTTTCAGTTAGATAATTTTACAAGTAAGCCTTTTGAAGTTTAGAAAGGTTCAGTTAGACCTGGTTATTAAAAACGTTTAATTTCCTCCAGTGAAAAACGGGCGGGAAGCAACGAACTTTGAAAACAACTAAGGAAGAAAACGCGTCTGCTTACAGTTTGCCAACTACGGGACACCGTGGAAATCCCATCTCGGGATTGGCGCGGTGCCTGCTGGGAGTTGTAGTGCGCCCCTCGCCTTCCGGGCGGCGGTCTGAGGCCCGCGAGACTCCGTTTCCCGGCAGGCCTCGCGTCAAGACGGCCGGCGGGACGGGAGCTGCGGCGCTGGCTACGAGAGTGACCCAGTCAGCGTTGGTTCCCGTCTTGGCCATGGCCTCGTTCGTGACAGAAGTTTTGGCACACTCCGGGAGGCTGGAAAAGGAGGATCTGGGGACCCGGATCAGCCGCCTGACCCGGCGGGTGGAGGAGATCAAGGTGAGAGCGGGGCAGCTGTCTGCTGACTGGAAGGGGACTCCGGGTCCTTGTGTGAAGGGACTGGAGAGAGGAGTCAGGGGCTAAGGGCAGACAGAGTGGGGACCAGCAGAGTGGGGCCTGTTGGGGAGATCTAGTTGTGGGGGCTGAATGAGGAGTGGAGGGGCCCAGAATGTGTGGATTGAGGAGGGATCTTGGAGGGGAGCCCACACAGGGGTTGGGAACTGAGGAGGCGAGGAGACCTGGGACTGTGGGGACGAACAGGCGGTGGCTGGAGAGCACTGGAGAGTGGAGTTATGTTGGGGAGGGGTGTGCCGCGGGAAGAGGGAGACTGAAGAGACCAGCAGAGCGGGAGGAGCAACTGGAAGCTCCGAGGAAGCTAGGGAGCGAGCGCAGGAGAGGAATAGAAAAGACAGGATCCCCCTTCCCCTTCTTCCATCGATGAGTGTTTATTTCCTCCACCCACTCCTTGATTTGTTGATGAATAAAATAGCCTGGAGGATTGCACCTTTCTCCTCCCCGACATTAAAAAAAAAACAAACCCAAACCCTCAGTATGTTTTTATTTTTATGTATCTATCTATCTTTTGAGATGGAGTCTTGCTCTGTCGCCCAGGCTGGAGTGATCTCGGCTCACCGCGACCTCTGCCTCCCGGGTTCAAGCGATTCTCCTGCCTCAGCCTCCCGAGTAGCTGAGATTACAGGCGCGTGCCACCACGCCTGGCTAATTTTTTTTTTTTTTTTTTTGTATTTTTAGTACAGACGGAGTTTCACCATGTTGGCCAGACTGGTCTCGAACTCTTGACCTCAGGTGATCCACCCGCCTCGGCCTCCCAAAGTGCTGGGATTACAGGTGTAAGCCACCGTCTCCGGCCTCTTAATGTGGTTTTAAAACTTCATCTACAAGCACATGAAGCTGTGCTGAGTGTCATTGGTACCTACGTAAACGTTGCTGCCTTGAGATTGATACAAAAACTGGAAGCACGTAGCCACACACAGTTTTGCTTTGTACTGATATTGTTACCTTGCCAGTATTTGTCCACATCTTCAGTTGCTTTCATTTAAAATTTTGTGTATCTGAGTCAAGTAGGGTTTCGAGGGAGCAAGTTTGCCACACACCATAAGGGCACAGGTATAACCCTTCCTAACAGCTCTTGATTTTACAAAAGTAGTTTCCTGAATTTTAAGTAGTCATATCCCTGACATCTCTTCTTTAATATGGCTTTCGGATTTTTCACCACTGTTTAATGTGATGGAAAGAGGACAGGTTTTTAAGTTACTCTAGCATGGCAAGCGACCCTAGCTCCTGCGTGTTCTGGACCCAACATGCCTTTCTTTGCTTTCACTAGTTTCCTTTACCAACTTGAATCTTCAGCCAATTGAGAATTACTTTCTCTGCTCTCCCTCCCTTTTTTAATCCCATATTTTGCTTATGTTGCCATTTTTCCATCTTTACCTGTAGTATTTTTCAAACCCATTTTTCAAGTTCCATTTCAAATGTCTCCTGCATAAAAAAAAATCTTTATCTTCCCTCAGGGAGAGGGGATCTCTTTCTCATTTGTGCTCCTGGAAGGCTTTGTAACTTTGTTGCTGTATTACATTTCAGTCCTGTATTCTTGTTGCTCAAGTATATAGTATCTTTACTACGTAGGAATTTGAGGGCAAGCATAATTTGTTCTTTTTTTTAATTCATGTATTTATTCCTCTGTCAAAATAATAATTTAACAAAATTAGCCAGGCGTGGTGGTGTGCGCCTGTAATCCCCAGCTACTCTGGAGGCTGAGGCAGGAGGATCGTTTGAACCTGGGAGGTTGAGGTTGCAGTGAGCCGAGATTGTGCCACTGCGTTCCAGCCCGAGGGACGGAGTGAGACTCCATCTCAAAAAGAAAAACAAAATCAATTTAAAGCCATCACATTTTTAAAAGATAAAGGAGAATTTGTGGCACAGCTGCATTAACAAAACAAGACACCAGTCTAAAGTGCAACACTAAACAGGTGTTCTCTCTTCCCATGGTGGAATACATACACACAATTACACGTAAGATTTCACTGAAGATATGGAATGAGGCAAATAACCCTTTGAAATGAACCACCCAAGGAATAGAGACAGGCTAAAAATAATTTCTTTTAAGATTTTACTGTAAGATGGACCCCCTGCCCCCACTCCAGCCCAGGTAAGTACTAACTCAAACCCCTCATTTTATGTGCATGGCCTTGGCTTCTGTCTTCTTTCCTCAGCCACATCCAAATCCAGAAAGGCTTCTGTACCCTATGCTCAAAACGCAACCTCAGCCAGGTGCGGTGGCTCACGCCTGTAATCCCAGCACTTTGGGAGGCCAAGGTGGGTAGATAACCTGAGGTCAGGAGCTCCAGATCAGCCTGGCCAACATGGTGAAACTTCTTCTCTACTAAAAATACACAAATTAGCCGGGTGTGGTGGTGGGCGCCTGTAATCCCAGCTACTCTGGAGGCTGAGGCAGAAGAATCGCTTGAACCCGGGAAGTGGAAATTGCAGTGAGGTGAGATTGCTCCACCACTGCAGTCCAGCCTGGGCGACGGAGTGAGACTCTGTCTCAAAAAAAAAAAAAAAAAAAATAGCATCCTCAAGTCCCCGACTTGAGGAAGTACAGACTGACGTTAATGAGCCTGTGTGCAACGTGCAACCTTCATCTAGAACCTGCAGGGAAATCAGGAGCACAAACACAGAGTGCAGCATCATTTCTTTTTTTTTTTTTTTCTTTTTTGAGGTAGAGTCTCTCTCGCCCTGTCGCCCAGGCTGGAATGCAGTGGCGAGTTATTGGCTCACTGCAATCTCTGCCTTCTAGGTTCAAGTGATTCTCCTGCCTCAGCCTCCCAAGTAGCTGGGACTACAGGCGCCCACCACCGCGACCGGCTAATTTATTTGTATTTTAGTAGAGATGGGTTTTCACCATGTTGGCCAGGCTATTCTTGAACTCCTGACCTCAAGTGATCCACCTGCCTTGGCTTCCCAAAGTGCTGGGATTACAGGTGTGAGCCACAATGCCGGGATGCATCATTTCTTTAAACAATGGCTTTAACTGTTGAATGAGCTCTGACAAGCCATATGCATCTCATAAGCAAGCCAAAATACTGTCTTCATATCTGTTTTTCTTGCAAACATGTATCATCCAAGTAAAAAAAAAAAAAAAAAAATTAGGCTGGGCACTATGGCTCACACCTATAATCCCAGCAGTTTTGGAGGCCGAGGTGGGCGGATCACCTGAGGTCAGGAGTTCGAGACCAGCCTGGCCAACATGGTGAAACCCTGTCTCTACTAAAAATACAAAAATTAGCTGGGCGTGGTGGCGCATGCCTGTAGTCCCAGCTACTTGGGAGGCTGAGGCAGGAGAATCGCTTGTACCCGGGAGGTGGAGGTTGCAGTGAGCCAAGATTCCACCACCGCATTCCAGCCTGGATGACAGAGCGAGACTCCATCTCAAAAAAAAAAAAAAAAAAAAAAAGAAATTTAACAGAAACAATGAAAAAGAAAATTCAAAAGGTTTATGCCAAAAAGCAAACCAGTCCTCATTTGTTTTGGTGCTAACTCATTTGTTTTGGGGCTGTGAAGCCATGTAGAGGGTGATCAGGCAGTATCCCACCCACAGTCAGCACCATGGTGGTCCAGTATAGCATTTGGTCAGGGAAGCCTCATTTCAGGTGGATGGGCACATCATCAGCTTTCTGGAGAAACTTCTGCAGCTCTGGAACTTTGTTTTTCCTAGCAAAATTATATGCAGTGGAATCAGAAGTCAGCTTAGTTGGTATGGCAAATATGATAGGTGGTGCTTCTGTGGAAACCACAGGCATTAATCCTTATGGGCTATAGGCCTCTGAAGTCCATGCTCCCACCAACTCAAACGTGAAGCCACTAAATTTGTAGTACATGATGCCTGGAGTCCGGCTTCCCGCATCTACTGCCTGCACGACCACCCCAGAGAAGGACCCATAATTTATCCTTGTATCTTTCAAGGTATTAAATAATTCAATACACAGTATTCAGTACTTTGTTTAAGTTACTTTGTATTAAAGGAGATGATGAAAGTCAAATCAATGTAGGGTTTTAAGATCAGGCCATAAAATATTATAGGCAAGAAAATAGAAATTGATTGAGATATACAGATTATGGATTTAATTTATCCATTTATTTTCTATTAGATTTATGATTAAAATTGGTGACCACAGTCTGATATAGTTCAATATGAGAACTTCTGGCTCCACCTTTTCTCTTTTCCAGCATTTGTACAAGTCTTGGGCGCCGTTGGGGTTTGGTGATCATTGTCTTCCTTTTTTTTTTTTAATTTTTTAATCGACCAGTAATAGTTGTATATACTCTTGGAGTACATAGTGATGTTTGATATTGTTGTCTTCTTTCACCCTAATAATGTTATGAGACCCCTCATGGTGGGAGAAATGTGTTTTTGAAATAAACTCATTGGCTTGGAGGGAAAGTGAATGGGTATAGGCAATTGGCAAGAAGGTTCTAACATGGAAAATGCCTTGTGGAAGATGAATATATTCTTATTAGAGTTCTCTACTCATTTCACTGTCTTTTAATATAATTCTGTTTTATATTTTAGGGTGAGGTGTGCAATATGATTAGCAAGAAGTACAGTGAATTCCTGCCTAGCATGCAGAGCGCGCAGGGCCTGATTACCCAGGTGGATAAGCTATCTGAAGACATTGACCTGCTGAAATCCAGGATAGAGAGTGAGGTAAGGATAATTTGTTATATTGGGTAGGTTTGTAGGGAGGTGGTTCAGCTTCCTGATTGCTAAGACAGCTTAATTGTGTACAACTTTTTAAACCCTCACTTTTCTGATTGGTAAATGGAGATTGAACTAAATGATTGTAGGGTGACTTCAATTCTGAAATAGAAGTATTTCCAAAAGTGCAATTTAAATAACTTATTTTTTATGGAAGAAAATTTGACCAGGCCCGGTGCATCATGCCTGTAATCCCAGCACTTTGTGGTGGCCAAAGTGAGTGGATCAATCTGTTACTTTGCACCTCTGGCACAGTTCAAAAAATATCCCCAGAGTGCATTTGTAATTAGTTGATTGATTAGGGAGTCAATATCAATAGTGTAACATTAGACTGTGCTATTAGAAATGAAGTGTCTGGAACAAGACAGTAATTGGCTCTCTGTACCTTTTACTGGCCACACCCTGGCTGTTGAAATTTATTTAGTTTTGGTTGTTGTTATTTTGAAAGATGGCTGGTCTGGATGAGAAGGTTTAGCCCTGAACACTGTACCATTTGAAGAACTGTGAAATAAACTGAGGATGTTTAGCCTTGGGAAGAAACATTTTCAATATTTGAAGCTCTGTCATATGGGAGAAATATTCAAATTTATGGTTCATAATAGAGAATTTTTTCAATAGGTGTATGTTAGAAGTTTATTCAGGCATTTGGTATATTTATTCTGCACTTAAAAGGTGCCAGGCAGTGTAATAGTTGCTGAATAAGAATGTTTTTTATTTCAAGGTGTGAATCTCGTGCCTGGTAATAGTGTGCCACAGCAATAAATAGGAGTAATACAGTTAGAGAGAGGAGATATAGCTAAGGATGGCTTCCTATAGGAAATGGCATCCAAACCAAGACGGGAAGTGATAGGCAACAGGGGAAGGAAGAGTGTTGTAAGTAGCCATAAGTTTTAGGTAGGCAGAGGCATGGAGGTAATAGAGAGATGTCACTGTTGGGGAGCTACAAGTATTCCATAAGACAAATGTGGGATTTTGGTGGGAAGGGACATAAGATGAAATTAGAAAGGTAAGCAAGGGCCTTGCATATCAGGTTAGTAGTAACATGATAAAGAGTGTGGACGTTATCTTGATGGCCCTGTGGAACCCATAGAGGTTTTTAAGCAAGAGAGTGACATCAGATTTGAATTTCCGGAATCCTATTCTGCTTGCAGTTTGAAGAAAGAACTTGAGGGAAATGAGTCCAGGATATGAGAAGGCAGTTAAAATGTTCAGAGGCAGTTAAAATAATCGAGGAAAAAAAAGGGTAGTGACTTTCTCTAAAGTCAGTGGCAGTGGGAATGGAGAAAAATTGATGGATCCTAGTGACATTTCAGAGAGGATATTTGGAACTTGTTGATGTGGGGAGTGAAGAATGTAGGAGTCAGGGATAACTGGGGAACTAGCTCATGGTTTCATTCCATTCACTGACAGAGAATCTAGAGAAAGCAGGTTTTTGTGAGAGATTTGAGGAATTTAAATTTAAGGTGCCTATGGGGTATCAAATGGAGTTTCACAGGCAATTGGATTATATTAAGGTGAAGGCTAGACTGTTGTAAAAAAAAATAAATAAAAAGAGATACCTTGAAATGCAGTGGCTCAAACAAGATCCTTTTTTTTTTTTTTTTAATCATCGTAGTTTGGTAAGCAGGCTGATTCCACAATCTAAGGCCCAGCTATTCTAGTATAGTCTGTGTCAAGAATTGAAGGGGATCTAGGATTTTAACTTGCTTGAAAGTCGGTAAGTTAGCCTGCTAAAGTTTCATGGATTCTTTAAAAAAATTTTTTTTGAGACAGATTCTTACTCTGTTGCCCAGGCTGAAGTGTGTGGTGCGATCTAGGCTCACCACAACCTCTGCCTCCTGGGTTCAAGCAATTCTCCTGCCTCAGCCTCGCAAGTAGCTGGGATTACAGGCGTGTGCCACCATGCCTGGCTAATTTTTGTATTTTTAGTAGAGACAGGGTTTCACCATGTTGGCCAGACTAGTCTCAAACTCCTGGCCTCAAGTGATCCACCCACCTCTGCCTCCCAAAGTGCTGGGATTACGGGCGTGAGCCACTATACCCAGCCTCATGGATTTTTTTTTTTTTAATTTTTAAAAATTAATTTTTTTTTTTTTTTTTTTTTTTTTGAGATGGAGTCTCGCTCTGTCACCCAGGCTGAAGTACAATGGCACGATCTCGGCTCACTGCAAGCTCTGCCTCCCGGGTTCAGGCCATTCTCCTGCCTCAGCCTCCCGAGTAGCTGGGACTATAGGCACCCGCCACCACACCTGGCTAATTTTTAAAAATATTTTTTAGTAGAGACGGGGTTTTACCATGTTAGCCAGGATGGTCTCGATCTCCTGACCTCGTGATCCACCCGCCTCGGCCTCCCAAAGTGCTGGGATTACAGGCGTGAGCCACCGCGCCCAGCCTAAAAATTCTTATTTTTTATTTTTTTGAGACGGTTTCACTCTGTTGCCTAGGCTGGAGTGGGGTGGCACAGTCAAGGCTCACTGCAGCCTCAACCTCCTGAGCTCATTTGATTCTCTCACCTCACCCTCCTGGGTAGCTGAGACTACAGGTATAAGCCATCATGCCCAGCTAAATTTTTTGGTAGGGACAGGGTCTCACAATGTTGCCCAGGCTGGTCTCGAACTTCTGGGTTTAAGTGATTCTTCTTCCTCAGCCTCCCAAAGTGCTGGGATTACAGGCTTGAGTCACCGTGCCTGGAAAGTTTCATGGATTTGTAGAAGACGTGAGTCTCCTTGGTGAGAGATGAAGGACAGTTTATTACTTACAGCAGTAGCCAGAGTATCAGCATTTTTGCATCAGTTGCCCAGTCCTGCTCCCTGTAGGACATTGTGCAGTAGATTGCTTTATATTAATAGAAAAGGACTCCTGACTTTAAGGAACCCGACTCTTTTTAATGGGTAGCAAGCATACCTCCCTTTTGCTTTGGAGGGAGACACCATCTCTGTCTTCCAAGGCTGTTTACTATATAGACATTCTTGAAAAGATAGCCCAGAACTAAAGACAGTAATTGCCTTACTTGTAAGATAGTGCAGAAATGTGAGAGACCTCTAGAGAATTGTCTTCCAAAAGTCTGTAGAGCAGCAGCTTTGGCAGTACCTGATAGCTTATTAGAAATGCAGGATCTCAGGCCTCAATCCAGACCCAGTGAATCAGAATCTGCATTTTACTGAGAGTCACTGAGTGATATGTATATGCATTACAGTTTGAGAAGTATTGCTCTTAGGGTTTTGTCATTATTTATGTGATTCAATCTGGTCTCTTTTGGTATCCAGGTTATAGCTGGAGATAAAGGGAAAAGAGAGGGCATGTAGGGGGCACGTCTATTTTCTTAAGACTCAGAGTTGGAAGTGGTACACATTACTTCTGTTTACATTCCATTGGTAGGATCTTAGACATGGTCTCACCCAACTGTGAAGGAGGCTAAAATATATAATCTAGTTGGGTGCTATTAATATGGAAAGAAGGAGAATGGATTTTAGTGGACAGTTTCCACATCATCTTACCCATATACATGTTTGGACGTGAGGAAAATAATGTGGACTCGAGATAGCAGCACTTAGTAATTGAAGCCATGGGAATGGACAAGATTGCCCAGAAAGAGTATATAAAGCAGGGTTTCTCACCCTTGTCACTATTGATGTTTTGGGCTGGATAATTCTTTGTTGTAGAGGTCTGTCCTGTACATTGTATTGTGTTAGCAGTATCCCTGGCCTCTGTTCACTAGATGTGAATAGAACTCTCTCATGGTGCAAACCAGTGACAGCCAATGTCTTCAGACATTGCCAGATGTCCCTGGTTGAGGTTGGGGCAAAATCACTTCCTGTTAAAAACCACTGGTTTGGAGTAAGACAATCAGGAAGAAAGGAGTATCAATATATACGGAGTGGTCAGAAAATGAAGCTCCCAAAAGAGTGAAAAAGGAAGGGCTAGAGAACTAAGAGGAAAATCAGTAGAGAATAGTTTCATGGAACTAAGGGAAAAGAATGTTTCAGAAGGAAGGAAAGTTAACACAGTACTGTTAAATACATTTCAGTCGACCACAGACCACATATACAAGTGTGGTCCTGTGAGATTATAGTAGAGCTGAAAAGTTCCTATCACCTATTGGTAATCTTGACTTTGTAGGGCTAGGCTAATGTGTGTGTTTGTGTCTTAGTTTTTAACAGGAAAGTTTACAAAGTTAAAACAAAAAATTTAAAAATAGAAAAAAGCTTATAGAAGATGAATTTAAATAAAATATTTTTACTACAAACCACTACTCAAGGAAATAATAGAGGACACAAACAAATGGAAAAACATTCCATTCTCATGGATAGGAAGAATCAGTATCATGAAAATGGCCATAAGCAATTTATAGATTCAATGCTGTCACATCAAACTACCATTGACATTCCTCACAGAATTAGAAAAAACTGTTTTAATTTCATATGGAATCAAAGAAGACCCATATAGCCAAGACAATCCTAAACAAAAAGAACAAAGCTGGGGTCATCACACTACCTGACTTCAAACTACACTGCAAGCCTACAGTAACCAAAACAGCATGGTACTGGTACCAAAACAGACATATAGACCAATGGAGCAGAACAGAGGCCTCAGAAATAACACCACACGTCTACAACCATCTGATCTTTGACAAACCTGACAAAAACAAGCAATGGGGAAAGGATCTGCTATTCAGTAAAATGGTGCTGAGAAAACTGGTTAGCCATATGCAGAAAACTGAAACTGGACCCCTTCCTTACACCTTACACAAAAATTAACTCAAGATGGCTTAAGGACTTAAATGTAAAATCCAAAACCATAAAAACCCTAGAAGAAAACCTGGGCAATTCCATTCAGGACATAGGCATGGGCAAGGACTTCCTGACAAACATGCCAAAAGCAACTGCAATAAAAGCCAAAATTGACAAATGGGATCTAATTAAACTAAAAAGCTTCTGCATAGTAAAAGAAACCATCATCAGAGTGAACAGGCAATCTACAGAATGGGAGAAAATTTTTGCAATCTACCCATGTGACAAAGGTCTAATATCCAGAATTTACAAGGAACTTAAACATATTTATAAGAAAAAAGCAACCCCATCAAAAAGTGGGCAAAGGATATTAACAGACACTTCTCAAAAGAAGACATTTATGCGGCCTACAAACATGAAAAAAGGCTCAACATCACTGAATCAGAGAAATGCAAATCAAAACCACAATGAGATACCATCTCACGCAAGTCAGAATGGCGATTATTAAAAAGTCAGGAAACAATAGATGCTGGAGAGGATGTGGAGAAATAGGAACGTTTTTACACTGTTGGTGGGAATGTAAATTAGTTCAACTGTTGTGGAAGACAGTATGGTGATTCCTCAAGGATCTAGAACCAAAAATACCATTTGACCCAGCAGTCCCATTACTGGGTATATACCCAAGGGAATATAAATGATTCTGCTATAAAGACACATGCACACATATGTTTATTGCAGCACTGTTTACAATAGCAAAGACATGGAACCAACCGAAATGCCCATCAATGACAGACTGGATAAAGAAAATGTGGTACATATACACCATGGAATACTATGCAGCCATAAAAAGGAATGAGAGCATGTCCTTTGTAGGGATATGGATGAAGCTGGAAGCCACCATCCTCAGCAAACTAACACAGGAGTAGAAAACTAAACACCACATGTTCTCAGTCATAAGTGGGAGTTGAACAATGAGAACGCATGGACACAAAGAGGGGAACAACACACACCAGGGCCTGGTGGGGGACGAGGGGTGAGGGGAGGGAACTTAAGAGGATGGGTTAATAGGTGCAGCAAACCACCATGGCACATGTATACCTGTGTAACAAACCTGCGTGTTCTGCACATGTATCCCATTTTTTTTAGAAGAAATAAAAACACACACAAAATACTTTTCTACAGCGTATAGTGTGTTTGCGTTTTAAGCTGTGTTATTGCAAGAGTTAAAAAGTTTAGCTGGGTGCAGTGGCTTACACCTGTAATCCCAGCACTTTGGGAGGCTGAGGCAGGCAGATCACTTGAGGTCAGGAGTTCGAGACCAGCCTGGCCAACATGATAAAACCCCATCTCTACTGAAAATACAAAAATTAGCTGGGCATGGTAGTGGGTGCCTGTAATCCCAGCTACCTGGGTGGCTGAGGCAGGAGAATTGCTTGAACCTGGGAGGTGGAGGTTGCAGTGAGCCGAGATTGTGCCACTGCACTCCAGCTGGGTGACAGAGTGAGACTCCTCAAAAAAAAAAAAAGTTAATAAGTTTATAAGGTAAAAATGTTACAGTAAGCTAATGTTAATTTATTATGAAGAAAGAAAATTTTTAAAAATAAATTTAGTGTTACCTAAATGTATAGTGTTTATAAAGTCTGCTGTAGAGTACACTAATGTCCTAGGCCTTCACATTCACTCACCACTCACCCACTGACTCACCCAGAGCAACTTCTAGTCCTGCAACTTACATTCATGGTAAGTGCCCTATACAGGTGTACCATTTTTATGCTGTATTTTTACTGTATGTTTTCTGTGTTTAGATACACAAATATTTACCATTGTGTAAATGGTACAGTAACATGCTGTATGGGTTTATAGCCTAAGAGCAATAGTTTTATATAGCCTAGGTACATAGTAGGACATACCATTTGGGTTCCTGTAAGTACACTCTGTGATGTTTGCATGACATCAAAATCACCTAACTGCATTTCTTAGAATGCGTCCCCATTGTTAGTGACACACGACTGTACTAGTAATATTTGCTTTGGATTTAGCAACAAGGAGTTTAGTGTTTTTGTTTGTTTGTTTGTTTGTTTTTTGGCAAGAACAGTTAGGAACCAGATCACAGTGAGGTATAGAGTGAATGAGAGTTGAGAATGTAAAGACAATGGATATAGATCACTATTTCAGGAAGCTGTTTGTGAGAGGGAGGAGAAAAATAAAACAGTTACTGAGCAATAGGGTGGTTGGTAAGGGGGAGGGATTTTTTTCTGAAAGATGGGAGAAATTTTAACATACTTAAATTTGATGGGATAAGCCATGCACTTATAGGCATTCAGTCAATATATATTTCACAAATGAATGAAGATAAATTAGGGAGAGGTTAATTGGAGATTTTAGGAGAGAGGGAATAATTGATCATGTAAAGTCATTGATAAGGTGGGACAGAATGAGAGGTAGATTCTGCCTCAATATTAAATCTTTCTGACAGGGTGCCATGGCTCATGCCTACAATCTCAGCACTTTGGGAGGCCAAGGTGGGCAGATCGCTTGAGTCCAGGAGTTCAAGACCAGCCTGGACAACATGGCAGAACTCCATCTCTATCAAAAAATACAAAAATTAGACAGGTGTGGTGGTGCGTGCCTGTAGTTCTGGCTACTCAGCAGGGCTAAGGTGGGAGGATTGCTTGATTCTAGGGAAGTTGAGGCTGCAGTGAGCTGAGATTGCACCACTGCGCTTCAGCCTGGGCAACAGAGTGAGACCCTGTTTCAATTAAAAAAAAGAAATTCCTAATAGAGGTGTCTGACTCTAGAATGAGTTATCACTTGGCAGTGGGGATACCTTTCTAGTAATCCAGGTGGGTGAGCTCTCTGATGAAAGATACCTGCTTAAATTAAGAATAGATGGTGACATGAGGATATTATGTTGAGAGGAATGGGTATTCTTGCAATAGGATAAGGGTTTGGACTAGTTGGACCTCTAAGGTATCTTCCTACTACATTCTGTGATTTTTATTCCAGTCTTAACTAGCATTTAAATTTCAACATAAATTATGTTGACCTAGTAAAGCTTATTGATTTGCTTTAAATTTTTTATTTCTTAGGTATGGTATAGCTTAAAAGTACTTGTTTTTGATGTGTGAATTAGGTCCGCCGGGATCTTCACGTATCAACCGGTGAATTTACAGACTTAAAGCAGCAGTTGGAAAGAGACTCAGTTGTCCTAAGTTTGCTTAAACAGTTGCAGGAGGTCAGTAAACTCAACTTGAACCTTAGTGTTTTGGTGGTGGGAAGGTCTCATTAGTCAATGGCTATCTCCTGACTATAATGGGTTTTTTTGTCTTCATATTTTTTTTTCTTTCTTTTTTTTTTTTTAGAGGGGGGAGGGGGAGGGAAAGTGGGAGCATTTCTTAATGTTTAAAAGCAAACAGACTTGAAATAATAGGATGTATAAAATATTATACTTAACTTTTCAGTTTTCCACTGCTATTGAAGAATATAATTGTGCATTAACAGAGAAGAAGTATGTCACTGGTGCTCAGCGTCTGGAAGAGGTACTAAATGCTCTCCCCAAAGCATGCGCAATAAGTGCTCTTCTTGTTTTCAGTAAATTTTGTATTTTTTATCATTATGCAAATATATTCTAATTGCCCTGAGTCCAGATGGAATGTTTAACAGTGATTCCATTTCGTTACCAGGCACAGAAATGCTTGAAGTTATTAAAATCCAGAAAATGCTTTGATTTAAAAATATTGAAATCTCTCAGCATGGAGCTCACAATACAGAAACAGAACATACTTTATCACCTTGGAGAAGAGTGGCAGAAGCTGATTGTATGGAAGTTCCCACCATCAAAAGGTGCTGCTGACCTCAGGTGGACTGCTTTGCTTCATCTGCCTGAACCAGTGTAGTGTCTGAATATATTCTACATTTTTGTATTAGTAGATGAGGGTTCATTCATAATCTTCCATGTCTGTATTGAGCACTCATGTTAGCAAGATGCTTTCTTAGGACCAACTCATCTGGGTCCCTAAAGTGCCCTCACCTTGCTTCCCTTACATCCCTCTTAGCTGTCCTGTTCCCTAGAAATGTGAGAAAAGATGCTAGGGTAGTTGGGATCATGTGGTGAGAGTGTGCTAGAGGAGATGATAGCAATTTGCGACCACATTAAGTTTCCATTGCCTTGTAGGACGTGCCCGTTCCTGACAGCCCTAATCCTAGCAGTTTATCTTGGCTAGAAAGTGTAAAGGAGCTCTCTAGCCATTCTCTCTCTTGCTTAGGAAAGAAGATGGATCAGTAGGCTTGTGGGTAGAGGAGGGGTCTTGCTCAATTTCTTTCCAGTCCTTGGGGAAAATAATGAGCTAGGGAGTGCTTTGCAAGGTGAAGAAATAGGATTACTTCTGCCCTGGCTTTGATTTATGCTACTTGGCTGTCAGCCTTTCTGCCTACCTCTGGGTATGAGCCCTCTTTGGTGTGTTGTTTGCCCTGAGAGTAAAACTTCAGAGGCTGTATTTAAAGGACATGCTATTGTACCTGGTGTATTTTCCAACACTGGATTTTGAAATTTAGTGTATTTCAAGAGAAACTTTCTCCCCCTGTTCCCTTTCCTATATCCACTTTGGCCTACAAATTCATTATATACATATGTGTGTACATAGACACATATGTGCATATGTGTATGTGTGTCAGGTATTTGAAGGGAGTTATCCTGAAAATTTTAGATTCTGTTCTCAAGTAGAATATTAGTTAAGAGAAGAGGGCAGGTGTGTTGAATTATTTGTTATAACACACCCTACTTGTTAAACTTGTTTGGCAGAAAGAACATAGAAAGGAAGGTCTGTGAAACTAGGACCTCATTTTTCTTTTTTTTTGAAACAGGGTCTCGCTCTGTCGCCCAGGCTGGAGTGCAGTAGCTCAATCATAGTTCACTGCAGTCTCAAACTCCCAGGCTGAAGCGATCCTTCTGCCTCAGCCCCAACTACTTCTCCCACCCTGCCCCCAGTAGCTGTGACCACAGGTGCGTGCTACCACGCCTGACCAATTTTTAAATTTTTTGTTAGAGACAGCGTCTCACTACGTTGCCCAGGCTGGTCTTGAACTCCTGGGCTCAAGTGATCCTCCCGCCTCGACCTCCCAAAGTGCTGGGATTACAGACATGAGCCCCTGCACCTGACCTCAAAAAGTCATTTCCTTTTTTAAAGTGATGCCAAGGACATGTATGTCATAATTCATATTTGGTTGCATTAGGAGTATATTGTAATAGAACTGCATTGGAAATATCAGAGAATGAGCTCTGAGGAATAGAAGTGGGAACATCTCATATTGGTGAGACAGCTGATATTTTTCTTCCTTTTTCTTAGATACCAGCAGTTTGGAATCTTACCTACAAACTGAACTTCATTTATACACTGAACAATCGCACAAAGAGGAGAAGACCCCTATGCCACCCATCAGTTCTGTCCTCTTGGCATTTTCTGTTCTTGGAGAACTACACAGCAAGCTTAAATCATTTGGTAAGGCATGCTACTTTGTTTCATTTACACAAAATCTCCTGAGGCCCAGTATTAAAGGGAAGACAGAAAAGATGATAAAATATTCTCTGCAGAGTATTAGTATAGGGTCTGGCCTCTTGATTCATCAAAGAGAATTGTCCTAAATATTATCCCTTTTATTAAGGGATTGGGTTTTTTTTTTTTCAACTGTTCCTATTTTTTTTTTTGGTTTTTGAATAATTTAAATAAAAATCTGTAGACAATCTGGGAAACTTCAGTGGTAAAACCTGCACCGCATAATGGTTGGTGTGTAATGTCATGGTATATGTATTTTGGTTGTTAGGTTCAAAGATTCATATTTTTTTTTTGACATGCTTACTTTTTAGAAGTGTTTTTTTTTGAGATGGAGTTTTCGCTTTTGTCGCCCAGGCTGGAGTGCAATGGCATGATCTCAGCTTACTGCAACCTCTGCCTCCTGGGTTCAGGCAGTTCTCCTGCCTCAGCCTCCCGAGTAGCTGGGATTTACAGGTGCCTGCCACCATGCCCAGCTAATTTTTGTATTTTCAGTAGAGACGGGATCTCACCATGTTGGCCAGGCTGGCCTCAGATGATCCACCTGCCTCGGCCTCCCAAAGTGCTGGGATTACAGATGTAAGCCACTGTGCCTGGCCTAGAAGTGTCTTATGGTGATTTTTTGATGAATGTTCATATGATTTTTCAGGTCAGATGCTGCTGAAGTATATCCTTAGGCCGCTGGCATCTTGCCCATCCCTTCATGCTGTGATAGAAAGCCAGCCTAACATAGTTATTATTCGTTTTGAATCTATAATGACTAACTTGGAATATCCATCACCATCTGAAGTTTTTACAAAGATCAGACTGGTACTAGAAGTGCTCCAGAAACAGCTTCTAGGTATGTGTCTCCAAGGCAGTGCTTTTATATTTTGGAAACTAAATATTGTTTATAAAAGTAAATATTATTTTAAAGTAGAAATGCCTATAATGTGTGAGAAAGGAGGATGAAAAGTAAGTAAATTGTGCCATAGGGGCAAAAGAGTTGCCTTCTTGTTTTTTTGCCTATTTTGCATTCCTTCTCTGCATTGTATTGACAAGTAGGGCCATCAGTGGTACCCCAGATTCTGTATTTGTGATATTATTTTAGTTGAATTCTAGGATGCACTTCTCTCACTGGACTCCCAGTACCGTCACAAATTGGAACTCGTGCTTTAATTATAGGAGAAGAAGAAATGAACCAAGTGTTGTTTTACATATTTCCATTAAAACCTCTATTAATCTGATATAACCAAACTTAGTTTAACATAGGAAATAAATTCTATTTCAGCCTGTTGATCTTGGTGTATTCACACTAGACACAGCCAGTTTCTGTATTCCATAAATCATGTTTTTGGTTGTTGTACCATTAAAAGTGAAGTCTCTTGTGTTTTAATACTGCTTTTTTTTTTTTTTAAGTCTATTTGATTTACCTTCTATGTGCTTTTCTCAGCTGTCATATTGAATAGCCTGGCTAACCATTCTTGCTGTGGCTAAAGTAAAAAAGAAATGCTCCTACTGTTTGTGGGCCTTCCTGGCAGTCATATACTGTATATTTATGTATAAATAATCTATATGTAAAGCAAGGACTTTTCTATAGTTTTGATGAGAGCAGAGAAAAAAAAATCCTAAGGCTTGCATAAACTTCAGAAATCCAAGGTAGTTTTTCTTGTTCCCAGAGCCTTCCCTTAGGGAGGAATACAATTTTATTTTCACTAGATATAAATTAAGTTGTAAACAAAGCATCCAAAGATTAGAAGGAATTGGAGAGATGATTTGGTCCAAATATCTCAGATGCCTGAATCTCCTCTATAATATTCCATCAATTGGTCAGATAGCCAATCTGAATGCTTTTAGTGAGAGAGAACTTGAGGCATTTTATCCTGCCCCTGGGCAGTTCTGAGTACCAGGCAGGTTTTTGTTTTGTTTTGTTTTTTAAAACTCACATTTCTTACCTGTACTCTTAAATAGTACTACGAAAATGCCAGTTTTGCAAATTAAATCTTTAGGGTAGTTATTTTAAAAGTTTGTCACAATATACTACCCTGTAATGTCTACTTTATTGATGCTATTTCTATGGTGTGGAGCCATATAGAATGAGTCTAATTCCTATTACAGATGATGGATTTTCAAATTCTTTACAGTTGCTGTTATTTCCCCTATATCTTATCACCAGTATAAACATTTTTATTTTTTGAGTGACATAGTTTTAAGTTCTCCTGATCTTCATTGCTCTTCTGGTATTGGCAGGTTTGGTTTTTCCTGAAGCCTCTCTTATCTTGCAGATGGCCTTCTTGATGTGTCTTTGCATGGCTTTTTCTCTGTGCATTTGCATCCTCCTGTCTCTTCCTCTTCTTATAAAGACACCAGTTGTATTGGATCAGGACTCTACCCTTATGACCTCATGTAACCTTAATTACCTCCTTAAAGGGACTACTAGCATACCTCAGAGATATTGCGGGTTTGGTTTTAGACCACTGCAATAAAGTAAGTATCCCAATAAAGCGAGTCCCACAAATTTTTTTATTTCCCAGTGCATATAAAAGTTATAGTTACACTGTACTGTTGTCTATTAAGTGTGCTATAGCATTATGTCTAAAAAGTGTACATACCTTAATTTAAAAATATATTATTATTAAAAAGTGCCAACGATCATCTGAGCCTTCAGTGAGTCATAATCTTTTTGTTGGTGAAGGGTCTTGCCTCAATGTTGATGGCTGCTGACTGATCAGGATGGTGGTTGCTGAAGGTTGGATGGCTGCGTCAATTTCTTAAAATAAGACAACAATGAAGCTTGCCTCATCAATTGACTTCCCTTCATGAAAGATTTCTCAGTAGCATGCAGTGCTGTTTGATAGCATTTTACCCCTAGTAGAACTTTTTTCAAAATTGGAGTCAGTCTTCTCACCCTGCCACTGCTTTATCAACTAAATTTATGGACTGTTCTAAATCCTTTGTTGTCATATAAACAATGTTCACAGCATCTTCACCAGCAGTAGATTCTGTCTCAAGAAACCACTTTCTTTGTTCATCCACTAGAAACAACTTATCATACATTCGGGTTTTATCATGAGATTGCAGCAATTTAGTTATATCTTCAGGCTCTATTTCTGATTCTAGCTCTCTTGCCATTTCTAGTACATTGGCAGTTCCTTCTTTAACTGAAGTCTTAAACCCCTCAAAGTCATGAGGGTTGGAATCAACTTCTTCCAAACTCCTGTTAATTTTGCTATTTTGACCTCCTCCCATGAATCATGAATGCTTTTAATGACATGTAGAATGGTGAATCCTTTCTAGAAGATTTTCATTTTATTTTGCTCAGATCCATCAGAGGAATCACTGTAGCAGCTATTTTATTTCTTGAATAATAAGACTTGAAAGTCAAAATCACTCCTTGATTCATAGGCTACAGATGGATGGTGTTAGCAGGCATCAAAACATATTAATCTCCTTGTTTATCTCCATCAGAGTTCTTGGGCGTCCAGGTGCATTGCCAGTAAGCAGTAATATTTTGAAAGAAATCTTTTTTTCTGAGCAGTAGGTCTCAACAGAGACCTTAAAATATTCAGTAAACCATGCTATTGGCTGGGCATGGTAGCTCACACCTGTAATCCAAGAGCTTTGGAAGGCCACGGTAAGAGAATTGCTTGAGGCCAGGAATTTGGGTAACATAGCGATACCTGCCTGGGTATTGCTATGGGTAACATAGTGATACCTGGCCTGGGTAACATAGCGATACCTGGCCTCTACTAAAAAAATAAAAAATTAGCCAGGCATAGTGGCATGTGCTACTTGGTAAGCTGAGGCAGGAGGATCAATTGAGCCCAGTTGGAGGCTGCAGTGAGCTGTGTTCACGTTACTGCACTCCTGGGTAACAGCAAGAGTCTGTCTCAAAAAAGAAAATAAGACATGCTGTTTTTGAAAAATATCCTGAAAAACCATGCTGTTGTAGATGTGTTGCCATCCAGGCTTTATCCTATCTCTAGAGCACAAGCAGAGTAGATTTAGCATAATCCTTAAGGGTCCTGGGAATTTTTTTGAGATGGAGTCGCACTCTGTTGCCCAGGCTGGAGTATAGTGGCATGATCTCGGCTCACTGCAACCTCTGCCTCCTGGGTTCAAGCGATTCTCGTGCCTCAGCCTCCTGAGTAGCTGGGATTACAGGCCTGCACTACCATGCCCAGCTAATTTTTGTAATTTTAGTAGAGACGGGGTTTCACTATGTTGCCCAGGCTGATCTTGAACTCCTGGCCTCAAGAAGTCCACCTGCCTTGGCCTCCCAAAGTGCTAGGATTACAGGTGTGAGCCATCGCACCCGGCCTGGTGCTAGGATTTTTGGAACGGTTGATGAACATGGTTTCATCTTAAAGTCACCAGCAGCATTAGTCCCTAACAAGAGGGTCAGCCTATCGTTTGAAGCTTTGAAGCCAAGTATTGACTTCTGTCTAGCAATAAAAGTTCAAGATGGCATATTCTTCCAATAGAAGGTTATTTTGTCTACACTAAAAATCTATTGTTTAGTATAGAGACCTTTGTCGGTTATCTTAGCTAGGTCTGCTGGATAACTTGCTGTAGCTTTTCCATTGGCACTTGCTGCTTCACCTTGAGCTTTTCTATTATGGAGACAGCTTCTTTTCTTCAAACTCATGAACCAAACTCTGCTAGCTTCAGCCTTTTCTCCTGCAGCTTCCTCACCTCTCTGAGCCTTCATAGAATTGAAGAGCGTTAAGGCCTTGCTCTGGATTAGGTTTTGGCTTTAAGAAAATGTCATGGTGGGTTTGAGCTTCTACACAGACCACTCAAACTTTCTCCATAAATTGCCAGGCACAGTGGCTCACTCCTGTAGTTCCAGCACTTTGGGAGGCCAGGGCAGATGGATCACTTGAGGTCAGGAGTTCAAGACCAGCCTGGCCAACATGGTGAAACCCTGTCTCTACTTAAAATACAAAAATTAGCTGGGCATGGTGGCACCCATCTGTAATCCAAGCTGCTCAGGAGGCTGAGGTGAGAGAATTGCTTGGACCCAGGAGGTGGAGGGTGCAGTGAGCTGAGATCATGCCATTGCACTCCAGCCTGGGTGACAGAGCAAGATTTTATCTCAAAAAAACAAAACAAAACAAAAAACAAAACTTTCTCCATAAATAAGGTTGTTTTACTTTATAATCCATGTGTTCACTAATACACTTTTAATACACTTTTCATTTCCTTCAAGAGCTTTTCCAACCAACTCAGGAACAGAAAACCAAATACCGCATGTCCTCACTTATAAGTGGGAGCTAAGTGATGAACACACATGACACATATTGGGGACAACACACACTGGGGCCTATTGGAGGGTGGGGGATGGGAGGAGGACAAGGATCAGGAAAAATAACTAATGGGTACTAGGCCTAATACCTGGGTGATGCAATAATCTATACAACAAACCCCCGTGACACAAGTTTACCTATATAACAAACCTGCACATGTACGCCTGAACTTAATATAAAAGTTAAAAAAAAAGTAAAGGTAAATACATAAGTAAATAAAAGTAATGTTTACACTAAAAAAACCCAGTCTTTTCCTTTGAATTCAAAACTTGGCTAACTGGTGCAAGAGGCCTAGTTTTTGACTTCTCTGAGCCTTTGACATTCCTTCATCACTGAGTTTTATCTTTTCTAGCTTTTGATATAAAGTGAGAGATGTGTGACTCTTTCACTTGAACACGTATAAGCCATTGTAGGGTTATTAGTTGGTCTAATTTCAGTATTGTGTCTCAGGGAATAGGGAAACCCTAGGAGATAGAGACATGAGTGGAAAGGGTCGGGGTATGAGGGAAAGGGGTGGCTGGTTAGTGGAGTAGTCAGAACACACACAACATTTGTTAAGTTCACTGTCTTACATGAGTGGTTCATGGCATCTCAAAACAATTGCAATGGTAATGTCAGATCATGAAAAAGTTTGAAATACTCTGAGAATTGCCAAAATGTGACACAGATATATGAAGTGAGCACATGCTCTTGGACAAAATGGTGCTCATAGACTTGCTTAATGCAGGGTTGCCACAAATCTTCAATTTGAAAATAAAACCCCAAAAACCAGTATCTGTGAAGCACATTAAAGCAAAACACAATAAAATGAAGTATGCCTGTATATCCAAATCTAGTCACATTGGGGGCTAGGGCTTCAACGTATAAATTTGGGCAGGGGCACAATTCAGTCCGTAACAGCTGTGTGTGTATATATATTTGGCAAATACACACACACACACACACACACACATCTTGTTCATGTGCAGTGTGACGTAAGTACGAAAACAAAAGTTTTTTGCCATTTTTTAATCTTTGATTATTTGAATATTTGGCAAGCATTTCTTTTGTTTTAACAAAGCCTTGAAGATAACAATGTAGTAAATGTTTCTAAAACCCTTCCAGATTCAACTAATGAGCATTGGCAAAGAACATAAGTTCATATTTATTGTCTTCTGTTTCTTTCAACAGTTCCATTAACCAGTAATAATTTATAGTATTTGCATGTATGCAAACTGAATGCTTTTAACAATGTTCATTAAACTTTTTATAGAGCATGTTTCAGATAAAAAACTGAATGCAGGTATCTATCACGTGATGGAGTGAAGCAATAAGGGAATCATTAGTCTTCTCTTTTTTTTTTTTTGAGATGGAGTCTCGCTCTGTCGCCCAGGCTGGAGTGCAGTGGCACAATCTCAGCTCACTGCAACCTCCACTTCCTGGGTTCAAGCAATTCTGCCTCAGCCTCCTGAGTAGCTGGGATTACAGGTGCATGCCACCACGTCCGGCTAATTTTTGTATTTTTAGTAGAGTCGGGGTTTCACCATGTTGGTCAGACTGGTCTCGAACTTTTGACCTTGTAATCTGCCCTCCTTGGCTCCCAAAGTGCGGGGATTACAGGCGTGAGCCACTGCGCCCAGCCAGCCTTTTGTTTTAAAATTCCAATAAATCTGAATTTTTTTCCCCTAACATAGAACTAAAACACTATTCATTGTAATAAAAATTAATTTTTTCATATCTTGCTGAAATTCTTTGACAAATGTGAAAGATTAAAAATACCTGTGGAAAACAGACAACAACTGTGCAGTGAGATTGATATTTTAGGCTGTGAATTGATAATATTTCTTTGCAAATTTGGAAGTCCCTTTGGAAAAAATGTATCAAAAGTATGATTTAAAGCTAAAGAAAAGTATTTGGCCTTTTTATTTCATCGCACTTCTGAGAGCAAGATAGGTCACCAGCAGCTGTACTGGAGCCACTGGTGAAAATTCAGCCAGGATTCTCGCTTTTGTCGTGTCTGCTCAAGCCAGCATGGTCTGATCTGGAAATATGGCCTCAATGTGTGCCTCCAGTGTCTCCGTCAGTATGCGAAGGATATTGGTTTCATTAAGTTGGACTAAGTGATCTTCCTTGAAAGGATTATCCAAGGCATCTACCTAATAAAAAACCACGATGGCTCTTTGTGCATAAAATAAACACTAAAAAAAAAAAAAAAAGTATTTGCAGTTTTCCAGAAATTGAATCAATTGATCTTTGATATTGTTAGAAAGATATTGTATTTTATGGACAGTATTCTGTGGTTGCTTCATTGAAAATCTTTTACATTTTAAAAAATATATCCTTTCCTTGTAATTTTTAAGAAAATTAAAAAAAAAAACAAGATCACTTCTTTTGCCATCTCCCCATTTAAAAAGGATTTTCTTTTTTGTGCAAGAATCCAAGTTATTTTATAGCGGGTGAAAGTTAGAAGTTCAGGTCCTGTTAAAATCACACTTTTTATTGGACATTTAATTCTAATTTCAGGTGACTAATTTTGTCAATTCTTTTTTCACAGGAAGCATCAAATTCCTAATGTATTTGCTGAAAATGTCCCTTAATATTGTTCACTTTATTGTCTTAAAAAATGTTTTGTAGCCAGGCGCGGTGGCTCATGCCTGTAATCCCAGCACTTTGGGAGGCCAAGGCAGGTGGATCACCTGAGGTCAGAAGTTCAAGACCAGCCTGGTCAACATGGTGAAACCCCATCTCTACTAAATATACAAAAATTAGCTGGGCGTGGTGGCGGGCGCCTGTAATCCCAGTTACTTGGGAGGCCGAGGAAGGAGAATCGCTTGAACCCAGGAGGCGGAGGTTGCAGTGAGCCAAGATCGCGCCATTGCTCTCCAGCCTGGGCAACAAGAGCAAAACTTCATCTCAAAAAAAAAAAAGAAAAAAAATGTTTTGTATGCAACAAGCAAGCAGCTTTTTTTGTTTTGCCCTGTTGTAGCAAATTGCAGCTGCCATTGATTGTGAAATTTGTGACATACTTTCTTCTAGTCTTTTTTACCTTTGCTCTTTCAGTGGTACCACCAGCTTCTCCATCTTCACTTGACTGTATCAATAGTATGCTTTGTTTTAAATTTAAAAATTTGTACATATTTTCTTAATCTAGAAAAAGAATAATATCATAATTAAAATGAGTATTTCAGTTCAACTACCTATTACAATTTATGTAGGTATCACCATAACTTGCGCTCTATGCATAAAATATTCAAATAAACACATTACAATGTTATGTTAGTGCATGGAGGAAAAGAACTGTGATAGGATCAGTCTGGAGAAAAAAATCATGTTGGGATCAGTCTGTTGACACTGACTGGTTTGGCAATGTATTATATGAAATACCAGAAATGACATTTGTGCCTGTTGAGTGCTTGACAATACAACAGTAATATGTGATGCAGTAGTTGCAGTTAAATGTAGTTCTATCAAAACAATGAAATTGTGTTTAATGGAAAAGTATTTTATACTGCTGCTTTAAAAAATTTTTTCCATTCAAAAATTACAGAGAGGTCTCGTGCCTCCACTGAATTTTCTACAGTGTTAACATCTTAAATATTATATAGTAATATATAGTGCAGTATAGTACAATATCAAAACCAGGAAATTGACATTGGTACAATTCATAGAGTTTATTTAGATTTCACCAGTTTTACATGCTTGTGTGTGTGTTTCTGTAGTTCTGTGCAATTTTTTCATATGTGTAAACTCATGTAACCACCACTACAATCAAGACACAGAACTGTTCCAAAACCACAAAGCTCCTTTGTGCTGTCCCTTTATAAGCACACACCCCTGCTTCTATTTTTAAACTTAAATCTCAGTTAATCAAAACTAAAAAGTTGAATTTCTCAGTCACACTAGCCACATTTTAAGTGTTTAGTAGCAAAATGTGGTTGGTGGCTATCATATTGGACAATGCAGACTAGACTTTAGATGTTGTGAGGTATCTTAAAGGCTTTGAGATAATATGTTCACTTTCTTCTAAGGCGTGTGTGTGTGTGTGTGTGTTTGTGTTTAAAGAGACTTGATCTTGCTATGTTGCCCAGGCTGGATTTGAACTCCTAGGCTCAAGTGATCCTCCCACCTCAGCCTCCTGAATGGCTTTGTCACTGTGCCCTGCTCTTCTAAGGCTCTTAATCCCCTAAGTCTTCCTTTGTGAATCAGAACTAGGTTCATAACAGCTAGTCTCTTTTATGAGTCCTCTTCCTTCTACATTGGTGCCTGGTTCTTAATTATTATTTAATTGATTAGTAAGATATTCTAAACAACATCCTCAATATGTGTTCGAAAAATGCACCATAACATATACTGTAGAGGAGGTATTGAAGTATTCTGTTTTATAAACTAGTTATGTTTTACTGTAAAGTACAAACACTCAGATTCTATGCAGAGACGAAAAAAGTATGTTTATTCATTATTAAATAAGTGAGATTTTATTCTAAACTAGTTTCAAGTTAGAATGCAGAACTTCTGAGTGCTTGTCATACAATCAAATCAGCAGCTAGCACTAGATGATTATAATGTAGATGGCTTAATACCTCATTGTTACAGAGTACAGACAGTAATATAGTACAGACAATTCATTTGAGCAGTGAAAATAAAATAATAATAATTGTGTGTCATGATTTGTCCCACGCAGTTGAGAAGGCTGTGGAATTATCTGTGCTGTTTTCTTCCCCATCATCTTAAAATTAAAGAATTCTAGAAAACCTAAGAATATTCCAGGACTGCGAATGGTTTCTTGTTTAAAACTTCTTTTTTTAAAAAATTCAGATTTGCCACTTGACACTGACCTGGAAAATGAAAAAACATCTACTGTCCCATTGGCTGAGATGCTTGGAGACATGATCTGGGAGGACTTGTCTGAGTGCCTCATCAAAAACTGTTTGGTTTATTCGATTCCAACAAATAGCAGCAAATTACAGCAATATGAAGAGGTAAAGAGCCCAGACAGCACAGAAGGTTTTAAGACACTGTTGTTTCTTATTGCTGTCTTTTGTTTTTCCTTGGAGATAGTTTGTTCTTTAGTTATACCTTTAAGTAAATTATTAATAAGGAATAGAGACAAATTCCATATAACTTCATTTTTCTCCTGGCTTCCTACCTCTTTAACTGCAGAAGTTTGTTTCCTTACTAAATATATTTTCTTTATGTTCATTTATACTTATATCAGCTATAATAGCTATTGTGTGACATTTTACTTTTTGCTTCTTTTTAGTGTTTCCTTGAATGCTAAAATAAGTATATTTGTTTTAAAGATCTTTCTATTTTTACTAAGTAGAGTCAGACATTTCTACTGAAGATATTCTTTCTAATGAATTTAAGGCTGGAAATATGTATATTTTTATACCTAGTAATTGATGGTCCATTCTAAAATGACCAGCTTGGTCCTCATTTTTTTATACATTGGATTTGAAATTCTAATATTGTAATGGAATATATGTAAATGATTCTTTTCTTTTTTTTCTTTTGTATCTCAGATCATACAGTCCACTGAAGAATTTGAAAATGCCCTAAAGGAAATGAGATTTTTAAAAGGAGATACTACAGATTTGCTGAAATACGCTCGTAACATCAATTCTCATTTTGCAAACAAAAAGTGCCAGGATGTGATTGTGGCAGCCAGAAATCTAATGACCTCAGAAATTCATAACACTGTGAAGGTACCAGTGTTATATTGCATTGTATATGAAACATTGTATATGAGAAAGCAACTCATTTTGAGATGCATATAGTAAAGTGGAAGAGAGGATGACGGTTGTTGAGCTGAGTCAAGTTATCAATCTTTTTTACATTGGTTTTGTCTCCTTTAAAGTGGTCCTAATCTCCACCTCTTCCATTGGGTATTGTGAAGTGCAGATACGATAATGCACATGAAAGCCTTGTATAAATTGAAAAAGTCTACATACATGTAATGGATTATTATTGTTGAAGTGAGACAGTAGATTATTCTCATCTTTATTTCTGAAGGTTTTAGGACACAACTTTGTGACAGGTACACTTGGGCTACATTATGTCCAGAAATTATATCCTCTTATGAAAGTGTTGACTTCATCTAATAGAGAGACTAGTTTTAAAGTTAAAATAATAAAAAGGTAAATAAAAAGATAGGATATAAATAATTACCTGTAAAGGCAGTGGACCTTTGACCTTTTTTTTTTCATATCTTACATGTATGAAATAATGTATATACCTTGAATTGGGCTGTGGTTTCTTTTAACATAAATGTCAATTGATTATGTCACTCTTCTGCAGAAAGTCCAGTGTCTTCCCATCTTATTTAGAGAAGACCCAGTAGCCTTACAGTGGACTGCAAGGCCTTATCTGATCTGCCTCCTATTGCCTCTCTGACTCTATTATCTATTGCATTCATCCTTCACTATGCTGCAGGCATCCTGGACTTATTTCTGTTCCTTGAATGTGCTAGGCCTACTTTGTTTCAGAATCTCTGAACCACTTGTTACCTCTGCATGGAATATTCTTACCGCAGATCACATGATTTGCTTTTTAAAAAGTACTTTCTGATCACTTAAAAAAAATTATAACCTCCCCTATTTCCTGTACCCCTTCCTTGGTGTATTTTTCTTTTTATTATATCATCAACCAACATTTTATATGAATTGTTTGTTGTTTCTCCCTCTAGAAAGTAAGCTCCATGAGGGTAGAGTTTTGTTGTTGTTTTTTTTTTTTTTTTTTTTGACTGTTTTGTTTACTGTTATATCTCCAGCACTAAGAAAATACCTGGTACATACATACTACTACTATGTACTCAGTGCTCATGTGCTTACTGATTACCTTTGGTAAATGAATTCATATATATCTCACAACTCCTTGATGTAAACAGCATTACTGCTGAATTGCTCTGTGACTCTGGGCTTAATCTTCTCACCTTGTTGAACCTCATTTTCCTCTTCTGTACTGTGAGAGGATTGAACTAGATAATCTGAGTTTCCTACTTAAGTAATTTTGAGAGTTTGTAAAACTGCATTTTTTCTGAGTACTCAAATCCTAATGTAGCTTCCTCTAGGTCAGGACGTCTCAGCAGTGGCAGTGTTAACATTTGGGACCGGCTAATTCTTCGCTGTGGGGGACTGTCCTATGGGATATTTAGCAGCATCCCTGACCTCTGTTCCCTAGATTCTAGTAGCACCTCTTCCAGCTGTGACAAGCAAAAATATCTCCAGACATTGCCAAATGCCCCCTTTAAGACAGAGTTTTCCCTGATTGAGAACCACTGCTTTAGATTCCAGCTGGTTCTTTCTCTTGGCATTTAGGCCCTGGAATTAGATTTTCTAAACTTCCCAACTTTGAAAAAAGCTCCTCTTCCCTTTTCTAAAAAACGTTTTCAACTTAATTGCTTTTCATGGTCTGTTTCTCAATTCTCTTTATTCCCCTATGTGTACTCACTGTTTTCCCAAAAGATCTATAGTTGTGTTTTTTGTTGTTGTTTGGTTTTTACATTTTGTCTTAAGAGACATCTTACTAGGTCTAACATTCTTCCGTCTTAGTTTCCTTTGCCCCTCCTCATGAAGTCACCTTTTCGAATCTTATGTATCCAGGCCCACTATTTTTCAGACAAAGATTAGCATTTTAAATAAACTCTGTAAGTAAATTTTTTCATCATCATTCTAATCTTAGCCATAATTTTTGACTACCCAGTCCCTGATATTTGTGTTCTCATTTAAACTTCATAACAGCTCTCTAAAGTAGATATTATTATACCATTTTACAGATTAGACAGCCAAGTCCACTGACTTAAATAGTTTTATTAGACTTTGAACCTTTTCTGCCAGAAAATCTCTGTCGAAGTCCAGTATGTGCAAAGTTGTTATTCTTGCAGTGGGAGTAGGGAGCCTGCTGCCTCTACATGCTTTATCTTTTTTTTTTTTTTTAATCCCTGAAGCATCTTTGAGGAACAAGGTTCAAAAGCCATTATTAGTATATTATTTATTTTACAGTGAGAAAATTGAGATCCAGAGAGGTTAAATGACTTTGTTAAAAGTTAGGGTGAAAAATATTACTGTTTTCACATTCACAGCCTACTGTTCTTTCATTTAGTCCCAACAAAAGAAATTTTCTATTGAAGCTTTTTTTTTTTAATAAGGGGAGGATATGCTAGTTTGAATGAGAATGAGTTATTTCTTAGACTAAGCCAACACATGTGCCTGGTACAAAATAATTTGTTCAAGAATCTAGACAGTGGAACCCCAAATTATGCTGCTCTGTAATACTAATAGTCTAGTATGAGACAGATGATTTTTGAAGGTCTTTTTATTTAGCTGAAATCTTAGGCCAGTTGCACAGCTTTGCTATTTCAGCCAAGATTAAGAATGCTTGGGGCCGGGTGCGTTTGCTCATGCCTATAATCCATGCACTTTGGGAAGTCGAGGAGGGAGAATGACTTGAGCCCAGGTGTTCGAGACCCGCCTGGGCCATATAGCAAGACCTTTTCTCTACTAAAAATAAAAGTAAATTAGCTGGGTGTGGTGGGTGCCTGTAGTCCCAGCTACATGGGAGGTTGAGGCTACAGTGAGCTATGATTGTGCCACTGCACTCCAGCCTGGGTGACAGAGCAAGACCCTGTCTCAAAAAGAGTGCTTAGAAGAATGTCACAGTAAAGGGGATTAAGGGAATTGTTTATCACTTATGACATGCTTTCATCTAGGATTCAGCAGTCATTAAAATATTGTCATATTTATTGAAATCTTTTAATTACTCTGTAGAGCCGTAGCTGTATCATGAAAGCAAGCAGTATCTTATTCTTCACCGTGTGCTTATATTTGTTTTTTTTGAGACGGAGTCGTGCTCTGTCGCCCAGGCTGGAGTGCAGTGGCATGATCTCAGCTCACTACAAGCTCCGCTCACTGCAAGCTCCGCCTCCCGGGTTTGCGCCATTCTCCTGCCTCAGCCTCCCGAGTAGCTGGGACTACAGGCGCACGCTGCCACGCCCGGCCAATTTTTTGTATTTTTAGTAGAGACGGGGTTTCACCGTGTTAGCCAGGATGGTCTCGATCTCCTGACCTCGTGATCTGCCCGCCTCGGCCTCCCAAAGTGCTGGGATTACAGGCGTGAGCCGCCATGCCCGGCCGTGTGCTTATATTTGAATTATTCTGAAAACAATATATTTTCTGTATTTTTGTGTTTGAATCTTAGATTATTCCTGATTCTAAGATAAATGTGCCAGAGTTACCCACTCCTGATGAGGATAACAAACTGGAAGTACAGAAAGTATCCAATACTCAGTACCACGAAGTGATGAATTTAGAGCCTGAAAATACATTGGACCAACATTCCTTTTCCTTGCCCACATGCCGTATCAGTGAGTCTGTGAAGAAATTAATGGAACTCGCCTATCAGACTTTACTAGAGGCAACAACCAGTAGTGATCAATGGTACGAATTCTGGGTTGTGTGAAAATGGCAATGACTTGGTTAAATGCATATCTAACTAGATGTTTATCAGGAAAATTAGCTGGAATTCTTTGGGTTTTCATATCCTAGAAGTTAATGCTTTTTCTGGAAACAAAACAAAACAAAACAAAAACCCAGTGCATCACACAGATTTATGTCTATCTCTGACTTTTATTTGCAATAGCATAGATGTTTGAGCAAGGTGTAGGAAGTAGGTGCACTTGTATGGATGGACAAATGGATTTTTTTGACATTAAAAATTGTTAATCACTTTTTAACAAAAAGTTCTTCAATTGTTGTTGAATTTTTACTTTTTATTTGAATTGAATGATATTATATGAGAAAACACATGCAAAGAACTTAGAATCCTACCTGGAAAATGATTAATACTCAAATGTTTATTATTGTGTTGGCAGTGGGTAATAGTTATATCTTCTATTCCAGCTTGCTCAGGCTCTTTAGCTTAACATTCTTTTTACCTTTTGAAACCCAGTCCCTAATTCATTTATATTTTAAATGTTTATATTTGAAGCAATAACAATTTGTTAGGCAGCCAAAGGTAGAAGGAAAAGAATGGAACATGCCAAAGATCTGGCTTCACTCTTTCAAGATGACTTCTAATCTATATTGCATTCACGTTACCTTAAATTCTACTCCATTATCTTATATGGAATCTGTTTTTGTTCAATAAGCTTCTTCCCTACTCCTAGACTAAATTGAGAAGAAAATGGCAGAGCATGGACCAAGCTGATTGCAGAGCAGGTTTATAAAAGCTTCTTTAGTTTGAATCTGCATTTAGCAATTTCATTCTTCCTATCCTCATAGAGAAAACAGTTTCAGTTAGGGTTTGGCCCAATCAAATTGCATCTTTAGATGGACTTTCCAAGTTCAATTTTTATCGTGAGATAACCTCTTTATTTTATTCTGCTCTAGGAAGAACATGTCTCCCAAGATACTTTCCTAGCTTTAATGAATCATTACATTCACATGTCCATTCAGAGTTAATTGTAAGAAGGAAGAAATGAATATAGGAGTGACTGTTGGCAAAATGAATATAGGACTGTTTCTTCACATGGCACTCTCCTGAAATATATCAGACCAGAAGTTAGAGATGAGGGCAATATTTCTTAAATTTTTTGGGAACACAAAACACCAAACAGTATTTGTATACTGACTATCTATGGACATTCTTTCCACTAAAAGTAATAGTTTTTAACAGGACAAACAAAACCACAGCTACAATGCAACAACCCCCTTTTTCATTATCAAACTCAAACAGCAGCTCCTGCAGCGAAAATGAAATAATTTAATAAGGTATTATAATAATCAAATAGTAACAGGGTTTTTGGGTATGACTTATTTTCCTAAATATTTATGAAATCCCTGTAAGCTTTTAAGGTACGTAGCTTAAGATATTCTTATGTAGAGGTAAGTTACACAAACCTTATGTTTGCCTTTTAAAAGTGCATTTTAATAATAATCTGTAGGTGTTTTAAGGCTAGATTTAAAGGGCAAAAAATCTTGAGGGCTAGATTCTATCCTAGAAATGTTGATTCACCTCCTTGCATTGAGGTAAGAAGGAGAAAAGGTGAAAGCTGAAAGTCAGACTGATTCTAAAAGAACCAAGCGAGTGCTTTTATTGATACCTTGCCCTTTGCAGAGTGTGTCAGTGAGTAGGTGACATTTGCTTGAGGCTTAGCTCCATTTGTTACTGAAGGGATACTCTGGGTACTGGCAGAACAGAAATTGATAAATAGAAAAGAGGCTTTGGGTTGAATGCGGCTCTTCTTACAATCATTAATGCATCCAGGTGTTTGGAATTGTAGTCTGGTTAGTAAATACTGGTTGAGACTATATTTCCATCTAGATTAATGGTGTTTTCCAGCAACCAAGGCAGGTGTTCTGTGCAACTGTAGTTTTAGCTTATGACTCTCACTGAAGATGCACTTAGTTTAAATTTTTTTCTTGTTTTTAGTGTATTCTTAGGCATTTCTGTTAAGTCTATGTTTTCTTTTTAGTGCTGTTCAACTTTTCTACTCAGTGAGGAATATCTTCCATTTGTTCCATGATGTTGTACCAACATATCACAAGTAAGTACCACTGTATCTCATTTCTATATAATAATTGTATGTCTAAGATGTGGAAGTTAAGTTAAAACAAATAATTTTATATTCCCACTAAAGATATTTTGTTTACTAACATTCACACTAAAATGCAGTAAATCATTTTAAAACGCATATTTAAAGGATTTGGTCATTTATTACTAAATTAATTAGGGTATTATAATCTTGCAGTGTAGTTCATGATGCACATTTTAAAACTCAAAAGAACTACCTTGTTTTGCTGCTAAGCATTTTCAGAACTGCCTTTACTTAACTTTCAGCCTCTAGTTCAGTTTTCTTTATTTGAATTAAAATGTTTAGATGTTTTTCATAAATATCTTTGATAACATGTCAACAAAGCTATTCCTTAGCCAAGAACTCTGAATTTCAGAGACAAAAATCTGCCAGGCACAGTGGCTCACACTTGTAATCCCAGCACCTTGGAAGGCAGAGGTGGGAGGATTGTTTGAGGCCAGAAGTTTGAGATTAGTTTGAGCAACATAGTGAGACCCTCGCCTCTAATTAAAACAAAGAAACAAAAAACCAAAAAAAAAAACAAAAGCTGTTTACTATTTAAAGTATTTTTTAGTTCAGATTTTTGAATATTGGGATGTTTTTAACTAGGCTCACCTGTTGTTTTTATTATAAAAGCTTATTGTGAACCTTATTAGTTTTATTTGTATTCTCTTTACTGTGGTTTAACATTCTTATTTCATTTTTTACTTAGTCAAGCAAAAGAAAAGAGAAAACATATTTGCATTAGCTGACAGCCTTGTCCTTGGGGATTTAAAGACAGGAGTGGAGTTAGATTTGCCTGTCTTTCTCCTTCGTATAACCTCGGAACTTTAGTGTGCATCAGAATCACGTGGAAGTCTTGTTAAAACACAGATTGCTTGATCCATGCCCAAGGTTTCTGATTCAGTAGGTCTGGAATGGGGCTTGGATTTTTAGCAAATTTCCAGGTGATGCTGATGTTGCCTGTCATGGGACCACATTTTGAGAACCACTGTCCTTAGATAACGGTTCTCAGCTTTGGCAGTATTTTTATATCGTTTCATTTCATTTCAATTTCATTCCATTCATTTAATTTCATATTTTGAGACAGAGTCTAACTCTGTTGCCTAGGCTGGAGTGCAGTGGTGCAATCATGGCTCATTGCAGCCTCGACCTACTGGGCTCAGGTGATCTTCCCATCTTAGCCTCCCAAGTAGCTGGGACCACAGGCACACACCACCACACCTGTCTAACATATTTTTGTAATGATAGGGTCTGTATATGTTGCCCAGGCTGGTCTTGAACTCCTTGGCTCAAGTGATCCTCCTGCCTTGGTCTCTCAAAATGATGGTATTACAGTTGTGAGCCACTGCACCGGCCAGACTTTGGGCAGTATTTTAGAATAACTTATGGAGCTTTAAAAATATACATATTTACTCTCTTCCTAGGGCATTTGATTTATGTCTGATGTAAGGCCCAGGTGTGTTTTTTTCTTTTTTTTTAAGCCCCACAGGTGATTCTGATGTGTAGCTGGAAAAGAGGACTATCTTAGTTATCTTAGTTTGTTGGCTTCTGACTTGTATATCCTAGTTTTATATTGAGTTAGCAAACTAGAAACTGTTAATTGAATGACTGTTAGTGGGTAGATAGCAGAAATATAAGACAAAATTTCTTCCCAAGCTGGGTAGATAAGACTAATACGTGTAGAAGAATTAAAGTAGTGATTTTCAATCCTGGATGAAAATTAAAATCACCTGGGAAGATTTTAAAACATATAAATGCTGTGATTTCACTCTTAGAGCTTGTGATTTAATTTGTTTGGGGTAAAGTCTAAACATCTGTGGTTTTTTAAAATTCCCAGGTGACTCTAATCTAGTCAGTTTTTGAAAACTAGTGAATTAGAAAATAATTGAACACTTCATTATATGACTGAAGTAGGAATTTGGAGAAAGGTGAAGTAAACCTGTATTTCCATAGATGTATCCGTGTAAAATTTCAAGGACATTATTATGCATAGCTCTGCTAGGTTTTCAGTGCAAAAAGTTGACTCAGGCAAACATCTTGATTCCCTTAATCTTTCTTTATTGTTAATCACCAGGATAGTTTTATAGGATAAAATCCCATTCAGGCAGAACAGCCTCCCTCTGGGAGTGGGAGTGATGAGATTGTATCTTGTTATGTATAGCATTTAGAAACTAGACAGTTATTAAAGCCTAGAAATACATTAGAGAAGTTGTGACTTTCATCAACCCCAGCTTCAGTAACAGGTGGTTGCTTTGTTTTTCTACCCCTCCTTCTGGCCTAGGGAGAACCTTCAAAAACTTCCCCAGTTGGCTGCTATTCATCACAACAACTGTATGTACATTGCTCACCACTTGCTGACCCTCGGGCATCAGTTCAGATTGCGTCTTGCCCCCATTCTTTGTGATGGCACTGCTACTTTTGTGGATCTTGTACCTGGCTTCAGGAGACTTGGTAACTGATACTTTCAATGTAGGAAAGCATATGGATTATGCAGCTTGTCAACATAGTATCTTTATAGTTTTTGAATGAGAAAATTAGAAATTAGGTGGTGGTCCTGAGCTGTATCAGAAAGTGGGAGGGCATTTAATTTGCAAGTGTTTCCAGTTATATAATTTTATAAGGTGAGTGTAGTCTTTGTGGGAGACTTTTTTACTTTTTTGTAACATGATTTCATGGTACGTTAGAGTTCCAAACTGCAGTCCTAGTGTGCATTGAATTTGCCAGGTCAGGATTCACATAATAGGATTTATAATGTGACAATTTTGTTTGTATTGTTGGTAAGAGCTCACTAATGTCAGTGCTAGTTCTTTTGCAAAACCCCAAGACAGCTCCCCCATCTTACATCTCCCTTAGTTTTACTTGGGATTACTAAAAGTCAAAAGAAATGAAATGTGGAGTAAATCAATATGTTGATCATAGCAGAGAATCTATGTGTTTCACTTAGCTTTTCAATTCTTGATTTTTCCCTAGTTGGTATAGATACATCAGAATAATAAGTAGTTCCTTTTTCTATAGTAATTTTTCTTAGCTGACTCGGGCTCTAAGCAAACTACTGGAAAATATTATCTGGAGGGTGGGGTTTGAGGAACGGGCTAATGTATTCAAAGTGATTGTTTCTAGTAGCTTTAGGGCAGCTTTATGATATTATCTAGCAATTATTTTTATATAGGCAGAACAGATACATGGTTTATGCATCTCTTGTCTATCCTGGTTTTGCAGTGTGTAATTGAGCAGCTTTTAAAATTTTTTATTCTGTTTTTCCATCATAGGGACAGAATGCTTTTTGGCCCAAATGCGGGCACAGAAAGGTGAACTTCTGGAAAGATTATCAAGTGCTAGGAACTTTTCAAATATGGACGATGAAGAGAATTATTCTGCAGCAAGTAAAGCAGTCCGGCAGGTAGGAGGCTCTTGCTAGCACTGAAATTTGTATTCTATCCTTAGATGCCTTTTTTTTTGTTTGCTTTTTTAAAGCAGAAAACAATATGTAACAAGTATTCAGTTGATTCCCTGCACCCCCACCTTTGGAAAATCTAGATACCTTTTACAATCATGTTTAAGAACTTTTTCTTCCCCTCTCCCACCAAGACAACACGAAACTATCTTTTCATTGACTCAATAATTGCAACTTGTTACCTAGAAAGTCTGTTGTGGCAAGTAGTTGATTCCTGAACTTAGATTTGGGAATTTGAAATATTGGCTTTTATCTTAATGCTCCCCTTTCTTAAGTGATTTATCTTTTTTGCTGCAGTTTTCCTATCCTCAGGTTGATGAGTCTGCTTTTCATCTACCAGGGATATCACTATGGTTAAATGTTCAAGAAGCATATGTCCTTAGTTACTTTACCTCATTTTGGCATAATGCCACTTTCCCAATGAACTCACAAATGATAAATGTAAATCTGGAAAATACGAGTCACAGTAATCTTTCTTCCACGTAAATAGCTGTATTCTTCTACAGGTACTGCACCAACTAAAGAGACTTGGAATTGTGTGGCAGGATGTCCTGCCAGTGAATATATATTGCAAGGCTATGGGGACTTTACTCAATACAGCAATTTCTGAGGTCATTGGCAAAATTACTGCCCTAGAGGTAAGGGCCATTAGATGCTACACTAGCCTTGAGATGCAATTCATGTCCCAGATTGTGACTTTGCTAAGAAAGTGATGTTGAAGAAATTGTTCATGTTTCATGTCTAACTCATGCTGTTTTTTTTTTTTTCAGTTTTGTTTTATATCTGTTTTGCTAGAAACTGTTTAATCTCTTTTATATGAAAGTAGGATTGAACTATTTCTCAGCCTACCATCTAGATTATAAATGAGGAAGTTAGAAACTGGGTAGTGGTCCTGAGATGCGTTGTATAGTGTAAAGTCATTTAATTTGCAAGTAAACTCAATAATTTGATTTAGTAAAGTGAATGCAGTCTTGTGCAGGTTCCATTTTTCCAACACACTGTTGCAGTTTAAATTTTACATGTGATTCTTCAGGAAAATTGTCTGGACTTGGCCAGCTGATGCCTCTAAATCATAGATTGACTAAATCCCTATTTGTAATCACATCCCCTGCTTTGCAACAAGCTGTGCGACATTCTATTGGAGAAACAGGCTCTTTCATGCAGGCAAACTAAATTACTGACAATCTGTTGAAACATATTTTGTGTCATTCTTATATAGAAGTATTGTCAGAGAACTGATGTAGTGTCTAGTAAGTTGTTCCAAATTGGTTGGAAAACATGTTGTAGCTGACCCACCTGGACAGCATGCATCAAAGATCTGCTGCCCTTTCCCCACTTCTGAGCTGGCCCAATTCTATTCTATTGTGTTTCCTCTGTGCAAAACCAGGACATATCTACTGAAGATGGTGATAGGTTATATTCCTTATGCAAAACAGTGATGGATGAAGGACCCCAAGTATTTGCACCTTTATCTGAAGAAAGCAAGAACAAGAAATATCAAGAAGAGGTTCCAGTCTATGTGCCAAAATGGATGCCATTCAAGGAATTGATGATGATGCTACAAGCCAGCTTGCAAGAAATTGGGGATCGGTATGTATAACCCTTCTATAGAGGCATATAACTCTCCATAGCTACAAGAGAGTAATAGTGCCCTTGATAGCAGGGCTTTTCCCTGTTTCCTGATGTTAGTCATGCAAGACTTTCATATTGAGTAGCAGTAGCTGGGGCCTTTTCATGATCTATCATAATGCAGATCTCATTACCACTTTCCCATATTTGATAGCATAAAGACTTCTCATCCATATTATTTTGGTCTTGAGTATGTGGTTTGGCATGCTGTACAAGTGATCTGGCAACTGTAAGAATTATAGCCTTCTGACATCTGGATGGAAATTGTTGCTCACTTTAAGGAGCAGTGGATGCTTTTTTTTTTTTGAGACATGGTCTTACTCTGTCACCCAGGTTGGAGTGCAGTGGCTCAATCATTCCTCACTGCAGCCTCAAACTCGTGGGCTCAAGGGATCCTCCCACCTCAGCCTCCTGAGTAGCTGGGATTACAGGTGCCTACCACCACACCTGGCTAATTTATTTTATTTTATTATTTTATTTATTATTTATTTGTTTTGTTTTGTTTTAGAGACGAGGTTTCTCTGTGTTGTCCAGGCTGGTCTCAAACTCCTGGCCTCCCAAAGTGCTAGGATTACAGGCATGAGCCACTGCAGCCAGCCTGGATGCATTTTCAGAATTACTTTGATATATTAACAGAGAAGTGACTTTTACCTGTCTGAAATATTGAGCATCAGACTACTGTTTGATTGACCTGCAGTCTTTCTGCAGGGAGTGCAGTAGTTTTAGAGGTTAAGCACCATATACCTAGAAGGGATTCATCTTTTCTCAAACGTAGTGGATGATGTTTTCTCTCAACACCATCAGTTAATGTTGCTGTGCCCAGTGAGTGTATGCTATATCATATCATAGTGTGCAGAGGCCGTTGCACAAAGCAGAATAGATGTGGGTCAGTTACACATTCATGGATGATTTTATATTGTCTTGGTAGATTATTGGTCAGTATGTATACCTTGCATAAAGGACTCTCTGTAGAGGCCTTAAGGTCATCTCCATCCCTATAGGTACTTGTCTATCTGCTTTAGCTTGGTTTACTACAGATGTCTGGTTATATTAGACCAGTCATCCTAGATGTGTCTGAGTTGTTTGCTGCAAATATTAGTCATTTGTACAATGTCAATGAGATCTCTGCTTGAAAAAAAATCACATCAGAATACCTCCAATCACATTTACTACAAAGTTTAGATTTATTCATTTATTATTTACAAGTCCTTAGCAGGTAACAAAGACACCTTTAAGTAATAGGCTCCAGAGGGCAGCAGATAAGAATTTTTCTTTCTGTTGTTAAAGGGCTTTCTTGCAGTCTAAGAATGATCATTAATTCCTTGTTATAAGAAAAATTATAACACTAGTACAACTCAACTTCTTTTTACTGCCTAGGAAATTTTTTTCCCCCAGAGATTTGTGTAAATATAAGGCTAAAGTTGTAAAATATACATATGAAGGAATACAGTAGATATACTCTGTATTTATAATGTAAAGAAAAAGAATAAATTTCATGTACCTATTACCCAACTTAAGAAAAATAATACCAGTATTTTGAAGACCCATGAATCCCCTTCTCCAAATGCTCTCCATGAGGGGTAACCATTATCTTGACTTTTATGTTATTTATTTCCTTACCTTTCTTTATAGTTCTACCCCATTTACATGTATCCTAAATAACATAAAGTTTAGACTTGCCTTTTTTTGAACTTGGTATAAGTAGAATCATCTGTAACTTGCTTCTTTTGTTCAATATTATTATTATGTTTTTGAAATCTATTCCTTTTTTTTTTTGAGACAGAGTCTCACTCTGTCGCCCAGGCTGGAGTGCAGTGGTGTGATATTGGCTCACTGCAACCTCTGCCTCCCACGCTCCAGCAAGTCTTCTGCCTCAGCCTCCCGAGTAGCTGGGATTAAAGGTGCCCATCACCACATCCGCCTAATTTTTGTATTTTCAGTAGAGATGGGGTTTTGCCATGTTGGCTAGGCTGGTCTTGAACTCCTGACCTCATGTGATCTGCCTTCCTCGGCCTCCCAAAGTGTTGGGATTACAGGTGTGAGCCACCACTCCTGGCCTGAAATCCATTCTTGATGGTATGTGTAGCTGCAGTTCATTTTCACCATCGCATCATTCCATTGTACAAATATTTCATAGTTTATTTGTCCTGTTTAGTCTCATTTTCACCAGTATTTGGAATTATCAGACTGGAAAGTTTCAGCTGATCTAATTGGCATGCAATGATAGGTTATTGTCATTTTAATTTGCATTTCCCTAAATTCTAATGATGTTGAGCATCTTTTCATTGGTCATTCATGTTTCTTCTATTATGTAATGCCTGTTCATATTTTTTTGCCCGTTATTCTAATAGGTTGTTTGTGGTTTCACTATTGATTCATGGGACTTCTTTATATATTTTTGTACTAGTCCTTCATCAGTTAAAATTGGTTGCCTGTGGTTACTTTGTAATACAGTTATAAAGCCTAAGGCATGAGAGTATGGTCATCATTATTAGTTCAAAGAGGCCTTGGTATAGAATAAGGGAGAATAGTCTCATATTCCTCACTTGGTCTCTTCATCTGGCTGTGCTGATAACCAGTTGTAGTGGGTGAGCAAAGAGGTCAGACACATTGAGGGGCAGTTCTATAAAGAAGAGGAAAGATGCCCAGGATTTGTTTTATTTCCATTTCAAGCAAATAAGCATTTGGATCAAACAGGCAATTTTTAAGTCTTGCTTATACTTCAGAGACCTAATAGGAAATGGAACTCTATCTTTCGTTTTGCAGGTGGGCAGATGGAAAAGGACCCCTGGCAGCTGCGTTCTCTTCCAGTGAAGTAAAAGCTTTAATTCGTGCCTTGTTTCAGAACACAGAAAGAAGAGCAGCTGCCCTTGCTAAAATTAAATAGCTCCATCTTCTTAAGAAAGCTATGTCTTGAATATGTGGATTCTTCCCTTGGCATAATTACTCCCTTAAAGACTTCTTTGAATCGCCCATTGGTTTTGGTGAACCAGTACATCTTGGAAGTTTGACTTTACAGAAGAACGTCTTACCTCCTGGCCTGTACGAGGCTTTGTTTAAGAACTGTTTATTAAGATAAATTGTCAAGTAAAGCACCTCAATTCATTGACTTTCTAGCCATCTTCCTTTGATTAGCTAACAAACTGTCAGGCAGCATTATTTCATGCTGCTTCCAGAGCCCTCTGGGAGCTATATACATTGTAAATGCAGGCCCTAGCTTTGGAACGAGGAATTGGGAGATTCCAGGAGTCAGGGTAGAGAATTTCTGAGCAAATCGGAGATATTTTAGGGGTGTGGAGGAGGGGAAGGGAGGAATGGGCCACCATATTTGGCCTTACAGGAATTAAGGAGACTTCCTGTAATATTTCTTTCCAATAAATATTGCTTTTTACAATTAAGGGTGAGTGTCTTTAATAACATGGGAGCTTTGACAAAAGAGAACAACGAGATTTCTTACATTCTATGCCATCCTTTTTATTGAGGTATATGACCGTCACACAGGACTCACTGACTGGTCATCTTCATTCATCATAATACTACCTGATAATTTCTCAGAATTCTTGGGACTCCTAGGACTTTGTTTAAGCACACATTTTTGGCACTTTTTGCTATTTCAATTAAATTTTATTTTCTTGGTTGGACTTTTCCTCCTTCTCAACACTGTTTCTTTATCTTGTCAAATGGCAAAGGTCTTAAATTGCCAATGTTCCTTTGGAATGTATGTGCCATGACATGCTGACTCTGGTCTTTATAGCCTAATCCTTTATTTGGTGGACATAGGTAATCCTTCAACTCAGCTTTTTGTGTTTTTAACTCCTTGCAGCCATTGGAGGAATATATTATGTTAAGGTTATTCTGAACCTGTCTAGGACTCTGGATTGTATCTCTTCATACTGAAATACAATTTCTTATTCTGAAAAGAGGATAAGGGGTATGACCTTTAGGTCCTTTTGAGGTAGGTGCTGTCTGAAGAAAGTTGCTAATACAAACCTGGCCAACATAGTGAAACCCCATCTCTAGTGAAAATACAAAAATTAGCTGGGCATGGTGGTGGGCACCTGTAGTCCCAGCTACTCGGGAGGCTCAGGCAGAGGAATTGCTTGAACCCGGGAGGTGGAGGTTGCAGTGAGCGGAGATTGCACCACTGCACTCCAGCCTGGGCAACGGAATAAGACCCTGTCTCCAAAAAAAAAAAAAAAAATTGCTAATCCAGTGGGTGTGCTTCCTTAGTCCTCAGCCTTGCAGGCAGACGGTCCTCCAGTTCCTTGCAGACATGGAACAAACTGTTCTTCCTCCTGCCCTTAACCTTTTTCTTAGTTCTGGCTCGGCCCCTTTAATCATGTCATTCTGGTTGCCTAGTCTTTCTTTTTCCTGTTTAAGGGTCATACAAGAACTATTAAGAAAGAAGACTGGTTTTCTTTTTGTGAAAGAATTCAGCTGTGGTTAACAAGAAGCTATTTATCTATATTCTGCATGTCCTATTATGAGAACGCAGAAAAGAATTGTCTGAATCAGCTTTGTTTTTTTGAGGAACAAAGAAGTTGGCTTTCTAAGAGAGGAGGAAGGGCCCATTTTCGCAGGTGAAGAAAATACCCATTTTTGAAAATTCATGTAATTTCAGGTAGCATTACTTTTCTCAGCAATTGAGAGAATGGGGAACTAAGGGTAGAACTGAAATAAATGCATCACAGGGCTATTACACAGAACAGCAGATTTCTTCATAGAAGCTATTCCTGACAGGTACAGCAATTTGGAGGTAGGATCTCTTGTAACTGAAAAGCATGCTTTTCACTCCTTCCTCACAGTAACACAGAAAACTGCATTGCAGCTCTTCTTAGCCTATGCAGATGCAGTCCCTCGGGACTGTTTCACCTAATGAATAGTTTATACTAGGTTGGTGCAAAAGTAATTGCAATTTTTGCCATTAAAAGTAATGTATTATGGCACATGGAGTAGGCAGACCCTATCCTCTTCCCTGGTCAAGGCAATTGATAGCTGATGGTTAAGTGCATGTTCATTCTGGTTAGAGATGAATCATCTAATTGAGCATGTGGAAGTTGGCATGGCAACTGTTACATGACCCTTGAGGGTACCTGTTCTGATGGGGAACCTGAGAATTCCCTGGGATCTTGAGGGTACCTGTCCCACCTGGGAATCAAACTTTCTTTTTTTAGGAAAAGAGTGTAGATTATGGGAGAAGGGGAACTGTAAGGGGCTTGACTCAGTGGATCTATGGGCCAAGTAGAAGAAACCTCCTTCCTAAAGAGCAACAAGAACTATATAAATGACTTTGAGAGATGAAATTCAAGAAAGGTTTCCCAAAGGAAAGTTTTTATTAAAAAGGCAAGTGTGCAAACAGTGTAAATCCATGCAATTATTTGATAATGGTTCCTGTTTCTGTGTGGATCCCGACTTGGTGACCTGTTTTATGGTCAGTTTTGCAAATGCATTTCTCTCTGAAATGGAGATCCTCCAGATGGCACTCTTACCTCAGCCTGGGAGCCTCACAAGGCATCTAGACCTGATCTGTGGAAATGCAAGCCAGAGAAACCTGACCGTTTTACCCTGAGCTTATATTCTGACCTTGGTCAGCTCCGGAAAGGTCATCCATACTCTGAACAACATCTGTACTATATGCTGCAGCACATTGCTCAGCAATCACTTGTGAATAGATCAAACAGTATTTTCTTTCATTAATAACACTGTTAAAGGAGTTTTGGATAATCCCTTTCTCATGCTTGCAAATACTTACGCTATCACTTAAGGCAATGATTCCCAGCTTTTTGGGGGTGGGTTTTATTTTATTGTTTATCTGATTTCCCAAGATTTTGTCCGTCTTCTGAAAGTAGAATGGTACACACAAATATGTGAGGATGTGTGCGTACACACATACACACACACACACACACACACACGATATTTTTGTGATCATGAAACCAGCTCAAGGAAGTAATTTGTTCAACTCCATAGCTGGTTTGTGGAGATGTGTAGGAGTAACTTCTTAGCCATGGGACATAGCTGTCAATGCAGGGAGGGATAAGCCTATTGGAAATTGTCTCATGTACAAAAAGTCTTGGCACCAGGTAGTTCTAAATTGGGTTTTGATGCCCACATTCTCCCTAATCACAAAACCAATTTTAAACATTTGTTATGTGATAAGTTTCTCTTAAAAATAGGCATTTTGCCAAAGCCTAAAATTTCCAAAATACTACAAAGTTCTGGTTTTGAGAAATTTTCCAATTGTTTAATAGTTGAGACAGAAATTCCTCACTTTATCATGAAGAGCTTGGTTAAGAATTTTGTGATAATCACAAGCTATAGCTGGAAATAGCCTTAGATGTCTCAAAATCAAGTTATGAAATCTCTGCCTAGAAGCTGGGGAGGAGGGCAATAATTCTGATGAGCTATGTATAAGTTTTTCACTCCTCTTCAGAAATTGGGTGCCCTAGTTTTTTTGTTTAGCTCATGAGAGTAGGGTGGGAGCAGTTGGGTCTTAGCTACTCTAGCTATTGAAGAAGACAAGGCCAAAGACACCTACACCCTCCCTTGCCACAGGCTTCTAAGTTGTTCTTAAACTTTCTGCATTCATTCTACTTACATTTATTGAGTGCCAGGCATTCTAGTCACTGAACTACAACCAAAAAAAACAAAACAAAACCTCAAAACAAAAATTTCCTGTCCCTCTGGTAATTTAAATTCCAGTGATGAAAGATAAACATGAAATATATATATGTGTATATATATGTGTGTGTATATATATATGTGTGTGTATATATATATATATATATACGTTTGAAGATGATAAGTGCTAGGAAAAAGTAAGCATACGGTGATGAGGATTAGGAGTTCCAGAGAAGGTGGAGCAAAGGGGCGAGCTGCAGTTCTCCGTAGGCGGGGCAGAGTGCATCTCCTTAAGAAGGTGAGTAAGCTGTGTGGATGTCTGGGTGGAGACAATGCTAGGGAGAGAGACCAATTCTTGCAAAGCCTGGGGTGAGAGGAGCATGTCTGATGAGCTCAGGGAATAGCAGAGAGTGAGGGAGCAGGTAGGCAGCAAGGATGCTAGAGCAGTAACAGGAAGAGAGGAGCAAGATTGTGTCAGGCCTTACAGACCAGTGTAAGAATTTATGTTTTGTTTTGTTTTGTTTTTAAACTCCGAGTTAAATGGTAAACGCTTAGTAGCTTAGGAAAAAAAAAACACACTAAAAAATGGAAACATAAAAGTAGAATAGTATGGTGAACCCGTGTACCCATTACTCAGCTTCAACAATTATTATCACGTGGCCAGTCATGCTTCATTGTGCTTATCCTACCTCCCTTCCCCTGAACCCACAAACACAGCAGATTGTTGAAGCAAAGGCCAGGCAGTGTATTTGAAACTCAGGACTCATTCCATAGTCTGAATGTTGTTTCCTGTGCAGTTTTCTCTTGTGGCATCCTTCTTTCAGCTTTCGCTCTTGTCATTCCCGCTTGCCTCTGCTCCCAGGAGCTGTCTTCCTTCCTCCTCTTGCCCCCAACCGCACTTCTCCACTCAGGCTCATCCTAGTATCTCCACTCCACTCCCATTCCCTGAACATTCAGTATTAAATAACAGACACCCCCAAAGCAGCTGACAGCTGACTCATGCCTCCACTTCCCCTTTGTCTGCTCCTTTCCTCTGCCTCAGCCACTTGCTCTACCTAACCCAATCCCATAGCTTCTGGGTGTTCAAAATCTGCATGGGAGGCTTTCCTCTTACTGATTGTTTGATCAGAGAGTATATCCCTTGTACTCTTAGAACCACTTTATCTGGGGTTACTTTCACAGAGAATCCCAGAAGGCATGGTTACCCAGCTTCACCTACTGAGTCCTAGGACTTGATGGCTGCTGGAGTCTGGGACTGGCTTGGTTTAAGGCAGAGCTACCCCTTCCCTAAGATCTGTCTGAGTGGAATGGTCGGTAGTGGAGCAGCCACTGGCTGGCTTCTGTTTCCCATTCCCCATTCCCTGCTTTAGAAATGATGCTTTAAAAGAATATGAATCGTTTCTATTTGCATGAAGGGTTCCATTTATGCTTGATTACCGTGCAGGATGATAAAAATTATGTATAACATTAAGTGTGTCATTCACTATTATAAATTTCATTTAATTTCAATACTAAGCTCTGTTCCTAAACACAGTCTAGTTTGCCATATCTATATCTACATTATTGCTTAAAACTAAAAAAATTAGAACTTTTGCTTACCAACTATTTATATAGTAATCTGTTCTAAGATCGTTTGTAAAATTGGCTTCAGTTGCATTAGTCTGAAGTCACAGTAGATCTTTTGCCCCCTTTTTGAAAATTAGAGTATTTGCTCATCTCAAGGACTATGTAACATGGTTTTGTTATTGCATTTGCAGTTTCTTTTATTTGTAAGTCCCATAGGATATAATTTCTCTGGGTCTGGTATTGTGAACTCACTGAAAACCTAGGTTCTCTTTTCCTATTTTATTTATTTATTTATTTTGAGACGGAGTCTCGCTCTGTCCCCCAGGATAGAGTGCAGTGGCGTGATCTCAGGTCACTGCAACCTCTGCCTGCCGGGTTCAAGCAATTCTCCTCCTTCAGCCTCCTGAGTAGCTGGGATTACAGGCATGCACCACCATGCCCAGCTCAGTTTTGTATTTTTAGTAGCGATAGAGTTTCACCATGTTGGTCAGGCTGGTCTCTAACTCCTGACCTCGTGATCTGCTCGTCTCGGCCTCCCAAAGTGCTGGGATTACAGGCGTGAGCCACCGTGCCCAGCTTCTTTTCCTATCTTTTCATTTATGTTAGGCTTCATTTTCCTCTCAACTACATTCGTTCTAGCCTTTTCAAGTTGAAGGTCATTCTCGATAGAGAATATAAAAGGAAAATACTGCTTGAGCCCTTCAGCTTTCTGTCATTAAAACTTTTTTATTTAATTTAAAACTTTTTTTTTTTTTTGGCAGAGCTGGGTTCTTGCTTTGTTGCCCAGCTGGTCTTGAAGTCCTGGCTTCAAGCAATCTTCCCACCTCAGCCTCCCAAAGTGCTGGGATAACAGGCAGTGAGCCACTCTACCAGGCCTCTGGCATCTCCTTTTTTTTTTTTTTTTTTTAACATCAAGTCATCAACTTCAGGCATAATCTCTTTCTTGTTCCTCTTCTTTCACTGACCATACTCCCTTCTCCCACCCCAAATTCCTTGAAATAATGCTTTTCTGGCCTTTGATTTTCCTGTTATTAATTTTCCACGTTCAGGCTATTCTTATAGTTTTGCTTACGAAGGGACTGTTTGTTGTCTTGTTTATATTGTCATAGAATGTTATAGAATTTATTGCTGGTTTCCACCTGCAGCTGCAGTTCTGCTTTTTATTGTATCATCATATTTTATTTTATGGTCATATTTTCCATTTGAAAACCTCCCTTCTCACTCCCCTTTTCATCCATAGTACGATGTTTTTCTATGACCGTGAGATTATTCTTGGCATTTTTCTGTGCTCTTTGAAACATGGTTTTCTAAAGCCAGGGCCTATGCCTATGCCACAGCATGTCTTCCTCACCTATTGTGAAATTTGCAATATTTTGCTAACTGATATTTTGGATAAAAAATTCCCTCTCCTTTGATTTTCTGAAAGGTGGTTATTAGCAAGGCAATTAAAAATCACATTGGACATTCTGATTTTTAGCAGAGTGGGACCTCTAGCTAACTAGGGAGAACTGAAATCATCTATGTCAATTTTTTGTTAATTTAAGAAAAATATCAGCCACCTCTTCTAGCTGGCTGGGTGGTGCCGCAGTACATGCATATGGAAGTATTAGTTCTGATTCTTTTTTTTGTTTGTTTCTAATCACCCCAAGTGCCTGGTTGTTTAATGTTCACTTTATCAACTTGTGAGAAATTAACTTGGGATCCCTAAGAACTCAATAGATTCTTAGTTTTTATTTGGCTTTTTTTTTTTTTAACTGATTTCTGCCAGCAAAGCAGTAAGAAGGAAAGAATAGTTCATTTAGGAGGAGAAGCAGACCTATATGACAGTGTTTTTTTTTTTTTTTTAAATAAAGATAAAGTTATGGTCTCATTGAGAGAAAATGTTATTCTTCCAATGAAGCAAAGTTAGCAAACACCTTCTTTTTAAATTTGCGATGAAGTTTGCTTCAGAGTATAAGAAAAGGGCTCCTGAGAAGCCCTTATTCTTAGTTCTCTGTTTTTTAAAAATCTAATCTTGGGAGAGATTGTTAGGAGCTGTGGGCGGAATATGTGGGGATCAAAAAAGGAAGGGGAAGAAAGGCACAAAGGAGCTTGTTCTGATCCTTTGTAGGATTTTTGCTGTGGCTACCTGCTCTACAGGACTTAGATAAGCAGACAGGTGAAAGAGGCAGTGTTAGGGGGGTGAAGCGGGCTGTAGGGTCATGCTGACTGGGGTTTCATACCTAAGTTGACATTTACTTAGCTGTGTGACCTTTGGCCAGTTACATATTCTCTGTCAAGACTCAGAATCTTCATTTGTAAAGTGAGGATAATAATATGACTCAGAATATGAGCTGATTAAGTGAGGTAATCTATGTAAAACACGCAGCACAGGGTAGGGATCATAAAAGTCAACTCTGTTCAGCACTTAAAGCTCAGCGCACACAATGCAGAATTTAATAACATAGGCAGTTCTCCAACTAAATTGGAGCTCCTTGGAAGGCAGGAATAGCGTCTAATGCTTCTCTTGTTGTGGAGCTGGGAAGAGAAGCTTAATAAATATGGGCTGATTTGAGGTCACTCCATACAATGTGTGGCAATGCAGCCCGAATAAAGAGAAAAGAATGGGGGTCCCTTTGTGGTGTGAGCTGGGGCGTCCTTGAAAGTAACCCACGAGAGCTCCAACATGAGAAGGATTTGATTTTGGGTTCCAGGAGAGCTTCCCTTGGCTGTACGGATATTTATATTTGCATATCTATTTAAAAACCTGTGTTTTAAAGAATTCATACCACCAGGAGGCACAAATCACCTCCAGTTTTTGTTATTAGAACACTTCAGCAATAACTGAGGCCCTGACAGTGTCCCCAAAACACCATCAATTTCTGCAAGACCATTAAAGAACCAAGTAAAGACCCAGCCATCCCAGCCTCTTGGCATTCGGTGTATTTGATTTACATTCTAATTCTTTAAAAGTTAGGCTTCAGTTCCGATAGGGTAACTTCTAAGTGGAGTGGGCAGTTAACCAAAATAGCCAATTTCCCCACAATTCTGGACAAAATAGAGCTTTATTGTCATGGGAGGTATTTTCCATTTGGTTTTATTAGGATTATTACCATTTTTGAGTGCAAATAGGAGAGCTTAAGTAACAACCTTTTTTTTTTTTTTTAAACCAGGCAGTGCAAAAAGACAGAAGTGCAGTTTTTGTCTCAAAGTCTATATGGCTGTCTACAAGAGTGAGCATGAGAGTGAGGTAGTGAGAGGCAGGCCCTGAGGGCTGCTGAATGGACCATCCCCTCCTGGCCCAAGTTTGGCAGGAGAAATGGTGAAGAGGGACTTCTCAGCATAAAACTGAGGTCTCCAGTCAGAGAGACAGAGCAAGTGATAAATTAAGTGGAGCAGAAAGAACTGAGAATGGTAGCATTCATCATAACACGTACAGAATCCCCTAGAGGGCATGGCAGCCTCAGGCCAGTGTGCGTTTTGTAGTTATTTTACAAAAGTGTCTCATGTTCATTATTGTCAGTATTTGGTAGGTGGTCAGAATTTACAGTGGTGACTATAACTGGTTGTGAGGGGCCTTATGGGACCTGGATCTACATAAGCCAAAGACTGTAGGTTTTCACGTTTTATTCTAACACCCCTGTGAGGAAAATGTTATCATCCCTATTTTACAGAGGAGAAATCAAGGCACAGACAGGTTAGGTGTCTTGGCTGAGGACACTGTGGGTAATAGCAAGGTCAGGGTCTCAACCCAGGTTTGTTTGCTTCTAGAACTAATGCTCTTTTCATTGTTCTCATAAAAAGTCCTCTTTATCCAGGGCTCTTTCTGCCTCTTATACATCTCCAGATGTTGCTTTGCTAGGCTGCTGTAACACAATACCATAAAGCGGGTGGCATAAACGACAGAAATGTATTGTCTTACAGTTCTGGAGGCTACAAGTTCAAAACAAGGTCTCTGAAGGATGGGTTCCTTGTGAGGGCTCAAAGGGAAGGCTCTGCTCCAGGCCTCTCATTTTTGGCTGGTAGATGTTCATCTTCTCTGTGTGTCTGTTCACGTGGCCTTCCCCCTGTCTGTGTCTCTCTGTCCAGATTTCCCGTTGTTCTGAGAATACTGGTCACATTGGATTTGGGCCCATCCTCATGACCTTTTTTTTAAACTTGTTTACTTCTGTAAAGTCCCTACCTCCAAATAAGGTCACACTCTGAGATACTGGATTGAGAACGCTGACATATGAATTTTGAGGGGCACAATTCAACCCATAATACCAAATAAATCTCCTATAGGTCACACACTCTGGCAGCTGTGCTTTAGACACTGTGTTTACATTGAAGAGACTTTTCCGATGGCCCCTTATTGTTTTTGTCCATGTTGTTTAATCTGTGAACTAACAGCCTTGAATTTAGTCACCTTCAAAGTGGGCCTGCTCACTGGAATGAGCGTCAGGTCAATAAAGCATTCAATGGGCTCTAATTTAATTAGCCAAGTTACTGTGACAGCTGCCTTGTAACTGTGATTCACAGACGGGCAGAGAACAGAGACGGGACTGGCAGAGTTCATTGTTGATTCCAGGGATTGCTGATGCCACCCCAGGCCCTAGGAACTTTGCTCCTGTTCTGGCAGGAAAACAGAGGGACACTGAAGGGGCATTTAGGATTTTCTGTCTTGGATGTGTCTTTTGAGATTAAGTGGAAAATAGATTTAAAGTCAAGGCCCTGCAGCTTCATTCCCCTCTTTCCTCATCTTGCCATATATCAACTCAGCTCTCCCATAATTTAAAAGTGTCCTGAAAATTTCCTTCACTACAAACCATGGCCCGTACACTAGGTTTGTCAGCTGCTTCCATCCCAGCCAGCCAAGCTGGTAGAGTTCCTTCAATCTCTCCCTGCCTCCTTCTTCTAAAACCTAGTCCTTGACTCACTTCTCAGTCCCGGGAGCATTGACCTTATCAATCTACCACTGTTCTTCCTACAGGAGGGGAGACAGTTCTAGGTGTGCATTCAGAAGAACTAGATTTCATTTTTGGTCTGTCACTTACTGACCAGTGTCAGCTTGGACAAACCATTTAGCCTCCCTGCCCTCAGTGTGGTCGCTAATCAAATGGACATAGGCATCCCTGGCTTGCTTACCTGTCAGGATGGTCATGAAGACAGAGTAAACCTCAGTGGAGCTGCCCCTAGCACAAGCTGATGGAAAAATGAAGAAAACTGATTTTGCTTGTATTGTATTTACCATACGAGTGGGATCACTTTGATGTCTGTATGCTCTGCATGTATGTGTCTGAGTCAGACTGTGAATTCCAGGAGTGCAGAGCACTTTGTTCGAGGTCCAGCCTGCACTGTATGCAAACAGGTATAGAAGACTTGGAATGATTGATGAAAGCCAGTCTTGGAGAATAAAGAAAAGACCAGTGGGTGAAAAGGGGGTATCTAAGAAGATTGCACATGGAGTGACTTATTTTATGTAAGTCACAAAGGGTTTACATTTATGCCAGTCATTAAACATTGATTTAAAGTATTTGATAGCTATTATTTACCAAGAGCAGATGTTTAGGAAGTTATTTTTAATCAACTGCATGATTAATATTTTTTTGCTGCTCCTTTGTGTCTTAATTAAAGCAGATGAAAAATGTCTTGTGTATTTGATATTGACACCACTGACTGTGGGGATTTGTTGTCATAGTCCATAGTCAGCTGAGTATTTTATAAGCTTAAGTCTTTACATATAAACTTGAAAGGCTCCCAGAGTAACTGGTTTTTAAACAAAGTAAAAAACTGCTTTACAAAATGAGCAATTTTGGGGGGGGCATTTTAATTTATAGTATGTAAATTATAAACTTCATATTTTATCTCTGAGCTAGAAAAATAGTCTAGAAACAATGGATGGTTCTTTGTAGACTTAGAGATAATTTCCTAGAATACAACTTGGGTCATTTTTTTGTCTGTATATTGTAACAAGGGAAGCCTTGTGTTCCCTTTCTTCCTGGGAATGCACGCTCCCGCGTGGGAGGAGAAAGCTGCTTTCCCATTTCTCCCACTCTTTGTTGCTGCCATGGTGGCTGGTGCAGGGAGACTGCAGCGCAGGGACAGAATGGGGCTTTTTTTTTGTTTTTGTTTAATTTGAGAACTATGATGTGCCATTTACACACCTAGGAAAGGTGCTAGGGATAAATATACCTATACAAACAGAAGCCATGAATTCTGGTTTTGGGGAATGAGAGGAGAGGTTTTGGGATGGGTTGGTGTTTGAGCTGTGTCTTGAGGTACCAGTAATTTTCTAATTAGGGAAGCATGAGGGAAGGGCATTCTAGACTGAGAGCACAGCCTAAGCAAAGGCATGGAGGTGGGAGTGGGTGTTTGACTTGAGGAATATTCTAGAGCTTTTTTGCAGTTGGAACATAGAGTACAGGAAAGAAAGAGTGCAATGAAACATGAGGCCAAGAAGATAAGTTTGGGATTGGGTCATGAATGCATTGGATAATCAGCCTGAAGAATTTGAATTTGATCCTGCCAGCAATGGCGAAATCAGTGAAGACTTATGTAAGGAGTAGAGTGGCCTGCTCTGACCTGTTTAGGAAGGAAACCTGGTAGCCACATGGGGGATGGGTGGTGTTGGGGAGAGAAGGGAGGCAGGGAGATTGTTGGCAGTGGGGTGAGGGGTTGGGGATGGAACTTTCCTGAATGTGCAGGAAGAGAGAGGGGAGGAAATTGAAAACAGACCAGCATCTGCACATGTCAGTTGATTGATTCAACAAAACTTTATGGAACGCTTGCCATATTCTGGGCACTGTGTGCAGTTGAGGCTACAAAGATAAAGAGGACAGGATGTCTGCTCTTGAGAACTTACCACTGACTGAGCCAAACACAGTTAACCCTCACCATGTACCATGACATGGTGCATGCTTTTCCAGAGGGGGCTATACAGTGCGAGGGTTGCCTTGGGCACTGGGGAAGGGAGAGGGACATTTAACCTGGGTCTTAAAGGATGGTGGTGAGCTGATTATGTCTTTAGGTGGCTTATTAAAAATGGTTTCCATTCTTCTGGGGGCAAAGACTGATCTTTACTGTGGCACTAAAGGCCCTGCTTGTCCTGGCCCATTCATTGCCCCAGCCTCTGTTCCACCATCTTCTCTTTGCTGTCCTGCTCTGCTGCTTCCAGTCTCTTGGAGGCACCACATTCTCTCCTGACACAGAAAATTTGCCTTTGCCTTTGTCTGGAGCTCACTGTCCTCTCCCAAATTCCAGCTGAATCTGCCTTCCTTGAGGAAGTCTTTCTTGAGTCTTTAGACTCAGTCAGACTTCTGGTACGTACTCTCTTTAGCACCTTGTACTGGTCTTTCATAGCACTTTATCAAAGTCATAAATTTGCATTTATGTGGTCCTTTGTTTCATGAATGTCTCTGCTCACCATTGTGTCTTCAGTGTTGGACAGTGCCTGGCACATAGAATATTCTCAATAAATATATATTGACTGACTGCTGGAGTAAAATAACTAAAGAAGGAATGTGATATTGTTTGGCTGTGTGTCTCCACCCAAATGTCATGTTGAATTATAATCCCCAGTGTTGGAGGTAAGTCCTGGTGGGAGGTGATTGGATTATGGGGGTCGTTTCTAATGGTTTAGCACCATCCCCCTAGTGCTGCCTCGAGGTAAAAGTTCTCAAGAGATCTGGTTGTTTAAAAGTGTTTAGCACCTCATCCTTTACTCTCTCTTCCTCCTTCTCTGGCCATGTAAGACGTGCCTGCTTCTCCTTCACTTTCCACCATGATTGTAAGTTTCCTGAGGCCTCCCCAGCCATTCTGCCTGTACAGCCTGCAGAACTGTGAGTCAATTAAACTTCTTTTCTTTATAAATTACCCAGTCTCAAGTAGTTCTTTATAGCAATGTGAGAACAACTAATACAGAAGGGTATTTCAGAAATAGGGAACAGCATGAGCAAAGGGGCTGTGGCTTATTTTGGGGATATTCTAGGAACAACAAGTGGCTGGCTTATGGAGGGGGCTAAAGATGAGGACAAAAGGTATGTTGGGTACCTAGAAAGAACCTTTCATGCCATGCTAAGGACACCTTGTTCTTCTGCCATCAGAGACTGCACTAGAATTGTTGGCTTGACTGAGTTAGACTATAAGCTCCCTGAGGGTAGGTGATGGGTGCACCAAAATCTCAGAAATCCCCACTAAAGAACTTATCCACGCAACCAAAACCACTTGCTCCCAAAACTATTGAAAAAAAAAAAGAATGTGATATGCTAATCAAGGCAGCTCACTACTATATGAGACCACACAATTTTTCTTTTCATTTTAAATATACTTTAATCCATTTTTTTGGTAAAATGGCAACGGTCACTTGGGGTTTGTTCACTGTCTATAAATATGCAGTCAATGGTCTGGATCTGGAATAAGTTAACTGGATCGAATATTTTCCTAATTTTTCATTCCTTAAAGCTTTTCTCTTCTTAGACTTCTGAATTATTCATTACTTCATTGAGAAAACCACTCTCCAGAAGGTAGGATGGAAAGAGTGTATGGTCGGGCCCCATCAGGCTGTGGGATGACAGCAGAGTGTCTGGTGGCTTAAACTAACCCAAACAGGATGACACAAACTGAACTTGAAGGGGCTGGGGACTTGTTTGAGGGGACTGGGGTATTGTGGATGCAGGAGGACCTTACTACGGGTAGAGACTAGATGATAATGAGGGACACATTATTGATAGAGACGAAGACAAATGGGGAAATAGCATGGGACCAAGGGCAATGTACAAAGCTTTCAGATTCTCAGTTTTTCATCTCCCCAGATCCATGCTGTCTCATCACCACCACCTGGAGCACCAACCTCCAACATTTCCAGAGAGAGAGAGAGAGAGAGAGATATTACAAGAGGTTCATGTGATTATGGGGGCTGTCTAAGCAAGTCAGAAAGTGCAGGGAATCAGGATGGGGAAGGTCATGGGCAACCTTGAATCCACAGACAAGGGCTGAAGTTGTTGTCCACTTACAGATAGGAAGAGAAGATCATGAGCAGGATGGAACTCCATAGGCACTGGCCAGAGCTGTGGTCCACAGGTGGAATTTCTTCTCTTCGAGCCTGTCTATTCAGTGAATACATGATTTGTGTGGCATGTGGGATGAAAACAGGAAAAGATCCTGGACTAGGAGTCAGGAGACCTGGACTTGAATTGCCTCCACATTTCTGTGGCATATTCAGCTTTTGTGGCCTCAGTTTTCTCTGATCGGAGAAGTGGTGGATTCAATGGTCTCTGTCAACAAATTTTGCAAGTCTGATATTTCTGTATGAACTAGAACTTGGGTATTTCTGCTTGGGTGGAAGAGAAAGACATTGTGACCTGTTTAAAGGTGGCAGGGTCCATCTGAAGGACAGTTGAGAAAAAGCCTTGATGTTTTTGAAAATATCAAAACAGTGACTGAAGAAGGAGAGGAAGCAAGAATTTCAAAGCTCATCCACAGATGGGCCTGGTGGGACAGGGAGTCATCAGTGGGAGGAGGCAGGGGAGCAGGGCCAGGACTAGAGTGAAGCTACATCAGCATCACCAGGGTGACAATACAGACCCCAAGGCCCCCATTCAGAGGAGTTATGCTTTGGGAAGTTTCAGATAGGGCACTCTAGGGCACACAATTTAAGAAGGCCTCACTCTTAGACAATTCAAATGCTGGCACTCCACTTGCTAGTGAGTAAGTCCTTCAATTCTGCATCTGGGCTCCTGCCTTATCCTAGAGTGGTTATTCTGTGCAAACCAGAGAAATGGCTAGGGCAAACCAGAATAGATCATCTAGAATGGAAGGGCATAGCAGTGAGAAAGAGAAAAGAAACTTTTTAAAAAACATTATACTTTAAATTCTGGGATACATGTGCAGAATGTGGATGTTTGTCACATAGGTATACACGTGCCATGGTGGTTTGCTGCACCCATCAACCCAATACCCATTAGGTATTTCTCCGAATGCTATCCCTCCTCTAGTCCCCCAACCCCCGACAGGCCCCAGTGTGTGATGTTCCCCTCCCTGTGTCCATGTGTTCTCATTGTTCAACTCCCACTTATGAGTGAGAATATGTGGTGTTTGGTTTTCTGTTCCTGTGTTAGTTTGCTGAGAATGATGGTTTCCAGCTGCATCCATGTCCCTGCAAAGGACATGAGCTCACCCATTTTTATGGCTGCACAGTATTCCATGGTGTATATGTGCCACATTTTCTTTATCCAGTCTATCATTGTTAGGCATTTCGGTTGGTTCCAAGTCTTTGCTATTGTGAATAGTGCTGCAATGAACATATGTGTGCATGTGTCTTTATAGTAGAACAATTTATCATCCTTTGGGTATATACCCAGTAATGGGATTGCTGGGTCTAATGGTGTTTCTGGTTCTAGATCCTTGAGGAATCGCCACACTGTCTTCCACAATGGTTGAAATAATTTACACTCCCAATAACAGTGTAAAAGCGTTCCTATTTCTCCACATCCTCTCCAGCATCTGTTGCTTCCTGACTTTTTAATGATCGCCATTCTAAGTGGTGTGAGATGGTATCTCATTGTGGTTTCGATTTGCATTTCTCTAATGACCAGTAATGATGAGCATTTTTTCATGTTTGTTGGCTGCGTAGATGTCTTCTTTTGAGAAGTGTCTGTTCATATCCTTCGCCCACTTTTTGATGGGTTTGTTTGTTTTTTTCTTGTAGATTTGTTTAAGTTCCTTGTAGATTCTGGATGTTAGCCCTTTGTCAGATGGGTAGATTGCAAAAATTTTCTCCCATTTTGTAGGTTGCCTGTTCACTCTGATGGTAGTTTCTTTTGCTGTGCAGAAGCTCTTTCATTGAATTAGATCCCATTTGTCAATTTTGGCTTTCGTTGCCCTTGCTTTTGGCATTTTAGTCATGAAGTCTTTGCCCATGCTTATGTCCTAAATGGTATTGCCTAGGTTTTCTTCTAATTTTTTTTATGGTTTTGGGTTTTACATTTAAGTCTTTAATCCAGCTTGAGTTAATTTTTGTGTAAATGTGTAAGGAAGGGGTCCAGTTTCAGTTTTCTGCATATGGCTAGCCAGTTTTCCCAACACCATTTTAAGTAGGGAATCCTTTCCCCATTGCTTGTTTTTGTCAGGTTTGTCAAAGATCAGATGGTTGTAGATGTGTGGTGTTATTTCTGAGGCCCCTGTTCTGTCCCATCAGTCTGTATATCTGTTTTTGTACCAGTAACATGCTGTTTTGGTTACTGTAGCTTTGTAGTATATTTTGAAATCAAGTAGTGTGATGCCTCCAGCTTTGTTCTTTTTGCTTAGGATTGTCTTGGCTATGTGGGCTCTTTTTTAGTTCCATATGAAATTTAAAGTAGTTTTTTCTAATTCTGTGGAGAAAGTCAATGGTAGCTTGATAGGGATAGCAGTGAATTGGGTAGTCAGGGAGAAAGAAACCAGCTCTGGTTAATCTAAAATCTGCTCTTGAAGGAGAGCAGAGCTGGTTTCAGCAGCTCCTGATCGCCCTATAATTGTGAGTATTCCACTGTCATGCAACACCAGAGCCATCTCTCACACTACTCAAACATGACTTACAGAGGCTCAGGGCAACTGAGCTACCTTTTTCCAGAAGTGGGACTCTTACAGAGAGAAGAGGGCCAGCCAGAGTCCCTACGGGCTGTGCCAACCAGGGTGACAAAGAAGATGGAGAGCTGTGTGCTCAATCATTTAGTCCTGCTTTCACTTACCTCTTTCTTATCCCAGGGGAAAAAAAAAAATGTCATTGCGGGTTAAAGGTGGACTTAATGACCTTGTCTTGTAAGGTGATTTCTGCTCATCCATTATTTTATTTTACAAATATTTACTGAATACCCATTGTGGTAGTTACTAGTGCTGTTCATGTATTTCTGGCTCTGTGCTTCGCTGCATATTGTAGGATTGCATTTTCATGGTCTCCTCATGGTTGGGCAGAAGCATGTGACATCTTGGGCTAATGAACTGAAAGTGGCCAGAACATTTAATTTCCAGTGTGAAGTCCTCCAGAACCCTCTTTCTTTCAGCCACTGTGACCAGTAACATTCCAGATGGAGGCTACTCTATTGTTTGGGTTTTTAACTGAGGATATGTGGACAAAAGTCCCCAGCTTGATCCCTGTGAACCTGAAGCATAGGTAAGAAATAAACCTTTGTTGTTTTAAGCCACTGTGACCTGGGAGGTGCTCCCTACTACAGCATAACCTGGCCTATCCTGGCCTATACGCTTAATATGTACCAGACTGTGCTAGACACTGGAGACACAATGCCTCACTCCAACACAATGGATCTCTTTGAGTAGAATTTTGGCTGTGTGGCAGCTGATGGAGGAACACAGCTCTTTTTACAAAGATGATGTAAGTCTGTCCAAGGTAATGGCACACCATATACCATGGAAAGATACTCAGGGTAACTGATGATTTTAAAAATAACTCTTTTGTGACACAACTTTCCCTCCTCCAATTCCTGCTGCTCCTACTAGGCCTAAAGAAGACTGAGAAGCTTAGCTGAGATGTTGCTTCCCCAGAATCACCAGGGTAAAAACAGACACAAGGACCCCCATTTAGAGGGGTGATGTTTCAGGGAGTTTCAAATAGGGCCAAGGGATGACTGTTTTAGTATCAAGCTTCCCAGGGGATTCCAGTGAACCACCCAGGGTTAAGAGCCATTGGCCTGGGGGCCAAAACTGTGAGGGAAAAGATCAGTCATGTTGCCTGATGCTTTCTTGGGTATCTTCAATAGGAAAAACCAAGTCCAGAGCAAACTCAGGGTTCACTGGCTAGAGCTTGCCCTGGAAAATTTGGAAATAGGCCTGTCTCAGCCTTCCTTTCCCTGGTGACCTTCTGTCATTCCTCTGCCAGCTCTTTCCAAACCCTGTCCCTCCAGCAGAACCTGACTTCTGAGCCACTCCTTCAGGGCTGGTTAGGTACTGTCAGCCTGCAGATGCTACCATGCACTATTCCCAGGGTTAGGGTTTCAATACGGTCAGTGTAAACCATGACCTCAGCATGACACTGTGGAACTCAGGGCTGCTGATTCTATTTGAGCCCACACTATCTACTTTTACCACCTATCCTCTCAGGTCACTCCCTTTGGTGTATTTGTTTGTCATCTCAAGTGGATTATAAACTCCTTTGAGAGCAGGGACTACAATGTATTCATAGTTTCCATGTTTTAATTCCTCTTTGGATAATTGACAGTTGGCTGTAGTTTGTTTTAATCATTATTTTGGAGTCTTTAGTGACCCCTTTCCATTTTCATTACCCAGGTTAATAGAAATTAGAATCTACATAAAAATTGCTATATTATCCTTAGAAACCTAGAAACCAAGGGGTTTAATAGGGCCTATTCTAGGATAACTTGTGTTATACTAGAAACCAAAGGTTTGAATACAGCCTCCTCCAGAATGATTAAGTCACAGCCAGCCTGATGGTAATGAGAATGGCCAGAGCTGGGGGCTGAGTTAGGGAGGATGCTGGCTGCCAAGACTTGTGTAAAAGTGATATGAGATCTCCCCACTAAGCACCCAAGCCACTACCAGCCTTCTTGAGGGAGAATCTAGATGAAAGGGGCAGACAGAGGACCAAACTGGTCAAGAACTAAGCTGCTATATTCTTTCTCCATTCCAAGATGGCTGAATAGGAACAGTTCTGGTCTGCAGCTCCCAGCATGATCAACGCAGAAGATGGGTGATTTCTGCATTTCCAACTGAGGTACCTGGTTCATCTCATTGGGACTGGTTGGACAGTGGGTGCAGCCCATGGAGTGGGAGCCAAAGCAGGGCGGGGCATCGCCTTACCCAGGAAGCACAAGGGGTCAGGAGATTTCCCTTTCCTAGCCAAGGGAAGCTGTGACAGACTGTACCTGGAAAAACGGGGCAGTCCTGCCTAATTCTGCGCTTTTCCAATGATCTTAGCAAACGGCACACCAGAAGATTATATCCCATGCGTGACTTGGTGGGTCACACGCCCACAGAGCCTTGCTCACTGCAAGCGCAGCAGTCTGAGATTGACCTGTGAGGCAGCAGTCTGGCAGGGGGAGGGGCGTCTGCCATTGCTGAGGCTTGAGTAGGTAAACAAAGTGGCCGGGGAAGCTTGAACTGGGGGGAGCCCACCGCAGCTCACCAAGACCTGCTGCCTCTGTAGACTCCACCTCTGGTGGCAGGGCATAGCAGAACAAAAGGCAGCAGAAACTTCTGCAGACTTAAACATCCCTGTCTGACAGCTCTGAAGACAGCAGTGGTTCTCCCAGCACAGTGTTTGAGCTCTGAGAAAGGACAGACTGCCTCCTCAAGTGGGTCCCTGACCCGTGTGTAGCCTAACTGAGAGACACCTCCCAGTAGGGGCCGACTGATACCTCCTACAGGTGAGTGCCCCTCTGGGATGAAGCTTTCAGAGGAAGGATCAGGTAGCAATATTTGCTGTTCTGCCGCCTCTGCTGGTGATACCCAGGCAAACAGGGTCTGGAGTGGACCTCCAGCAAACTCCAACAGACCTGCAGCTGAGGGACCTGACTGTTAGAAGGAAAACTAACAAACAGAAAGCAATAGCATCAACATCAACAAAAAGGACATCCACACCAAAACCTCATCTGTAGGTCACCAACATCAAAGACCAAAGGTAGATAAAACCACAAAGATGGGGAGAAACCAGAGCAGAAAAACTGAAAATTCTAAAAACCAGAGCACCTCTTCCACTCCAAAGGATTGCACCTCCTTGCCAGCAACAGAACAAAGCTGGATGGAGAATGACGAGTTGACAGAAATAGGCTTCAGAAGGTCGGTAATAAGAAACTTCTCTGAGCTAAAGGAGGATGTTCTAACCCATTGCAAGGAAGCTAAAAACCTTGAAAAAAGATTAGATGAATGGTTAACTAGAATAAACAGTGTAGAGAAGATCTTAAATGACCTGACGGAGCTGAAAACCATGGTGCAAGAACTACGTGATGCACGCACAAGCTTCAATAGCCGATTCGATCAAGTGGAAGAAAGGGTATCAGTTATTGAAGATCAAATTAATGAAATAAAATGAGAAGAGAAGTTTAGAGAAAAAAGAGTAAAAAGAAATGAACAAATCCTCCAAGAAATATGGGACTATGTGAAAAGACCAAATCTATGTTTGATTGGTGTAGCTGAAAGTGACAGGGAGAATGGAACCAAGTTGGAAAACACTGTTCAGGATATCATCCAGGAGAACTTCCCCAACCTAGCAAGGCAGGCCAACATTCAAATTTAGGAAATACAGAGAACACCACAAAGATACTCCTCGAGAAGAGCACCCCAAGACACGTAATTGTCAGATTCACCAAGGTTGAAATGAAGGAAAAAATGCTAAGGGCAACCAGAGAGAAAGGTCAGGTTACCCACAAAGGGAAACCCATCAGACTAACAGCGGATCTCTCGACAGAAACTCTACAAGCCAGAAGAGAGTGGGGGCCAATATTCAACATTCTTAAAGAAAAGAATTTTCAACCCGGAAATTTCATATCCAGCCAAACTAAGCTTCATAAGTGAAGGAGAAATAAAATCCTTTACAGACAAGCAAATGCTGAGAGATTTTGTCACCACCAGGCCTGCCTTACAAAAGCTCCTGAAGGAAGCAATAAACATGGAAAGGAACAACTGGTACCAGCCACTGCAAAAACATGCCAAATTGTAAAGACCATCGATGCTAGGAAGAAACTGAATCAACTAACGGGCAAAATAACCAGCTAACATCATAATGACAGGATCAAATTCACACATAACAATATTGACCTTAAATGTAAATGGGCTAAATGCCCCAATTAAAAGACACAGACTGGCAAATTGGATAAATAGTCAAGACCCATCAGTGTGCTGTATTCAGGAGACCCATCTCACGTGCAGAGACACACATAGGCTCAAAATAAACGGATGGAGGAAGATCTACCAAGCAAATGGAAAGCAAAAAAAAGCAGGGGTTGCAATCCTAGTCTCTGATAAAACAGACTTTAAACCAACAAAGATCAAAAGAGACAAAGAAGGCCATTACATAATGGTAAAGGGATCAATTCAATTAATTAATCTCAGTAGGCTGGGGTAATATTGCTACTGTCATGGTGCTAGTATGGATGCAGCCTTGCTTTTCTGTCTTTGGCACTCTTTGTACTCTGTGCACACCTCCTTCAAATTTCATGTGCCTATAGACTTCTGAACCCCCAGTGCTGGCAGACGCATGTCTACGGCCACCTATTTCACTTGGAAAATATTCCAGGGTTTCAAAATGTCATCTTTTAAATGCAGCATATTGCTGATACCTATCAAATATCTCTGAAGTAAACAACATTGCCTCCTGACCTCCAACTCCTGCAGTTACTTCCAGGATCAAATCATTTTCATCTGTTTCTTCTGATGCTTCAGCTGAGTTATTTCTTTTTGACACAAAGTTATTTCATTCTCTGCAAGTTTCCTTAAATCTTCATTCTCATGGTGCAGCAAGTGCTCGGTCTCCTGCAGCTCCTGCTCCTTCTCGTTCAGCAGTTTTACCACTGTCACCAGCTCGGGCCTCCTGACCTTCAAATGGGCCTCAGACCCCGCCTGGAGCTTGAGAAAGGTCCACAAGGGCCTGCCCTGGGCGAACAGCTCCTCCAACAATGGGCCACCGGAGCTCAGGGAATGGCAAGCTGGGCCAATGGCCCCATGGGGCCAGAGCCACCGGGCAGTGCCCCACAGAAAATGACTCTTTTTTTTTTTCAAGATGGAGTCTATCTCTGTCACCCAGAATGGAGTATAGTGGCACGATCTCAGCTCACTGCAAACTCTGTCTCCTGGGCTCAAGTGATTCTCCCACCTCAACCTCCTGAGTAGCTGGGATAACAGGTGCATGCCACATACCTGGCTAATTTTTGTATATTTAGTAGAGAAGGGGTTTCATCATATTGGTCAGGCTGGTCTTGAACTCCTGCCCTCAAGTGATCCACCCACCTCAGCCCTCCAAAGTGCTGGGATTACAGGTGTGAGCCAACGTGCCTGGCAGGATTAACTCTTTTATCATTATAAAATGTCCTACTTTGTCTCTCACAATGATTTTTGTCTTAAAGTCTATTTTGTCTGATATTATTATAGTTATTCCAGCTCTCTTTTGGTTTCTGTGTACATGGAACCTCTTTTTCCACCCTTTGCCTTCAACGTATTTTGTCTTTAAAACTAAAATATGTCTCTTATATATAGTATATAGCTTGATCATGGCTTTAAAAATTCATTCTGCCAATTTCTACCTTTTAATTGAAGAGTTTCATCCATTTACACTTAGTGTAACTACTGATAAGGTAGGATTTATGTCTATTATATTGCTATTTGTTTTTTATATGTCTTATGTGTTTTTGTTTCATTTCTGCCTTGTGTTAAACAGTTATTTTCTAGTGTTCCATTTTAACTCCTCTGTCATTTCTTTTACTATATACATTTTAAGTTATTTTCTTAGTAGCCTGATAATTTCAATTAACATTTTAAATTATAACAATCCATTCAGATTAATACCAATTTAATTTTAATAGTATAAAAATCTTTGCTCTTATTACTTCCATTCTTTTCTTACTTTGTGCTGTATTGTCATACAAATTATATATTTTTGCACCATATACCCATCAATACAGATTTATAATTATGGCTTTATGCAATTGTCTTTAAAGTCAGATGAGAGAACAAAAAGAATTACAAACAAAAAAATGCATTTATACTGTCTTTTATGTTTACCTATATACTTTCCTTTACTAGCATTTTTTATTTCTTAATGTGGATTCAAGTTACTGTCTTATATCTTTTTATTTCAGCCTAAAGGACTCCCTTTAGTATAGTCATGCATCACTTAATGAAGGAGATACATTCTGAGAACTGTGTTGTTAGGCGATTTTGTCATTGTGTGAAATAGAGTGTACTTACACAAACCTAGATGGTATAGCCTACTACACACCTAGGCTATGTGGCATAGTCTACTGCTCTGAGGCTACAAACCTGGATAGCATATTACCATACTGAGTACTGAAGGCAACTGTAACACAATACTAAGTATTTATGTATCTAAACATAGGAAAGATACATTAAAAATACAGTATAAAAGCTTCATTATAATCTTGTGGGACCACTGTTGAATATGTGGTACATTGTTGACTGTCATGTGGCACATGACTGTATTTCTTGTAGGACAGGTTTGCTAGCAATGCATTCTCTTAGTTTTTGTCTATCTGAGATTATCTAAATTACTATTTCACTTTTGAAGGGTAGTTTTGCTAGATACAGAATTTTGGTTGACAATCTTTTTCTTTAAGGAATTGAATATGCCATTCTGGCTTCCATGGTTTCTGATGAGAAGCCAACTCTTAACTGTTAAACTGTTGATTGAAGATCCCTTCGTATGTGATAAGTTGCTTTCCTCATGCTGCTTCCAAGAATCTTTCTTGTCTTTGGCCTTAAACAATTTGATTATGATGTGTTTACGTGTGGATCTCTTTGATGTATCCTATTTGAAGTTTATTGAGTTTTTTTGCATGTGCAGATTAATATTTTTCATCAAATTTGTAAAGTTTTTGGTCATTATTTTTTCAAATATTATTTCTGCTTCCTCTCTCTTCTCTTTCTTGGATTCTCATTACACACACGTACACACACACACACACACACACACACACACACACTACATATTTTTGATGTTATCTCAAATGTCTCTGAACCTTTGTTCATTTTTCTCCATTCTTTTTTCCTTTCTATCCCTTAGACTGTATAATATCAATTTACATATCTTTAATTCACAGATTCTTTCTTCTGCCTGCTCAGATCTGCTGTTGAGCCCTTCTAGTAAATTTTTCATTTCAGCTATCATACTACTCAACTCCAGAATTTATATTTGGTTCTTGAAAAAAATATATAATTTCTATCTCCTTGTTGATATTCATTACCTGATAAGATATTATTCTCATACCTTTTTCTAGTTCTTTGGATATGGTTTTCTTTACTTCTTTGAATGTATATAGAATAGCTGATTTAAAGTTTTCATCTTATAAGTTCAATATATGGGCTTCAGGGACAGTTTTTATCAATTATTTTTTCCCCCGGTGTATGTGCCTTACTTTCTTGTTTCTTTGTGTGCCTCATAATTTCTTATTGAAAACTGCATTTTAAATAACATAATATAATACAGCAACTTTGGAAATAACCTTCTCTCCCTTCCTCAGGGTTTGTTGTTGTTGATGTTGCTTCTTTGTGTGTTTAGTGACTTTTCTGAGCTAATTCTGCAAAGTCTGTGTTTTTTGTCATGTGTGGCCACTGAAATCTCTCTCTGCTTAGTGTTCAGCTAGTAATTAGACAGAGAGTTTCTTGATGCTTGAGACCAATAAGTCACCTTGTTTTTGCAGAGTGGCTCTGTGTGTATGTTGGGACATGCCTTCAACTCTCAGACAGGACATTGACAACTCCACCTTAGCCTTCCTGCTTGTGCAGAGCCTTAAGCTTAGCCCAGGGTGAGAGCTCAGGACCTTCCTTAGTTTTTCCTGCACATGTGCACAGCCCTGGGCATGTGCACCCTCCTGTGCGTACATATGGCTTTCTATATTCCTTGGGATATTTCAGAGCCTTTCAAGGCCCTTTATAGATATTTTATTCCCCCACATTTTCTTTTTAAGCTTTTTGTTTAGCCCTTTTTTTTTTTTTGCCTCAACTGTTATCCATTGTTTTAGGCAGCCACAAAGTCCAACAATTGTCTCTAGTTGTTTTCAACAAATACCCTTAAGGAAAAAGCTGTTCACTCCAGGCAAGCTTTGAGACAGGTGAAATAAAGACAGTCTTGCAAATGGTATCTTCCAGGGAACCACTAGACAGGTCAAATAATTACAACTCTCTGGGAATGAGGCTTTGAAGGAACTCCAAGGCTGTTCTACCCCTTCTTGTAGCTGCCAGGCTGCTGGTTTCCATGATGATTGTGGTTTGTTGGTTTTCAAAGCTACTGCAGAGTTGGGGTGAGGGGGATGGAATTGGAGCAAGTTAAAATGCCACAAGGCTCACTCTTCTTTCTATAATTATGTCATTTTTTTTCTTGAACGAAGACTTCCCAGATTGCTATAAACTTTTGATTAATTTCCAGAGTTCTGAAAAAATTGATTCTCACCATTTTTTGCCATTTTTCTCATTGCTTTTAGGGGGGAGGAAATTTTCAGAGGATTTTACTCCTACCATTTTCATTGACATTACGTGCAATATATTTTAATTACCCTTCTTTGTGATTGCTTTGTCACTTCTCAAAACTCAGTTCAAATGTCTCCTCCATTGCAAAGCCCTCTTCTTTGTATCCTCAGGGCAGCTATTCCTCTATTCTCCTATACCTCTGGGTTTATGTCTTTGTTATTTCACTTTTCATAATAACAGTTACTTACATCTGTTTCTATCCCTTTTTCCAGTCTGTAAGCACCCAGTCTGTGACTTGTTCATCCTCCATGCCCAGGCTAGTTTCTGACACACGGTAGATATTCAGGTTTGTAGTCTGAAGAGTATTGTCCTAGGAGACCTCAGAGCCTAGCCAAGGGCTTCTGAGTTCCAGCCACCATTTCTCTCCTTCTTCTATAATTCACAGCTGACCTCTATCTCTTCATTGTCTTATGTGTGCTCTGGTGTGATGAGAGTAAGTTCAGAATTGACACACTGAGTGTATGATATGGTTTGGATCTGTGTCCCAACCCAAATCTCATGTCAAATTATAATCCTCAATGTTAAAAGTGGACTCTGATGGGAGGTGATTTGATCATGGGAGTGGATCCTTCATGATCAAGAAACCTTCATGATTCATCATCCACTTGGTGCTATTCTCGTGATAGAGTTCTCATGAGATCTGGTTGTTTAAAAGTGTGTGGCACCTCCCCCTTCTCTCTCTTGCTCTTGCTCCTGCCATGTTAGAGGCCTTGCTCCCCCTTTTTCTTTCACCATGATTGGAAGCTTCCTGAGGCCTCCCCAGAAGCAGAAGTCACTGTGCTTCCTGTACAGCCTGTGGAACAGTGAGAACTTCTTTTCTCTTGAAATTGTCCAGTCTTAGGTATTTATTTATAGCAGTGCAAGAATTGACTAATACAGTGTATGAGGAAAATAGGGAGCAAAAAGTTAAATCCTGTGTGGGTGACATTCAGCAACAACAACAACAACAACAACAACAATAATAATAGCAGCTACTGTTTGCTGAATACAGTCTGTGCTAGACACCAGGCTATGGGCTTTATAGGCAATATCTCAATGAATTCTGACATCAACCCTATGAGGCATGTACTATTATCCTCATTTTACAGGTGAGGCTGAGTAAGGGAAGTGGGAGAACTGAGGTTGGATGAAGGCCTGACTCTAAAGCCTATATTCTTAACTGTCCCTTCTGAGGGGTTTTTGAGCAGCCAGTTGGAGGAAAGGAAGCCCCACCTGTGTTTGCCTTCCCCAGGACCTATTCTGCCTCCTTGTCTAAAGAGATGTGCCTGCTCCCAGGTGTGTTTAGCCCCGTGTGGGCTCACTTGGGTCACCTTGTGCTTTGAAACAAGATAGCACTGAGGGCTCCTGCTGCAACTGGCTCCCAGGGCAGACAGGGGTAGAGGCCCCACTTCCCTGGCATTGGGGAGACAGATGTGGCCCTCGGGCAAGAGGTGACAAAGATCTTCCATCATCACCCCAACAATTCCAACATGGTGACAGCCCCAGACTGCTAGAAAAGCCAACCCACATGGAGGCGAGATAAAATCCAGAGGGCTCAGAAACATTTCAACAAATGCTAATATCGGTCTCTCCAATACAGCTCTGTCAGCAGGAAGGGAGAATTCTGCCAGCATGCATGCATGGGGCACACTTTTTGGCACAAGGGACCTTGTTGCTAAGCAACAGTAGTTGGCCTCCCCTCCTCCCCATAACCTTTTCCTCTGTTTCTGAGTTTCCAGTTAGCAGATGGGAGGGGCTGGGGTTGCCTAGCCCAGCCCAGCCCTTGTCCCCCTTTCCTGCAACAAGGGGCCTATTCATGGGTCCTCAGCAGAGTTCATTGTCTCTGTGGCGCGTGTCTGTGTGAGTGTTGGAGTAGGGATACAGGGAGGGGCCATGTGCGAACCAGGGAGACCTCATCTTCCAACCAAGCTTGCTGGGCTAGCTTTAATCAATGCTGGCCTGAGAACAGGAGCGGAACATTGCCTAGTAGACCCTGAGGCTTTACAACAGTGCCACTGACCCCTATGGTAAGGTTACGTCTCTGTGCCATCCCTGCTGTGGCCTCTCTCTCTTTCTTTCTCTCTCCCTCCTCTGCCCTTGGGATTCTAGGCTGGTGGAAAGAGCCTCCTGAGGCAGCTCTGGTACAGGGGCTGGATCCTAGCAGGGGCCCTGTGTGGCCAATTTCCTGTTTCCTCCCCAGGGACTGCCCTTTATTATCCTCTTTCATCCCTCTTAGATCTATCAAGTGCTTTGCACATATGTGGTGCTCAACAAATCGTTATTACGTTGAACTTCCACTCAAAAAGAGGAGCAAGGAGTCCTGTAATTTTAAAGGCCATTTTTTTTTCTAGGCTAGCACATGAGCTTGGGCAGTTGAATTTTGAGGTGGAGCAGTACATGAGGTGAGGCCAGTTTATTCAGAGGCTGGGTTTAAAGCCAAGCTTCCTTGGTACTGAGGCAGAAGAAAAGACTGGCCATGCCCTGGAATTCTCTCTAGATCAGGCCTGCCTCTCCACTCAGAGGGACATCAGCTCAAGAGCAATCACACAACCCCAGAGAAGAAATCCAAACCTCACCTTCTGTTGCTGCTTCTCTACTATCTTATGGGTGCTTGACTGGCTCTCCCAAGCCTGCTGTCCTGCAGCCTCACTGCCTGTGTCCTGTGAGTCTCATCTGTAGGCACAAGAAAGAATGTGTGTGGTTTGATACAAACCATGACCTCTGTTTCTCCTGGAAAAGCAAGGCCTGCAGCTCTTGGGAGGTCCAGTCCTATAGGTCCTGGGCTGTGGCTGGTGTAGGGAATAGGGAGGTGGGGCTGGTACCTCTTTCTATAGGCAAGATGTTGGGGCTGCTGCGCTGTCTGTGAGCTGAACTGGCATGGGTGCTCTGGGTCCAGTGGAATGATTTTCGGGGCAATTTGGAGGTGACTGACCTAGGTGAGTCTGACAAAGTCTTTCCTTCCTCCTGCTGGAGGGTTAGGAAGACAGTTCAGTGGAGTACGAAGGCATGACTGGGGAGGTTTTGGCGTGAAAAGAACATTTCATGTGACACATGAAAATCACATTTAAGCCAATACTGTCCTGGAGTCAGCATTTCAGGCTTTTATCCTCATTGGGTACAACCCTATGTGTTGACAGGGAAAGATGCAGGGGAGACAGTAGTCTGCAGGGGAAACGGGAGTTGCTTCAGTTTTGAGAGATCTTATCTACCCTACTGGATTATAAATTTTGGGGGGAAGGATCCACAGCTTAGGTGTAGTTCTTATTAATATTATTATACTTAACATTTGTATTGGGCTTTACAATTTTTAAAGTCATTTTAATTCACATTATCTTATTTGTACCTCCCCCTCTGTCTCTCCCTCCCCCCTCCCTTCTTTCCTTCCCTCCTTTAATGTACTTTAACTGAATTCCCACTTTGTGCCAGGCTCTGTGCTTAGCCCTGGGATGCAAAAACCAGTGAGAAAGGAGAGAGAAGGAAGTAAATGAGCACAATATAGGGCCCAACAGGTGCTGTATGCATAGAAGGAAGCTTCCTGGAGAAGTGATGTCTGTGCTGAGTCTCGAAGGGTCAGTTGGAGTCAGTTACATGGGAAAGGGGAGAGCAGATGCAAAGTCTCTCTGTTGTGAGAGTGCCTGAAGGCACTGAAGTATGGCACGTATGTCAGTGTGATCCCAAATTTTGCTGTGGAGGGAGCAAGTGCTGGCAGTGAGGATGGAGAGGTGAGGCCAGGCGAGATCATGGAGGACTTTGTGAGCGATGCCATGGAGCTCCTGTTTGATCCTGAAGGCCACAAAGACTCATGGGGTAGAGATGGGGCTCACATGCTCATATTTGCATTTTAGAAAGATTACTCTGACTTTATGGCATGGAGAATAACAGAGAGAGACAAGATACTCGAGGAGGGAGATTATTCCTTGGAAAGCAGGAGTTATTACTCTTATTTTACAAATGAGAAAATTGAAATTTGAAGAGATGGCCTGAGTTGTCCAAGTTCACATAGTAGGTTGCAGACTTAGCTTTGAACTGTCTGGTGTTTTTTTTAAGATCTTATTTTCATTACTCCTCTTCATGGCTCATGAGCTGCAGACACACATATGACATACTCTGCTCTATGCTTTCTTATCCCTTTGCCTTTGCTGATTCAATCCTCTTTGTCTGGACTGCCCAATGCCCATTATATCAGCTCAAACCCTCTTCATCCCTGTGGGCCTGTCTCAGAGGCTGCTTTTTCTAGGAAGCCTTCTGTGATCACCTCAATGAGAAGTAAGCCCTTATTCTTTTGAATGATGATGGTAGTGTATTAGTCTGTTCTCACACTGCTATGAAGAACTGCCTGAGACTGGGTAATTTATAAAGGAAAGAGATTTAATTGACTCATAGTTCTGCATGGCTGGGGAAGCCTCAGGAAACTTATGATCATGGTGGAAGGGGAAGCAAACACACTCTTCTTCACATGCTGGCAGGAGAAAGAAGTGCAGAGTAAAGGGGGAAATCCCCTTATAAAACCATCAGATCTTGTGAGAACTCACTCACTATCATGAGAATAGCATAGGGGAACTGCCCCCATGATCCAATCACCTACTATGAGGTCCCTCCCCCAGTGCGTGGTAATTACAATTCAAAATTACAATTCAAAATGAGATTGTGGGTGAGGGGAGAGCCAAATCATATCATTCTATCCTGGTCCCTTCCAAATCTCATGTCCTCATTTCAAAACACAATCATGCCTTTCCAACAGTCCCCCAAAGTCTTAACTCGTTCCAGCATTAACCCAAAAGTCCAAGTCCAAAGTCTCATTTGAGACAAGGCAAGTCTCTTCTGCCTATGAGCCTGTAAAATCAAAAGCAAGTTAGTTACTTCCTAGATACAATGGGATACAGGCATTGGGTAAATACACCTATTCCAAATGGGAGAAATTGGTCAAAATAAAGAGGTTACAGTCCCCATGCAAGTCTGAAATCCAATAGGGCAGTCGTTAAACCTTAAAGTTCCAAAATGATCTCCTTTGACTACATGCCTTATATCCAGGTCACGCTGATGCAAGAGGTGGGCTTCCATGGCCTTGGGCAGCTCTGCCCTTGTGGCTTTGCAGGGCACAGCCCCACTTCTGGCTGTTTTCATGGGCTGCAGCTTTTCCAGGCTCACAGTGCAAGCTGTTGGTGGATCTACCATTCTGGGGTCTGGAGGATGGTGGCCTTCTTTTCACAGCTCCACTAGGCAGTGCCCCAGTGGGAACTCTGTGTGGGGGCTCCAACCCTACATTTCCCTTCCATACTGCCCTATCAGAGGATCTCCATGAGGGCTCCATCCCTGTAGCAAACATCTGCAAGGGCATCCAGGTGTTTCCATACATCCTCTGAAATCTAGGTGGAGGTTTTCAAACCTCAGTTATTGACTTCTGTGCACCCGCAGGCTCAACACCACAAGGAGGCTGCCAAGGCTTGGGCTTGCACCCTCTGAAGCAATGATCTGAGCTGTACCTTGTCCCCTTTTAGCCATGGCTGGAGCTGATGCAGCTGGGACACACAGTACCATGTCTCAGGCTGCACAGAACAGGGGGTCCTGGCCTGGCCCACAAAACCATTTTTCTCTCCTGGGCCTCTGGTCTGGTAATGGAAGGGACTGCTCTGCGGGTCTCTGACATGCCCTGGAGATATTTTCCCCATTGTCTTGGTGATTAACATTTAGCTCTTCATTACTTATGCAAATTTCTGCAGCAGGCTGGAATTTCTCCTCAGAAAATGGGTTTTCTTTTCTATCACATCATCAGGCTACAAATTTTCCAACCTTTTATGCTCTCTTTCCTCTTGAACACTTTGCTGCTTAGAAATTTCTTCTGCCAGATACCCTAAATCATCTCTCTCAAGTCCAAAGAGCCACAGATCTCATGACAGTGTGATCTAGAACCAGAAATACCATTTGACCCAGCAATCCCATTACTGTGTATATACTGAAAGGATTATAAATCATCTTACTGTAAAGACACATGCACACATATGTTTATTGCAGCATTATTTACAATAGCAAAGACTTGGAACCAACTCAAATGCCCATCAATGATAGACTGGATAAAGAAAATGTGGCACATATACACCATGGAATACTATGCAGCCATAAAAAGAATGAGATAATGTCCTCTGCAGGGACATGGATGAAGCTGGAAGCCATTATTCTCAGCAGACTAACACAGAAACACCACATGTTCTCACTCATAATGGGAGTTGAACAGTGAGAATACATGGACATGGGGAGGGGAACAACACACCCCGGGGCCTGACTGGGGGTGGGGGACAAGGGGAGGGAGAGCATTAGGACAAATACCGAATGCATACAGGGCTTAAAACCTAGATGACGGGTTGATGGGTGCAGCAAACCACCACGGCACATGTATACCTATGTAACAAACCTGCAAGTTCTGTGCATGTATCCTGGAAGTTAAAGTAAAATAAAAAAATTAAAAAAAAAAGAAAGACTATATGTCACATGGTTTCATTTATATGAAACTATAAAAAAGGGAACTCTAATATACAGTGAGAGAAACAGATCAGTGATTTTCCAGGGCTGTGAGTTGGGGAGGAGTTAACTGCAAAAAGGCAGAAGGAAAATTTCTGGGGTGACCTTCATGTCCTATATTTTGACTGTGTTGGTCATGTGGGTGTACACATTTGTCAAAGTTTTGATCTGAGAACTTAAAATGTATGTAATATTTTGAGTGTGCATTATGCCTCAATAAAGTTGAACAAAACACCCCCCCCCGCCAAAAAAAAACCACCAAAGTTCCACAGATCTCTAGGGCAGGGGCAAAATGCTTCACTTTTTTGCTAAAGCATAGCAAGAGTCACCTTTCCTTCAGTTTCCAAGACGTTCCTCATCTCCATCTGAGACCACCTCAGCCTGGACTTCATTGTCCATATCACTATCAGTATTTTGGTCAAAACCATTTAACAAGTCTCTAGGAAGTTCTAAACTTTCCCACATCTTCCTGTCTTCTTCTGAACCCTCCAAACTATTCCAACCTCTACCTGTTACCCAATTCCAAAGTCACTTCCACATATTTAGGTATCTTTACAGCAGCACCAATTTACTGTATTAGTTTGTTCTCACACTGCTATAAAGAATTACTGGAGACTGAGTAATTTATAAAGCAAAGAGGTTTAATTGACTCACAGTTCCTCATGGCTGGGAGGCCTCAGGAAACTTACAATCATGGCAGAAGGGGAAGCAAACATGTCCTTCTTCAACTGGTGGCAGGAGAGAGAAGTGCAGAGTGGAGAGGGAAAAAGCCCCATATAAAACCATCAGATCTTGTGAGAACTCACTCACTATCATGAGAACAACATTTGGGAACCAGCCCCATGATTTAATCACCTCCCACAAGGTCCCTACCCGAACATATGGGGATTACAATTTGGATTACAATTCAAGATGAGATTTTGGGTGGGGACACAGCTAAACCATATCAGGTAGTTTAGCTGAACTTTCCTTCTGTCACTTAACATATAGTGCTTTACATGACTTATCTTCAGGACCAGACTACAGGTTCTTTGACACAGTCAGAGTGGGGAGTGGTCCACGTTGGTTTATTCTGAACTCCCTATAGTGTCCCCTATAGTGACCTGTGCACTTGGACCAAATATCTATGGAATGAATGAATGGGTGGATGGGTGGGTGCATGGTGGAGGGGCACTTCTTCCTCTGAGATAGGAGGGAATGAAGAAGGGTGGGATCTTGAAGCTGAAGGAGTGTGTTGAGGGACTTTAGTAGATGCCTTCAATGTTTATGGAAGATGAAGGAGTGGCTAGGAGTGCAGGCTTTGGAGTGGGCCAAATCTGCATTCAAGTGTTTGCTACTGGCCATGTGAGAGTAAGGTCATTGGGGTTAGGGGCCCCAGGAGGGCACAGGGGAGCCTGGCAAGGTATTTGTGGGAATATACAGGGAGTCTCCAAGATGAGTAGAGGTTTACAAGTGGCAATGGAATCATGGCTGGGGTTAAAGAATGGGGACTTGGACTGGGCTGTGACTTCTCTCAGCAGTCCTTGATGTGGGGATCCTGGGTGTCTGGCCCTTATTTCCCCAGAGCCTGATGCTGGATGACCAACCCCCTATGGAGGCCCAGTATGCAGAGGAGGGCCCAGGACCTGGGATCTTCAGAGCAGAGCCTGGAGACCAGCAGCATCCCAGTAGGCCAGACTGGGCCATAGGGGAATGACAGGGTGGGGACAGTGGAGGGCAATCATCCTACATTCCCCGGATCCTCCTTGGGGTCAGCCCCACATGATTGATGGTGAGAGGCTGTCTCACTCTTTATCCCCAGACCTGCTTCTGCTCCCCATTTCCCACTTTAGGGATTGAGTGGGATTTGTGGGCTTCAGTGATCAGGCCCTCTCCATCCTCCCCTGCCCCCACTCCCTCCCTAATCTGGGCTGATGGGGCAGGAGGAGGTGTCCTGTTGGAGCTCTGTGGGTGCCTAGCCCCATAGTGGTGACTTAGGGTGAAGTAAGGCAGGCTGGCAGGAGCAGGGGACCCAGATACCCCTCTGCCCTTTCCCACAGTTTCTCAGGCAGTGTGCTGGCGTTCCATGCGACGTGGCTGTGCAGTGCTGGGAGCCCTGGGGCTGCTGGCCGGTGCAGGTGTTGGCTCATGGCTCCTAGGTCAGTGCTGGGGGCCTTTCTCTGGTGTGGGGGAGGTTGGAAGGGAGAAGCAGGTGCTGAGCAGGTGTTAAAGGTAAATGGGACAACTGTCTTCCTCAACTACTCTGTGCAGACAAGGGGAGAAAGGGTGAAATTGCAGCAGGAGGGATCTAGGCTCTACATAAAGAAGAACAAAGTGTATGATCCAAGGAGGCCGTAGTCAGACTTTTTCTGGAAATCTTTCCCAGTGAGAGAGACACAGAGAGAACACACACAGACAGAGACAGAGACATACTGAGAGACAGCTAGAGAGAGAGAGAGACAGAGAGAGAGAGAGAGAGAGGGAGAGAGAGAGAGAGAGAGAGAGAGAGAGAGAGAGAGAGAGAGAGAGAGAGAGAGAGAGACAGACAGACAAAGGAGAGTCAAAGAGGCAGAGATAGAGGCTGAGGCCGAGAGAGATGGAGCGCTATGCCCCTCCTCAGCAGGTTGGTTGGGGAGCTGCCTGAGAGCAAGGTGGCTGATGAGGAGGTCAGCACCTTGACACCTTCCTTTGGAAATCAGACCCTTTCTCTTTGTTCTTCTCTAAAGTGCTGTATCTGTGTCCTGCTGCCTCTCAGCCCATTTCCGGGACCTTGCAGGATGAGGAGATAACTTTGAGCTGCTCAGAGGCCAGCGCTGAGGAAGCTCTGCTCCCTGCACTTCCCAAAACAGGTGGGCTGCACCCCTAAGGCTACGGGCCTCCCTCCCCAGCAGGGACCTGTCACAGCTGAGGGCAAGAGAACCGACACTGAAGGGCCATCTGTTCACTGCCAACCATATGTGTTTCCCTCCTCTAGTGTGAGGGCAGTGACAAGGTGTCACCTTGCAGTGATCTCTGATTTGGGGCTTTCAGCACTGCCTGAGGACTGTCCTGATCTCTAGCTGGGGCAAGGTCCGGAGACCAGGCTGGCAGGAGGGATGGAAACTTGCCATTTGGGGCAGAGTGAGCCAGGGACATGGGGGAGGAGGGATCAGGTGTGTGTGTGTGGGAGCCAGTGTGTGACCAGCAGGGCCACCTAGGGACCTGGGAACATCAGCCCACCTCATCCCCACTCTCCCTCTCCTGATTGTCCCCTCCCCTCCAGGTAAGAGTTGGGGATCAGAAGGTACAATGCTGTCCAGAGGCTGGGGCTTAGAATAACCTCATTAGAATAAGGTTGGAGTCTGTCTTTGACTGTGTGACTTTGGGCACATTACTTCTTGTTGCTTCTGTTTCCTTCTCCATAAAATGGAAATATAAATATTTACTGCACAAATTGTTTAAGGATAAAACAAACTAATCTAAGAAAAGATATCAGCACAGAACTTGTGTAGTAGTCTGTTTGGTTTGCCATGACTAAGTACCACAGACCGGGTGGTTTAAACCACATTTATTTTCTCACCGTTCTGGTGGCTAGAAGTCCAAGATCAAGGTGCTGTGGAATTCGGTTTCAGGAGAGAGCTCTTTTCCTGGATTGTAGATGGCTGTCTTCTGCCTGTGTACTCCCCGGGCCTTTCCTCTGCTCTTGAGGAGAGAGGGAGCTCTCTGGTGTCTCTTCCTCTTCTTATAAGGACACTGGCTCTATTGGATCAGGGCGTCACCCTCGTGACCTCATTTAACCTTAATCACCTTCTTAAAGGCCCTGTCTCCAAATACAGTCACATTGAGGGTTGGGGCTTTAACATATGAATTTGTGTGTGTGTGTTTGGGGGCGGGGACATGAGTCAGTCCATAATAGCCTGGAAAAAGCATACACTCAACAACTGGTAATTATTATTATCACAAGATTTGAAATCAGAAGACCTGGATCTAAGTCCTGGATCCATCATTTCCTGACACTGTGATCTTGGGGAAGTTGCTTAAACTCCATGCCTTAGTTCTCCTTCTGCAGAATGGAGAGGATGGCAGTACTCATTGCACAGGGCTGCTGTGACAATGAATGGTAGACCACGCTTAAAAACACATGGTTAAAATAGAAAACTGAAATGCTCTACCAAAAGGGGTGATACTGCTCTTGGGACTGGTCTCACTCTCCGGGGAGCAGGGAACTTGGCACTGGGTGATCCAGATGCTGTCATTAAGGCCTCTTCAAGTACTACAGAATCCTGGGTCCAGCTCTTCCTGTCCCACCCTACCACCACCATCCTCTCCCATGTGGTTTTCATGCTGTGATTTCAGTATCTTTCAGAATAAACAGCGAAGACTTCTTGCTGGAAGCGCAAGTGAGGGATCAGCCACGCTGGCTCCTGGTCTGCCATGAGGGCTGGAGCCCCGCCCTGGGGCTGCAGATCTGCTGGAGCCTTGGGCATCTCAGGTAACAGGAGTTAGATGTGGGTCCTGTGAAGGGGGAGGCCTGGCTGGTGTGGGATGGGAATTGGAGACCTCTACCTGCCCGTCACTGGTCAATGTGCTCAGGAAATGTCAAGAGGTCTTTTTGGCCATCTTCTGGCCTCTGGGCACAATGGTGCCCCAGCCCATTTCTCTGTTTGGAGTATTACTGCTTTTTAACAAGCATAAACCCCAGCAGTAATCATTATCACAGTCTTGCGGTCACTATACTAGTATTATATCTCGTACATATTCCAGTTATGATTTCCTCCTGTTCTATTCCCTTCTTCTGCCAAGACTCACTCACCACAAGGGAGTAAACCTCACTGACATCAAACTCAACAGTTCCCAGGAGTTTGCTCAGCTCTCTCCTAGACTGGGAGGCTTCCTGGAGGAGGCGTGGCAGCCCAGGTAGGACTACTGAGGCTGTTAGGTGAGTGGGGTCCCTTACTTCCTGGTGGTCAATCCAGCAAAAATCTCCTTTCTTGGGATGCCGGTGGGGAGGACACTGGTGGCCTATGATAGGAGGACAAAGAGGAACATTTCCTAGTTAGAAATTACAAACTCAGTTCACATGAGCCCTGTCTGTCACCACTTCACATCTGCTATTTGCCCTTCACAAGAAATGTAGGGTTGGTTATTATTGTCACAAGATTTGACATGGTACTCATCACCATTTTACAGGTTAGGAAACTGAGGCTTAATAAGGTTAAAGAGTCTTGTCCAAGGTCACATAAGTAATAAGCAGCTAAGTCAAGCCTTGAAACCAGGCTCCTGTCTCCAAGCTAAGTGCTCTCTGAATCCTGCCACACATTATTTGGATAATTCGGATATTTCAGGAAAGAGATGGTTGAGTTGCTCTGGCTAAGAGTTGCTTGTAGTCTGGAGAGTCTCCTAGAGAAGAGGGCTGTGGAATGGAGCAGCCCCTTCCCCAGATCCTGGGGATGGTTTGGTATGACTGGGGCACAAGCGGAGAGGGTCTTTGTGCCTTCCTAGGCTTCCTCAATCTGCCTATCAGCCTCCTGGGATAGAAAGGTGGGCACCCCCATTACCACATTTCCAATTTGAACTGTTCCTTCAGGCCCCTCCTGTCCAGCTCCTGTGCTCAGGAATGTGGCTGGAGTTGGGAAGGTTCTGACAGGGTTCTTGTCTTGGATACCTGAATGGGAAAATGGAAGTAGGGGTGGGGCTGACTCCTCCAGGAGAGCCGGGAGGGCTATGGATTTGGGAAACTAGGAGAAACTAAGAGGGTCTAGACATTGGACTGCTAGGGGCAAGAGGTGAGTAAAGAAAGAGAAGAGAGTTTTGGTCAAAAAAGGAACTAAGAGCTAAGAGAGAAGAGGGGAAAGAGGAGAGCAAGAATATGAATATGCAAAGCCCAGGCAGAGGGACCAGGGTGGAGAATACAGCAAACCTAGGAAGGAGCATGGGGTGAAGAACCCTAGTCACCCACACACTCACCTATCCGTTCATTCATTCATTGAGTGTGTATTCATTCAGGACACTTAGTGGGAACAGTGTGGCTTTCTCATCTGTAAACACACTATGTCCCAGTTGATCTGCAAGGACCATGAAGTCCTTCTGTTGCCCTCTGGGAGACTAGGCAGGAGGTGTGCTCCTGTCCTGGGGACCACTGATGAGGAGGGGTCTGAGTGTTTGGGTGGGGGCAGGAAGGAAATGGTGGTATTCTTCAGGCTGTGGCTACATGACAGCCTTAAGAACTGTCCACCACCCCCACCAGCCTCCCCCATTCTTCACGTCCTTGGATGTGTGTGGCTGCAGGGCGGCCCCTGCCCAGCTTCTTGTTGGTACCTCTGTTTTGCAGGAACAACTGCACTTCTGGTCAAGTTGTTTCCCTCAGATGCTCTGGTGAGTCATATCTTGGTCTAGGGGAGGTGGCGGTGAGAGGAAGGGGTGTTCCCCCTGCCTCAAGTGTGGAAGAGCCCTATGGTGAGACTCTGCTGGGCCTGGGGTAGGGGTCTTGCCCACCTGCCCATCTGCCTGCCAGGCCCCTTCTTGCAGTTGCTGTTCTGCCCCAGCCGAACCCTTTCTAAGCCTCCATCATGTCCCTCACCAGCCACAGATCTGGGCTGATGATCTCCTTCCTTCACTACCTGCCACTCTCTTCCTTGGCCTCTGACACCAACTCCATCTTTCTTCTGGAAAGCCCCAGAGGTGAAATTATTATTGGCTATTGAGTGACCTGTTAGCAGCTTCAGGAAACTAAGGGCAGGTGGTGAATCAGGTACCAAACGGGAAGCAATCTGTGGAGTTCCTTTCATTGGTCTTCCCGTTCATCTACCCGTCTCTTCATCTGTCCATTCACACATCCTTCCACACACCAACACTTCGACCTTTACTACAGGACAGGCATTCTGTTAGGTACTAGGGCTCCATTAGTGCAGATACAGTTTCTGCTTTCAGTGGGCCCACAGCTGGATGGGGCAGGCAGGGGTGAAATCAACACTTCTACCTTCCCATCCCCCATACTTAGGACCAGGAATAAGAAAGGAGAGCTGTCCACACTGGCTCTCTGGGGCTTAGCACTGGGCCACGCTTCCTGAGAGTTAGGACCATGCTGACACTCACCTCTCTCTCTCTTTCTATCTCACCCATCTCTGTTGGCAGAGTGTGGAGCGAGGCCCCTGGCTTCCCGGATAGTTGGTGGGCAGTCTGTGGCTCCTGGGCGCTGGCCGTGGCAGGCCAGCGTGGCCCTGGGCTTCCGGCACACGTGTGGGGGCTCTGTGCTAGCGCCACGCTGGGTGGTGACTGCTGCACATTGTATGCACAGGCAAGTCTCTGTGGCTGCTGAGGACAGAGAGCCTCAGTTGCCCTTTCTGTTCGGCTGTTGGTATGTCCTGTATCAAATGTTCGTGTCCAACTGTCTCCAGCTTTTTGCTCCAAAAGGGTAAGACTGGTGTTTGTGAAGTTCTCTCATTCAGTATCAAGAACAGATCTGCACAAATAACAGTAATAATATGAAGATTTGTTCTTTATATTCATCAGTTTTTTTTTTTTTTTTTTGAGACAGAGTCTCACTTTGTTGCCCAGGCTGGAGTGCAGTGGCGCAATCTTGGCTCACTGCAACCTTCACCTCCTGGGTTCAAGCGATTCTTGTGCCTCAGCTGGGCACCACTATGTTCAGCTAATTTTTTGTATTTTTAGTAGAGATGGGGTTTCGCCATGTTGGCCTGGCTGGTCTCGAACTCCTGACCTCAGGTGATCTGCCTGCCTCAGCCTCCCAAAGTGCTGGGATAACAGGCGTGAGCCACCGTGCCTGGCCTCATTAGCTTTTAAGTGTTAAAAATACTTTCACATTCACAGTATCCTGTGTTTCTTCAGGCTTATCTTTGGTTCAATCATTTTCCATGTAATTATTTGGTTAATATGTTTCTTCCCCTTTAGATGGGAAGCTCTGCAGGAGCAGGGACTCTCAGTCTTATTTACCACTAAATCTCTTTGTAGATTTATCCACTGCTGTGTCCCCAGGGTCTAGAACAGTCCCTGGAATATAGTAGGTGCTTAATAAATATGACTTGGAGGAATGAATGAATGATGAGTGAATGAGCTCTTTGATCTTCTCTTGGTGCCGGACAGGGCAGAGAGTGTAATCCCCATTTTACCGAGGCTGAGAGGGAGAAGTGCCTCTCCCATGATCACACACAGTAAGTTGAGAGATGGGACCAGGGGAAGTTTTTCCAACACAAGGCCCTCTATGTGTTTGTTATAAAACTTGGAGGGAAGTTATGCAGGAAAGAGGGAGTGGTGGTTGCAGATGACCCATAGTCTTCTCTATCCATCAGTCCTGCAGCATTTATTAAGCACCTACTGCATGCCCAGTGTCTTGCCGGCTGCTGGGGTGATACTAAGAGGCATAGTCTGTGGGGCCTGGGAGCTCACCGCCTGCTGACGGCCCCCCCACCAATGGCTGCTCTGGCCAGCTTCCTCCACCTGCTACCTTGCTTAGGAACACCTCTTCTGCCCCTTCCTTCCCCGCTCAGCATGGCCCCTGTGTGCAGTTTCAGGCTGGCCCGCCTGTCCAGCTGGCGGGTTCATGCGGGGCTGGTCAGCCACAGTGCCGTCAGGCCCCACCAAGGGGCTCTGGTGGAGAGGATTATCCCACACCCCCTCTACAGTGCCCAGAATCATGACTACGACGTCGCCCTCCTGAGGCTCCAGACCGCTCTCAACTTCTCAGGTGCGGCACTGGCTTGAGGGTGGGCAGGCTGGAGACTATGGCGAGAGAGGGCGGGGGCTGGGTGGGAGAGTGGTGAGCTGATTTCTGAAGTTTCCTCTGAACACTGTAAACCTTAAAACATTCTATTTATTTTGGGACTAGTGAATTTTGGCATCATCTGGTTCTGAAATTGTTATCAACTCTTGTACAGGCTCTTTTGGGAAAAGAGGTTCAGACCCATTTCATGGCTAGGGGGCAGGTGGGCTTTGCCTTGAGGTCTGAAGCAGCTGCCCCATCCACCAATAGGCTGCTCCACCCCTGTCCCCAGGCTAGCCTCGGGTCCTAGCCATTTGGTGCCATGTTACAGTTTATGAGATACATTTTTTCAAATATCTTCTCTTTCAGTCCTCGTAACAACCCTGATAGATAGTTGAAACAGGTAGATACAGACAAGAGCACTGCAGTGCAGGGAGGGAAGCAACTCTCTTCAAGGTCATGTGGCAAACAGTTCCTAAGCCTGATGCCAGGGCTCCTCCTGCTGCTGCACCTGCCCGTGAGCCCAGGCTGGAGCTATACCAGCAGCCACTCTCCCCGACACACACGTGCATGTGGGCATTCACCTACAAACACACACACACATGCACTCACACAGTCATGTGCACATAGACTCACACGTGAGCATTCACACATGCTCACATGTACGTGCTCACATGAACACACTTGCGCACACACACCACACACACAAACATGCACACTGTACACACACATATACGTTCACATATACTTAACACTCCTTCCTCCCGTCATTACCTGTAGCCTTAAGTTTCCCAAATAACAGTCATTGCCATACACATTTCACAAATTGTATCACATACGTGAACTATCGTTCAACAGATATTTCTAAGGCTGGGCATGGCGGCTCACGCCTGTAATCCCAGCACTTTGGGAGGGTGAGGTGGGCAGATCATTTGAGGTCAGGAGTTCAAGGCCAGCCTGGCCAACATGGTGAAACCCCGTCTCTACTAAAAATACAAAAATGAGCTGGGTGTGGTAGCTCATGCCTGTAGTCCCAGCTACTCGGGAGGCTGAGGCAGGAGGATCACTTGAACCTGGGAGGCAGAGATTGCAGTGAGCTGAGATCATGCCACTGCACTCCAGCCTGGGTGACAAAGCAAGACTCCGTCTCAAAAAAAAAAAAAGAAAAAAAAGGAAAAGAAAACTTTCTTAGTTGACCGAAATAAGTGTATTTAAAAGAAAAATACGACTATATTAGTATCTAAGTAGTAGATACTACATGAGTATCTACTGTAGTAGTATTTCTCTTTTAAATATACTTATTTAGTTATAATAAATAGTATATTTACTATATAGTATAGTAAGTAAATAGCATATTTACTATTTAAATATACAAAATAGGTATAGTAAATAGATAATAATTAGTATCTCTAGTTAGAGAACCTATATTACTTACCTAACTAGAGAACCTATGTTACTTATAATAAATAGATCCTAACCACAAAAATATGTAGCATGAAAAGAAATCAGTGTGGAAGTTCTAGGTAGCTGAGTCCGCTGCAGAAGTTGCTGCACCTGGGCGTGCTGTCTCCTGTTTGGTGGGAGGACGGCAGGCAGTAAGAAAGGCACAGACCAGCACCAAATGAAGTCTTTCTCTGTGATGCGGTTAGAGGGACTGAAAGAGAATTGAAAAGGACATGGCGTTCTCCCCAAGTGAATGCTTTACTCAATAGTGTGCCTATGTACTACCTAAAATCATGCATGGCTGCACCCATGGGATATGTCACGTTTTTGGAAACACTGTCCTCATTAGAAGTTGGGTGCCCATGGCCTGAAAGAATTTTCACCCCCACTCCATCCCCAGGTGTGGGGAGGGGGCAGCATGGGTCCTGTCCACCCATAGAGGGCGCCATGCACACTGCAGTTTGCATGCTGTCCTCTGTGACAGGGGACCCCAAAGATGGGACAGTGCCCCACTTGCATAGCCATCTAGGAGGCCTGGCTGGTGGAACCCAGGAGCCAGGACTGTTTGAGAAGGGGGCTGAGGAGGACTTGCCAGTCCTGGGTCCTTCGCCCAGGCTCTGCAGTGGGGGAAGCCAAGCCTGACTGGGGACCAGGACCATGTGCCTCTCTACAGACACTGTGGGCGCTGTGTGCCTGCCGGCCAAGGAACAGCATTTTCCGAAGGGCTCGCGGTGCTGGGTGTCTGGCTGGGGCCACACCCACCCTAGCCATAGTGAGTCAGCTCCCTGGGCCCTCGGTGCAGGGGCGGGTGTGGGAGGCATTCTTCCCCAGGGTGAGGCAAGGCCACATCCCCTGGCCACATGACAGTGCCAGCCCTGTTTTTCCCTGGCATCACCCTTGGTCAGGCCTAGGGTCTCCAGTCTCCCCTGCTTGGGCCTTTCTGGGGAGAACATCTACTGCAAGTTTTCCCTAAACCCAGACCCTTTTACTCCCCCTCCCCTTGTCCCAGGAGCGCCATGGTCTCACATTTGGTGTATGTGTGAGTCCTCCTGCTCTTCCCACTCCCAGCCCCCAAGTCCGATAGCCTACTGCTTCCTTGCTCAGCGTCCACAGCTCCCACCCTGGGCTCGCCTCTTTGGGTCTCCCTGTCTCTGGGACTTCGAATTACCTCCCCTCTTGCTGCTCTGCCTGCCTGGGCCTTGCTTTGTGCCCTGCAGTTTTTCTCGGTGTCTCTCATAGCTTACAGCTCGGATATGCTCCAGGACACGGTGGTGCCCTTGTTCAGCACTCAGCTCTGCAACAGCTCTTGCGTGTACAGCGGAGCCCTCACCCCCCGCATGCTTTGCGCTGGCTACCTGGACGGAAGGGCTGATGCATGCCAGGTGTGGCCTGTGGTGGCTGGGGTGAGGGTGGGAGTGGAGGTGGGGGTGGGAGGGCAGGGGGCCTGCTGTGACTTGGCCCCCTGCCCTGGTCTGAGCTTGTCAGTGGTGTGAGACAGCCTCTCTAGAAGGAGGGGCACCTAGGCAAGTCTGGAGCTCATGCTAAGGGTTTAAGGAGGGGTGAGGCCAGCAGATATCTCAGCTAGAAGCAGGCGGGGCCCAGTAAGGAGATTCCACTTGCCATAGTGGTCTGGTGCTCTCCATCAGGAAGAACTAACTGGCTGTTTCTCTGTGTCTCCATGCCTGGATCCCTTAGGGAGATAGCGGGGGCCCCCTAGTGTGCCCAGATGGGGACACATGGCGCCTAGTGGGGGTGGTCAGCTGGGGGCGTGGCTGCGCAGAGCCCAATCACCCAGGTGTCTACGCCAAGGTAGCTGAGTTTCTGGACTGGATCCATGACACTGCTCAGGTGAGTGTGGGGGCAGGAGTAGGGCAGGGAGATTTCTAAAGGACCTGCCCTCGAATGCAAGGAACCTTACCCCTTAGGCCCGGGCCCTGCTGGGGACTGGGGAGGGTGCTAGGACATATTCCCCAGAGTGAGTGGAGGAAGAAGTGAAGCTTAAACATGGAATCCATTGGATTTCTATCAGTTTAAGGATGAACTGGGTAAGAGTATGCCTGAGTTTGTATCCCAGATCTACCATTTCCTGTGTCGACCTTTGGCAAATTTCTAACTTTGTTAAACCTTAATTTCCTGATAATAACCATGATGGCTACTTATATGCTATTGTTATATGCTATTAAATAAGACCCGTACAATGCCTAGCACAGTGCTAGGCTTAGAGTGAGTGATCTGCAGTGTTTTTTGTTTTTTTTTGAGATGGAGTTTTGCTCTTGTTGCCCAGGCAGGAGTACAATGGTGCAATCTCAGCTCACTGCAACCTCTATCTCCCGGGTTCAAGCGATTTTCCTGCCTCAGCCTCCCAAGTAGCTGGGATTACAGGCATGCACCACCACGCCTGGCTAATTTTTTGTATTTAGTAGAGATGGGTTTCACCATGTTGGTCAGGCTGGTCTTGAACTCCTGAGCTCAGGTGATCCACCAGCCTTGGCCTCCCAAAGTGCTGGGATTACAGGCATGCACCACTGTGCCCGGCCTATCGTGTTATTTATGTGTATATCTGTTACCATCATTCATCCCTGGTCTCTAAGGCAGTTACTAGTGGCCACATTCCCTGCACTGTGGAGAGAGCTCAGCATTTAGCAGTTCGGGTTCTGCACCTACGTAAATTGTGTGACTCCGGGCAAGCCACTCTCCTTCATCTGTTCAATGGGAAGGCCAAGTGAGATAATGTGTATAAAAACACATTACTGGTCGGGTGGGGTGGCTCACGCCTGTAATCCTAGCACTTTGGGCGGCCGAGGTGGGCGGATCACGAGGTCAGGAGTTCGAGACCAGCCTGACCAACATGGTGAAACCCTGTCTATACTAAAAATACAAAAGTTAGCTGGGCATGGTGGCACGCACCCAGCTACTTGGGAGGTTGAGGCAGGAGAATCGCTTAAACCTGGGAGGCGGAGGTTCCAGTGAGCTGAGATCGTGCCACTGCACTCCAGGCTGGGCGACAGAGCAGGACTCTGTCTCAAAAACAAAACAAAACAAAAACATTATTTACCTAAAGTATTTTACAAATTTAGGGCATGATCATGAAAAGCATCTTCCTCTAAGGTTGGGCAGGGGTGGGGGTTGGTAGATAATACATTCGGAGTTTACAGGGAATGTATGTATTGATCTTCTCAAAGAAATCTTACAAAAAATCTTGAGCAGCAGATATTTTTAGCCTCATTTGATAGAAGTGAAAATCAAGGCCCTGCATGGTTAAGTGATTTACTAAAATAAAAGTCGCTTGGCTAGTGTAGAGCCATGCTGTGAATCAGTTCCTTTCCCTTTTGGTCTAGGACTCCCTCCTCTGAGTCCTGCTGTTTCCTCCAGTCTCACTGCACACCACTGCCTCATGCTTCCTGGGGCCTCCAGCAGCTCCACTAATGGAGGAGAGGCAGTAGCCTCCGACACAGAACGCATGGACCTCCTACTACTGTGTGTGAGGAACAGTCACTACCCACTGGCCAGCCACCCAGCCAACAGGTCTCTCCTCTTGGGCCCTGATTTCAGAGTCCTCTTTCTCACTAGAGACTCAATGACAGAAGAGAGGCTGGGACTTGGTTGGGCATGCTGTGGTTGCTGAGGGATGAGGGGGAGGAGAGAGGTAGGAGCTGGAGATGAAGAGGCTGCTAGAAGCAGCAGGAAGCCTGCCCTTCTGCCCTCTCCCCTCCCTGCCCCTGTGTGAGTCTTTTGGGAGGGTGCTGGGAGGTGCCCCCCGTCCCACCTTTTTCCTGTGCTCTAGGTGGGCTAAGTGCCTCCCTAGAGGACTCCATGGCTGAGAGGCTCCTGGGCAGATGGGGTCAAGGCTGGGCCAGCCCAGATGAAGCCTATGGGAGTCAGGACCCTCTCCACTCTCCCTCTCCACTCCCCTTCCTGTTCTCACCTGGCTGTGGCTGGCCCTGTGTGGGGTGGGTACACTGGAAAACAAGAAGGTTGGAGTTGGTCTAGGACATTGGTTTTAAATGACAGTTCTGTGAACTGGTCCAAGGAGTTCTGTTATTAAAGTGATATATGGTCTTGGTCCAGTTTTCTCTGTCTCCTCTCTCTCACTCGCACAAAGACAGACAGACAGACAGACAGACACAAACACATATTACAGGGTAGAATTACAATTTTCCTTCTATCTTCTATACATATTGAAGCTTTGGTGCTGACTCCTGTTCATCTACTTGAGAATTTTGGTTTGTGCTTATTTGTTTTGCCCAGGCTGGAGTGCAGTGGCACCATCTCTGCTCACTGCAGCCTCGATGTTGTGGGCTCAGTGCCTGCCACCTCAACCTCTCTGGTAGCTGGGACTACAGGTGCATGCCACCACACACGGCTAATTCTTCTTTTGTATCTTTTGTAGAAATGGGGTTTGTTTAATTCTTTAAATTTGTTAAATCTATATGTTGGCTGGGCGCGGTGGCTCACCCCTGTAATCCCAGCACTTTGGGAGGCCGAGGCCGGCAGATCACGAGGTCAGGAGATCGAGACCATCCTGGCTAACACAGTGAAACCCCATCTGTACTAAAAATACAAAAAATTAGCCAGGCATGGTGGCGGGCGCCTTGTAGTCCCAGCTACTCGGGAGGCTGAGGCAGGAGAATGGCGTGAACCTGGGAGGCAGAGATGGCAGTGAGCCGAGCCGCACTCCAGCCTGGGTGACAGAGTGAGACTCTGTCTCAAAAAAAAAAAAAAAAAAATCTACATGTCATGATCTGCAATGAAAAGCCTTAGCCATCCAGGTGCTCTGAGATCTTGAGTCTGAGAAGCACTTAAGTCAATGCTCTCTTGGGAAGGTCTGGTTTCCCTGCAAGGCCCATCTCTCCTTCTCTCTCCCCTTTTTTTTTTTTTTTTTTTTTTTTTGAGACGAAGTCTTGCTCTGTCACTCAGGCCGGAGTGCAGTGGTGCCATCTTGGCTCACTGCAACCTCTGCCTCCCGGGTTCAGGCAATTCTCCTGCCTCAGCCTCCCGAGCAGCGGGGATTACAGGCATACTGCAGCCACCATGCCTGGTTAATTTTTTGTATTTTTAGTACAGACGGGATTTCACCACGTTGGCCAGGCTGGTCTCGAACTCCTGACCTCAGGTGATCCATCTGCCTCGCCCTCCCAAAGTGCTGGTATTACAGGTGTGAGCCACCGCACCTGGACCCATCTCTCCTTCTTAGCTCTTGTTTTGGAACTGGGCCTTTGACTTGGCCTCTCTTTTTGAGTTTTATGCCCAGTTAGCATTTCCTTGGGTAAGCCTCTCCCCAACTCTCTCCTCTCTAGCAGTTAAAATGTGACTGGCATCTTCTTTCTAAAAACTGCAGTGAATTTTTTATGGTGCTTACCCAAGGAAATGCAACTAGTGTTTAGCAATAACAGAACTTTGTGAGTTTATCAGCATATTTTTTGAGGAGTTGTACAAATGATTACTCATTTCTAGAGGGTCTGCTCCCTTTACATGAAGTGCACTAGAAAATGAAGGTTTCAATTTACTGCCAGTTTATTAACCAGGGAAGTAGTTGCTGGGAGTCTGCTGTCAAACTGTAGAAGCAACGTGGGAGAAGTTCTGCTGAATGGCAAAATAGCCTCGCCCTGTGTCCCTGGAGGTCAGACCTTCAGCCTCTACCCTGGGATCAACATTTACTGCCCAGCTCCCTTAAGTCCCTGCCTCAGGAGGCACTGATGGGGTAGTAGATCCCCCTGGGCAGGGATAAGTTAACAGCAAATCCAGCAGCTGTGATCTTTTTTGTGTTTCTGATGTCAATCATAATCATTTGCATATTTAAAGGGAAGTTTAAAAAAATTACAGCCATCAAGGTCTTTCAATACTCAGTAACATTTGAATAGTGTTTTACAGTTTAGAAAACATGCCCATATGTGGGAGCTCACAAATCTATGTGGTGCAGATGTTATTATTATTGTCCTCATTTTCCAGATAAGAAAATTAATTCAGAGAGATTAAGTGACTCCCCCAAGACCACCCAGCTGGTAAGCACTAGAGCCAGGATGTCAACCGTGGGTCTTTTTACTCTAAATCCACATTACTGTCATGCACATGAATGAATGAGATGGTCCAGTATTGCACAGAAGAATAGAATTGGAAGGTACTTGCTCAGGTCACCTGGTGTAAGTCACCTGCTTATAGTAATGCCTTGGCACACCTACCTTTTTTTTTTTTTTTTTGAGACAATCTTACTCTGTCACCCAGGCTAGAGTGCAGTGGCATGATCTTGGTTCACTGCAATTTCTGCCTCCCAGGTTCAAGCGATTCTCATGCCTCAGCCTCCTGAGTGGCTGGGACTACAGGTGTGCACCACCAAGCCTGGCTAATTTTTTTTGTACTTTTTTTTTTAGTAGAGATGGGGTTTCGCCATGTTGGCCAGGCTGGTCTTGAATTCCTGGCCTCAAGCGATCCACCTGCCTTGGTCTCCCAAAGTGCTGGGATTACAGCCGTGAGCCACCACACCCGGCCTCCCACACCTACTTTTTTATAGATGAAGGAACCAAAACCCAGGAATTTAAGAGGCTCCTGCCAAAGACCCTTCTCAACAATATTCTTAGAAATTTTCAGTTCTCCCTGAGATTCACGGTCTTGACTAAAACTTACAAATGAATATCTCCTATAGGAGAGCTATAAAGGGTACCCTAATTAGAGAATTTGCTAATAAAGATTCCTTGCTTACCTATACAGAAGTTCTTGTTCTCTTTGGCCAGGCTACCAGTCAGATCTGCAGATGCAGAATCTCTCACTTTCCTTATTAGCATCTGCCAGTCCAGCTCTTTGGAAAGGGAAGGGAAGCGAGTGGCCTGGCCAGCTCCGTTCCCCTGAGCCTGCTCCTGGAATGAAGGGGTGGAGGTGGGGCCAGGAAGGTTGGGAAGATTCGGGTTCAGAAGGGCCTTAATGAGGACCAGCTGGGTTCCCAGCTATCTTAAGCTCTGTAGGGAATTCGGAGGTAGAAAAGCCGACTGTCTTATTGGAGAAATGAGACTTATTTGCAATAAATTACTAGTAGCCAGCCAGGCAGAGAGCTGAGTGGGGAGGTAGTAATTGCTCAGGGAGTTCCAAGAGCCTGTTGTTACAGAAGTCAGAGTAATTCTGTATGTGGGAAACCTCTGCCTTCCTCCGGTAGGATTCAGCATCCCACCTGCTTGGGCAGAGCTTTCGAGCCTCCTGAGATGTTCCAAGAGGGTCATTCCTGGCTGCCATGATGGGTGCAGATCCCTTCCCTCTTCTTCTGTGTGCTTGTGGGGTCTCAAGGATGCTAGAGGGTTCAGCATCCCTCTAGCATCAGATTCAGGTTCTCCCCTCCTGACACCTTCTGTGGAGTCGTGCTTTTCCTAAAAGGGTTTCTGGGAACAAGGGGCGGCCCTGCCATTCCTCAGGAACATTTCTCAGGCTCTTTCTTATATTTTCTTTTTGGAGGTGCTTGGCTCACCCACAATAGGACAAAACTGGAAATGCTATAAATGCTTAGAACTGGTTTGGTAGCTGTCAGATGTTTTCCCAAGTCCCTCTGATGCTTCTTCTCTCCTCTCTACTCTGCCGTCTCCTGGCCATGCTCTCAGGACCCTCTTGCTGCTCCACAGCTACTCAAAGGAAAACCTACCTTCACCTGCCCCCACTTTCCAGTCCAGCATCCTGGGCCTGAGCCCCATCTATACCTCCCTAGCAGACATGCTGCAGTGAACACTCAGGGTGTGCCGCACCCTCAGGACTCTGTTTCCTACTAAACTAATCAGAGCCAGGTGTTGTTAATGACTTTTTCAACTGTGTGTTAAATCCCTCCACCTCTAGGCAGGTTCGTAAGGAAGTAGGTAGGCAGCAGCTTCCTACTCCTGAGGGCTGAGGCTGGTCTCTCTCATACATTCAAGGCTGGGAAAGAGAGAGGCCAAGCAGGCCTGCCTGCTCGGAGTCTCCCCAGGGTGGAGCACTCCAGGGGGATCTGTGGAGGCTTTCACCTGGAGGTGGTGCTGGAGGGAACCAAGCTGGGGAATCAAACAGAATGGAGAGAGAAATCGTGGCTGCAGAGGCACAGAGTCCTTGCTACTTAGCCTCTCCCAGAACAGCACGTGGGCTCCAGGAAGGCAGAGACTTGCAAAAGGCTGGCATCATCTCGGAGCTTTCTCCCTTCCAAGGAACCTCTGGCTGTGACATCTGATAGTAGGAAACAATGGTTCTAGATGCAGAGTCCCATCACATCCCACGTGGGAATGTGCTGCTCGAGCAGGTGACTCAGTCTCCCTGGATTTTGGTCTCTCATCTGTCAACTTAGAAGTCTGGGCAAGATGGTCTCCACGGGATCTGCCTTGTTAGACCAGCTTTAACTCAAACTTCTTTTGCCTCTTGAGATGTCTGCCCACCACTTCCAGTTTGGATAACCTTTAGGAGCAGCCTGTTCCCTGGGACAGATCTACAGAAGTCAGCTTGCTATAGCTTCACAGCACTGCAAGGCTGCCGTCCCTGGGAGCCCTCTGGGTCCATGGGAGCAATAGAAACTGGGCAAAAGACTTGGAAGGCAGCTTTCGCCATGTTGCTGTACCTAGCATTTGTACCCTGGGCAAGGATTCAAGGAAAGGTTGAGCCCCTCAATCTGGCAGTTTTTTAGGTGCTCTCCAGCTCACTTTCTGATACCCCAGGCTCTGTCTGAAGCCTCATGGGCCCCAGCTCCGCAAAGGCAGCCAAAGGAATTTCCTCTCTACCACGAAGACCGTGAACGCTTTCCTTCTTTCTGTTTTCCTTGACAGCTCCTAAGCTGGCCATGAGGACCCACTCCTTCCTCCAGCCTTTCTTCATGCCTAGAATAGTGAGGAAAGTTGTGGGTTAGCAGAACCGCTAGAAAACATCTGGGATCCAAACCCTGCTCTGGACCCAGCCACATGCCAGGCTCAGGGAGGGAGGATCGGTTTTCCCACAGCCCCTCTGTTAGGGTGACCCATCTTCCAAGTTGGCCCAGGACTGTCCTGGTTTTAGCACTGAAAAGCTTATGTCCTGGGAAACTTTTCAGTCCTGGACAAACTAGGACAGTGGCTCACCCTAAGTCTAATGCATCTCTTCTGTATAAATGGAGTTCTGCAAAATTCAGTGCATCCCCGAATCCTACTATCCTTCCTCAGTTTGAGGAAGCACTCCCTGGTGCACAGAGTTGGAGGAGGAAGGTCCTGGGAATTCTCAAGGTCTGAACTGTTTTGCAAAGGCTGTGACACCAGCAGATGCTGCCTTGCCCTGGAGGCCCTTAAGGAGAGAGCCCCTCCTTCCTCAGGGCCTGCAGCTTCCCTGGTTGCCACTTCCCTGTGGTAGCTTCTGAGCCTGCAGCCAGGGCAGCCCTCCCTCACCTTACCTAATGTTTTGCGCAAACAGCCTGGCCCTCCTAGGCCCAGAACTTCTCTGGCAATTTGCGGGAGGCTAGGAAGGTGAGTCAGGTGTAGTGTTACTCCGGCAAGCCATGCATATCGATGTCCCAGTTTCCCCTGGTCACTCTGATTTCTGGTTCCTAGAGCCCGGTGCGGGCTCAGCATGTTATAGGTGCTGGCTTCGAGTGGTTGAGCCCACTCAGGAGGAGGAAGAGAAGGGCCTGCCGCCCGTACGGGAGCTGGATGGGCTTCTTCTCCTGGCCTCTGCCTTCCAAAGATCATCAGAGAGGAGCAAAGAAGAGACTGCCAGACTGCCAGAGCCCACAGGGATTTTGTGGGGTTTGTTTTTCCTCAGCAGTCCCTGCAGAGGTGAGGACATGAATAAAAGAATGAGGGAAGATTTATTGTTCTCACTTCTTGGCAGTGAGCCTGTATTTGTATAGTGGATCCAGGAGGGGGCTGGAACAGTTGAGAGGACTGCTGAGGCCCAGGCAGAAAGTCAGACCTTGCAAAGTTTTCTGGAGGGACCCAGGTGGGTGGTGGAGGGCGAAGGTGAGGCTGGGAGGAGTGGATTTAGACCAACTCCTCCCCAACCATCAGGGGCCAGAGTGTCCCCACCAGCCACCAGCCTTTTCCCACATGAGGTGGGACAGTGAACAAAGTTTTGGGCTAGCAGAACCATCGGCAGGCAGCTGGGGTCCAAGTATCTCCAAACCCAGCGGCACATGGTGGGCCCGACAGGGTGTGTTACCAGTGAGGATCCCAGAAGAAAGGGCTCCAGCTGAGCTCGTCTGTCACTCCTGCTCCTGATAATGGACGCAATCCAGAAATAACTTTTATCACGGCCTAGCCTGCCTGGGTGGGCCTGGGTGGTGGCTGAGACTTGGAACCTTGCAGCTGAAGATGACATTGCAGGTATGTTACCCCTGCATGTGTGTCTAAGGCTGTACAGCCCATGTTTTGGTGACATTGTACTGTCCCTGGGGCCACCAAAAGATGGGCCTCAATTTGCATGATGTCAATCCTAATGGGTCAAAACTGGTGGCGGAAGGTAGCAGGAGAGTGGAAAGCCTGGGGGCTTGGGAGGCTCTGAGAGATCACAGGATCCATGTGCATGCGTGTATGTTGATTTTGTGGGAAGCTTGAAGGGCCTGAAGGAAGTGGAGAAAGGGAGGGACTCGAACTTCTGACCTAAAATGATCCGCTTGCCTCGGCCTCCCAATGTGCTGGGATTATAGATGTGTCACTGTGCTCGACTGAAGGGAGGAAGTGTAAGGACGCCGAGGTAAGACTCTGCAGAGCTGCTCCCCTAATTGTGAGAGGGACAGATCTGATTCTAGCCACTTTCCATGTGCAGGGCCCCACCATGTTTAGCTGCCTCCTTCAATGGACAATGTCAGGGAAATTCTCTTGCAAATGACCATGCTTCATCCTCAGCAAAAATGGCTCATCCTTCGTGAGTGACCATGTTAAGCCTATCCCCTCATACACATGCTTACATACCACCTGGACACTTTACCTGGCAGGCAGGATCATAAATCCGACAAAGAATTCATTGCAATGGTCCTATACAAGCAATAGAGACCTATAGTAGTAGGTGTGTGTGTAGGGGTCATTTCTCCACAGAGTCTTCTGACGTTTGGGTCATCCTCTCTCAAGACTCCTCCAGGCTCACATTTATGGGGTCCAGACAAGAGTGTGGATAGAGGCCCGTATACCACATGTCTAAATAGTTCAGAGTAATACATCACCCTAACACACTGTTAAACTAAAAACGTTCTATCTTCCTACCATAAAAAATAGACCATATAAAAATATGGAAGGTCAGATCCAAATTTTGAATCCTTGAATTTTTGGATTCTGTCCTGGAGCTTGGTTGATGAAGAGAGTAGGCTTCTGGCCACCTTTTCTCCCCACGCCCTCAGCTAAGGGCTGTCTGCACAGCCGTGCAGACACTCCATCCTGCTTAGGGGTATGCCCAGCAGGGGTACCTGTGCAGCCTCTGGAAGCGGGCTCAGGGACCTTGGGAATTTCAGGATCTAGAGAGAGAGAGACGCAGGTCTGGGTAGGCACAGGACGTCAACATTGCAAATTCTCCCCTTACGGTGGGTCTGGTCAAAGAAGGGCCAGGACAGCAGGGCTGGGACTAGGGTGAGGCAGGTGACGTGCCTCAGTGCAAAATTGAAGGAGGCATCACTCTCAGGGTCATACAAAGGCAGGCTGGCTCCTGCCTCACTCTGGTCTTGGCCCTGCGGGGGGCGGGCCCTCTAAAGTGAGCAGCCCGGAGCAGGAAGGGCTTCTCCCATCTGGTCTCCATGGGTATTGATGGTTACTCCTAACCGTTGGAGTGAGACAAAAAGGCAAGATGACAGAAACAGACCTCTCTCCTGTGAGTCCCTACTTCCCTAAAGCACTGTAAAGCATCCCCTGATTACATTTCAGGGAGCTCCACGTCCGCATCAGCCCAGCCACCATGGTGGTCCCTGGGCTCATTCTCTGCGGAAAAGTACCCAGAGTGATTCATTATCATCCCCACTCACATAGCCTCCTAGAAATTAATGTCGATAAACACCAAAAAAAACTCTAGTGTACAAATACACCGTACTCCAGAACTCTCGCAGGGCAGACTTCAGTGAAAACTAAGGTAAGCCAAAGCTAATTAGGAAAAAAGGGATGTGCAGGGTCAAGGAAAAGCTGTGGAAGAGGAGCTGGGCTGTGAGTCCAGATGCATTTTGGAGAGGTCTGCATTAAACTAAATCACATAGAGGTGCTCATGAAACAGCGGAGAAGGTATGGGAGTCAGTTGTGGGTGTTCTGGAGCCTGTTGAGCAGGTACTGGCTGTTCAGTGTGTGGAGGCATTCGGTGGAGTGGGGCAGGGCGGGGGGGCTGCGTGAGGAGGAGGGGAGGGTGTTTCCCCAGGAGCTGGCAAGTCTGGGTTCTAACCTGGATTCCGGTGCTTGTTGACCAGCCCAGCTAAGTCACTGGACTTTGCTGAGTTTCTATTTTCTCCTTTGCATAATGGAACTAATAATATGTCGCCTGTTTAACTTGCGGAAAAGGTGGGAAGACCAAGTAAAGTAGCAAGAAGGCTTTGAAGGTTGTGTAGGGCTAGGACAGTGTAAAAGGTTGTGGTTAACCTGTGTTGGCAAATCTGCCAGTTGTCTTGTTTATCCAATCAAACCCCATTTACTGAATGTCTCCTTGGTGCCATTCCCTATCTAATCCTTGAGCACCCAGAGATGAATGAAATATCACTACCTTCACGGAGCTTACCATCTAGTCAAAGTAGCTATATTTATTGTTTGCTGTTAGAGCACAAATATGGAATATTTTGAAAGAGTTTGCTACAATTACTTTACAACCATTTATAGATAGATGCTTGTTGACAAGAAAGAATTGATGTGGTAAATGTAAAAATTTCTCATCTACTATCAGCATGTAGCATTTTAAGAACACCAATAGAGGCAAATGGTGTTTTGATTGCAACCTCAGAAGCATGGTTTCCATACCAACCTATTTGCACAGAATAAAAAGCCCAAGGCAAAATGCTGCTTCTAATTCACGAAATGGTAGCTTTGGCTCAATCATCTCTTTAATAGAAAAGACTAAGCCATGTTCCTCCCACCACAGTGCCCCACCAAAGTGTGCAGACTTACACACACATACATATGAACTGAACACACAGTGATGGTAAACTGGGCCCTTAGAGGAATTAGACCAGGCCCTTGGCAGAATTCTGGCCCATCACCTTATGTCTCTGGTCTCAGTTACCTCATCTGTATAATAGGAGTAACGCTGCTTCACAAACGTTATTCAGTGTCACCACGCTGAAATGGAATCAAAGGTATTATTATCTTGAAAGAGCATGGAAAAGAGTAGTCATGCAGGTAGTCCAGGAACACAGCTTAATCTGGAAGGGCTATTTCTGTGATCCTGGGAGGTGGGCAGGCATGGCATGAGAGGCTTGGCTGTCACTTCCTCCCCTTCTGTCCTCTTCCCTCTTCCCTCTTTCTCCTCCCTCTCTTCCTTCTACGTTATTAAACACCTGTGTGTGCCAGAATATAAAGACAAATACATCACTACATCAGCAGAAGCTCTCAATCAGGTGGGGAACGTGGAGATGCACGCTGATGATTTCACTATAGAGCCAGGCGTAAGGCACTACAGGGGCACCAATGAGCCATGGGCTGCTTAAGGAGATGCTGCTTGAGTTGGGTCCTGACGGATGAATTTCAGAACTGAGTTGGAGTGAGGGGAGGTGGCTGGGAGCGGGAGAGAGATAAGGGCATTTGGGACCAAGGGAATAGCATGAAAATACCTGACATTTCCTAGGAAATACCAAGTAGTTCTGTGCAGCTGGAGCAGGGACTGATGCCAGGGAACAAGAGATGCCAGTGAACAGTGTGTGGGAATGAGATTGCTATGCCCTTGTCTGCCAAGCCGAGGAGTCCTCACTTTGTCTTATGGGGAATGGGAGGAGCTGCTGAAAGTTTTCAAGTAGGAGAGAGTCACAATCATAGGCGTATAATGGAGAGATTGCATTGCTCTGGGAGAGGCGTGGAGGAGGGTTTTGAGGGACACTGGCATACATTATAACAATTATAGTGGGATTTCAGACTTCTTTCAATAATAAAATATTTATTTGGAACCCTTAAACACATAAGAGATGAGAGCAGTATTTTATGAGCATGCATATATTTTGTAATTGGTGATACCTACTCTGTATCGATGTGAATGATGTTGTTTTGATGAGCACAGGAAATTGAAATCAGGGCCTATGCATCAAATTACAGAGTTGTATCAGTCTTGGCAACCAGTTTCTCTCTAGATTTTGGTTTGGGTTGCATAGCACCAAGAAATCCCGATTTATACAGTTGAGTAGTTGCAAACAGCAATAGCCTTTTCACAGCTTGACTTTTAGTCTCGGGGTAATTTTTAATTAAAACGAGAAAACTTCATTCAGAGGCCTGCATAAAAATAAGTTAATCTGGCATCCTAAGCTAATGGGCTGGTGGCCTCTATGTATCAAAATTGGGTATATACCACATTGTCATTATGGTTTGTTTAGATGGTTAAAATAAATTTTAAATGAGATTTAAATAAAATGTTTGAGAACCCCCCTAGCCATATATGAGAACTGAAGATATATGAAATTATTCCTACCTTGAGAGTGAAGGGTATTTTCTGACTTATTTGTGTCCGTCATTCACTGGGAGACCACAATTGGCCTTCACCATGGCTGACGCTGGACTGTTGGGGTTGCATTGATAAAGACTTCTTTACTGTGGCAGTTGAGGAACTTCTCTCAAAAATATTGGAAAGCGGGGTGGGGGATGACTACACTGGGCTCATCTTTCTTATAGACAGTGTGTGAAATGTGCATAATCTTGGTCATTGTCTGAACCATGACTGTGGACATTGGGGAACTCACATAAAATGTTGCTGATGTCAGGATTTTGAAAGACCCCACATCCATCTGGAAACTTCTGTCTGTGTACTCCCAGGGAGCTCCATGCAGTATAAAAGTCCATCAAGAGGAGACTGGCGAGTGCTCCTTTTACTGAGCACTTGCTATCTGCTGGGTGCTGTTTTATGCGCTTTATATGTACTGACACTTTTATTCTTCACAGCATCCCTACAAGTTGATTGCTATTATTATTTCTATTTTACAAATGAGGAAATTGAGGCACAGAAGAGGTTAAACATCTTGCCCAAGTCACACAGCTAGCAAGTGGCAGAGCTTGGATTTGAATCCAGTAGTTTGGCACTAGAACCCGAATCTCTAATTACCATGCTCTAGTGTGCTTCTTTAAGGAAAGAATTCATATTGGACCTTTGAAGTCAAATCTCTTTTAATTGGGAATGAACACTGCATTTGTGCTTTAATTGTCCCTAATCATGCCCCCAGTGCTAGTCAGAGAATGTGGGTTCTATGATGATGTTCTTATGGCGATGTTCAGGATGGGGTTTCAGTGAAATCATATAATATGCAATACCAGTGGGGAGGGGGTACTTTACATCTATTTGACATTTTTTGAAATGTACTCTCTGGAGCTGGGCTTGAGCCAGGCATTCATGACACTCTCAGGTGCCATGAAGTCAGTAAATTATCCTCGGGGTCTGTGAGCTAGGCAGTCTCTGCTTTCTCTTTTAATTGCAGGATCCAAGGTACAAAAAGGATGGAGCAGACCCAGAACAGCAAGGGTAATGCTCAGGCTCTGGGTAAGGTGTGGTCCTGGCCCCTGAATCCTTCTCAAACCCACCCTTATCTGGCATTCGTCCTTCCAAGTAGAGAGAAGCTGCCCATTTAAGCCTCCATTGTGACAGGAGGCTGAAAAGTGTAAGAGAAGGCTGGAGTGAAAGTGAATTGGCAAAGCAACTAAACTGAGAGGAAACAGCAGGGTCGGAGTAGTGACTGCAACAAAGCCAGTCTATTAATGGAAGGTCCTAAGGGACCAGGCTGGATTTTCTCAAGAATGAACACTAAGCCAAGCTGACTGAATAAATGAAGACATGTCCATCAGGGACGCACTGATTGGCAGGAGCAACATGCTGTAAAATCAAGTCACAGTCAGGGTCGAAGCTGACATGTTTGCTGAGTCTCGGAGTGGCCACCACTCCTTAAAGCTGGACAAAATTTATTTCAGGATTCACGAAAGAAATCTCCTGCTGGGGACAATTTTATGGCACTCCTTACTCTGATATTCGAACCACAGAATGAAAATAGCATCAAGAAAGGATTTAATGAGTTCTTGGAGAGTGAAGACAGAAAGGGCTTATTAAGGAAAATCAGGGAGGCCCAAAGAATTTGCCCAACTGCGTGGGAGAGCCACTGTGAAGTTCAGCATGCTTCCCCTGACCCCTCTGATGCCACTGCACACCCAAGTATTCTTAAGTCATGATTTCCAAGTGTCCCTTGAGGGTTTCTGCTCAGGCGCCAGCATGCTGTACTCACCCCCAACCTCACATTCGGGGTTTTGTGTGAGCATCATGCTGGAAAATCTCACACCCCTTAGTCATAGCCCACAAACCTCAAACTGTCAGCTCCTGGGGCTCCTGTCCAGCTCAGGACTCTGAGAATGAGTATGTGGCCCCTTTGCATGTGGCTAAACTGTTGCCCCAGCACAGAAGAACAGAGAGAACCAGCACTTTTTGCACCGCTACTTTGTGTCATGCACTAAGCCAGGTGTGTTATTAGAGTTGATTCACTGAGTCTTTACAAAATCCCTGTGAGGGGGTAGCCTGTTCTTCTCTGCGTAAGAGGAGATGGAGCCTCAGAGATATTAAGTAACACACTTAAGGTCACACAGCTGGTGAGGGGTAGGAACGGATTCAAGTCTACATTTTCTGGCTCCAAAATCTGTGCTCTTCTACTATTCCTGCCTCCTGAACAGAAGACAAGAAGCTCCCCCTCTTTGCCCTGAAGTCTAGAAGCAGTGTCTCCCAGCAGGGATGAGACCAGAATATTCCATAGGGGAGTTAGAAGCTCTTAGTTCTTGCCGTGACCTTTGGGCAAGTTATTTGACCTTTCTGAGTTTCAGTTTCCAACATGGATAAAATAGGAATAATATACTCCCTCACCTCTTTGCAGAGCTGTGATAGATCTAAGATAAAAGCAAATGTGCAGAAGCACTTTGCCACTGTCAAGCATGCATTTGATTGTAGAATAACCCTTGTTAAATGCTGTGAGTTTACCCTCTTCGTCCCACATCACGATTCATCGAGGTTTGCTGAGTGAATGTTGATCCACAAACATTCTGGGCTTGGACTGATCAAGATCTCACTACTCTGCCAAGAGGAAAAAGTCATTTGCTATTCCTTTCAGAGTCTGGTCATTGTGGGGAAGAATGGTGAAAAAAAAATCCATCTAAGGGGCAAAACTTCCTTTTGTGCCACCATAGGAAAGAAAGTAACTTTTGGATTTAAGGCCTGGCAGCCAGCCAAGCTCCAGAGAACAATGGAAGCTGCCCAGGCACCAGGCAAGAGGGGAGGGCAGGTGATGAGTCCATTACCTGGGATGAGGACGGCAGCTCCAGCCAGAATCACAGGCATTTCAGGACTTTCAAGAGTTAGACTGGGGAGGGGGTAGTGATGGCAAATGCAGGAGGTGATGTCTGTGTAGACCCTGGGAAGGACTGTGGCTCACCTGGGCTCAGTGGTATAAGGAGGAGCCCTTGTGATGTCTGGAGCCCTCCTGATCTCCAGCTGTCCCACTTGCCTGCTCGTGGTGGGGTCCTACTGAGATTGCCTCTCTCTCAAAGTACTTCCTTCATCCTACATCAGAACTCCCCTTCCTGCTACCTGTCCCTCCAATCTTGTTGTCTGCTGCCTGTCAGGGATGGAAAACAGTGTGATCAACACCTCCCACTCCGACCCTTGTGTGTCTCCCGAGACATAACTGGTTTTTCTGTGCTGCTCTTCTTAGTCTTTTCTGTGAGCAACCACTGAGCCATCTGCTATGGCCAGGCACTGTGCTGCAGGCAGGAGGAGATGGATAAATAAATCAGCACTGACTTCATCATGTCTTTTTATTTTCTGTATTTTTTGATGTTTTGACATCTGGGGCCTGGCTGATTCTGGAGGGACTGCCCCTCCTAGGGCTTAGTCAATTCCTGGATATAGAAAGGACTCACTTGCAAGTGTGCCTTTTAAATGCAAACAAACAAATCCAAAGCTCATACCCCCAACTACCTCTTTTATTGGGCTCTCACAGGGTACTCACACTCTGGGCCACTCTTACTAGAAACAAAACAGAACAAAACAAAACAACTCTGTAGTTACTGATGAGGAAGAGAATGCCTTGAGATGACTTCAGGTCAGAGTAAAAGAGTAATCTGAGTGTTTGCCCCTAGAACCCCACTCTTAGGGCTGAGAGAGGTACCTAGGGGCCGAGGAAGCCCCTGAAGGATGGTCTTAACCACCAAACAGAAACTCTGAGATACTAGGATTCTGTTATGTCAACTTGACAGCTCTGAAATAGTGAGTGATCTGGTCTGAGATCGCCCCGTGGGGAGCAGATCAGTGAAAGAAGCAGAAAGAATAGGAAACAGGATTGGGCCTGTTTGATAAAGGATGTGCTTGTGTGTGTGCATGTGCGTGTGTGTGTGTGTGTGTATGTGTGTGTGTATTGGAGGTCTTTAGGAGGAGAGAAGCGTGGAAGGACAGCATCAACACCTGGCATGGGAGCCAGGCTTTGGCACTGGTGGTAGTGGGGAGGCAAGTTGTGTTATGGGGCATGCAAGCACCCTTACTCCTTGGGACACTCATCATTCCCCAGACATTGCTTGCCTGTGACATCTCTGTGGCAGGGGTGAGACGTGATGCTGACAGGGGCAGTAGAGTAGGGGTTAAGAGCAGGACGTTTGAGGTTGCACAGACCTGGAATTTCAGCGTCAACTTTTACTGTGCCCTTGGATGAGCTACTGATCCTTTCTGGGGTGTTTTTTTTTATTATTATTATACTTTAAGTTTTAGGGTACATATGTACAACTTGCAGGTTTGTTACATATGTATACATGTGCCATGTTTGTGTGCTGCACCCATTAACTCGTCGTTTAACATTAGGTATATCTCTTAATGCTATCCCTCCCCACTGCCCCCACCCCACAACAGGCCCCGGTGTGTGATGTTCCCCTTCCTGTGTCCATGTGTTCTCATTGTTCAATTCCCACCTATGAGTGAGAACATGCAGTGTTTGGTTTTTTGTCCTTGTGATAGTTTGCTGAGAATGATGGTTTCCGGCTTCATCCATGTCCCTACAAAGGACATGAACTCATCATTTTTTATGGCTGCATAGTATTCTATGGTGTACATGTGCCACATTTTCTTAATCCAGTCTATCATTGATGGACATTTGGGTTGGTTCCAGGTCTTTGCTATTGTGAATAGTGCCACAATAAACATACGTGTGCATGTGTCTTTATAGCAGCATGATTTATAATCCTTTGGGTATATATCCAGTAATGGGATGGCTGGGTCAAATGGTATTTCTAGTTCTACATCCATGGGGAATCGCCACACTGACTTCCACAATGGTTGAACTAGTTTACAGTCCCACCAACAGTGTAAAAGTGTTCCTATTTCTCCACATCCTCTCCAGCACCTGTTGCTCTGTCACTCAGGCTGGAGTGCAGTGGTGTGATCTCTGCTCACTGCAACCTCTGCCTCCCAGGTTCAAGCAATTCTCCTGCTTCAGCCTCCTGAGTAGCTGATACTACAGGAATGCACCACCATGCCCGGCAAATTTTTGTAGTTTTAGTAGAGATGGGGTTTCACCTTGTTGGCCAGGCTGGTCTCAAACTTCTGACCTCAGGTGATCCACCACCTCGGCCTCCCAAACTGCTGGGATTACAGGCGTGAACCACTGCACCCAGCCTGCTGATCCTTTCTGAACACTGGAAAATGGGGATAATACCACCCTTAAAGGGTTGTGTGAGAATAAAATACAATGATGTCTGCAAGGAGCTTAGCACATGGTAGGCATACTCCTACCCTAGGGTAATCCTCCACCGCCTGGATTGTTCTTTCTCCAAATGTCTGCAGGGCTACTTCCTCTCTCTGACTTAAGTCTCTGCCATTCTAAAAAGAGCAAACCCTCCCTAGTCCTGGGCAATTCCTGGTCCTATTCTCTGCTTTATTTTTTCCCATAGTACTTGTCACCATTTAACATAGCATATATTTTACTAATTTGTTATTCCCCCGACTAGGATGTAAGTTTCATGAAGGCAGGAATTTTTGTCTATTTATTATATCCTGAATGTCTGATATGTAATAAGCATGCCATAGATATTTGTTGAATGATTGACTCACAAAATATATCATAAATTTTAATTATACATATTAGTTGTTGGACACTTTTGCCATGTCATAGCCTTGGAATAATTAAGTCTCATGAACCTCCTTATCCAAGAGTCCAGGTCTCATTATCATAGGGGACCCTCCTTTCTTAAGCATTAGAGACCAGACAGAAGGAAGGTGGGATTCACACAAAAACTTTAATCCTCAGCAGTTCTCAACCCTGGCTGCATGTTAGAATCACCTTGGTGGCTTTCTGAAAATAGCAATGATTGAACCACTTCTAGAAACTCTGATTTAACTGCTCTGGGATGTGGCTTGGACTTAAAATTTCCTTTTAAGCTGCCCTGTTGATTCTACTGTTGAGGATCAATAAACTATGTGAACTCGAAGCTACTGAAGGCTAGAGAATGAGGGTCTTGCACAACAGCCTGCCATTGAGGTTGGAGGAGACATTGTTCCCAGACCAAACTGAGGGTCAGGCTGCTTATTCTTGCAGCCCAATATGGAGATGCAGATGAACTGGGAAAGAAGAGAGTTATTTTTGTAACCGGGTACAGGGAGAAGACCTGGAAAAAATCGCCAGACCAACTCAAAATTACAAAGTTTTCCAGAGCTTATATACCTTCTAAGCTATATGTCTATGTGTAAGTGTGCAGGCATCTAAAGATATAAGTGATTAACTTCTTCTAATCTATAACTAAGGTCTGAGTCCTGAAGACATTCCTCTGGAACCTAAGTAAATTTACTTAATCTACATGGATCCCAGTGCTGGGGTGATTACCCTTATCTTGTCTCCTGCTAAATCATGGAGGTTTGGGGAGTTCAGACCTCCAAACCTTCAGACCTCCAATAAACTTGTTTGTGGAGGTCTGGAGAGTCTCTTCAGACCTCCAATAAAAATTTGTTTAATCCTAAATGGGTCCTGTTAAGAATTCTTTCATTATCTTGTCATGCTTCAAGGCCCAGGAAAGGCCTAGGCAAAACTCTTGGTGGGCTTTTGTTACATTCTAGTCTTTGTATAAGGAGACTTCTTCAGCTTTTAATATTTAACCACTCAGTCAGTGCTGAAACAGCTGTTACAGAGGCCTGCCTGATCAGCCAGGAGTGAGATCTGGCCTGTCACAAGGTAGAACAGTCTCTGGATTGACCAGGGCACTCTAACCCTTTAGCCACAGGCAGATGGAACATTCCAATAACCAATTAAGAAAATAAGAGGCATATCCTGAAGGAGGACTTGTTCTGCATTTATAATTTTGAGTTTAGGTTTAAATCAGCACAGTTCAGTTCCAAGCAGCTGTAAAACTCAAGTGGAGGTTTGAACTTACAATAATGTGAATATCAGTCTGGATCTAGGATATTCTGGATCCCTCCTCTCATTAGGGTGAGTAGAGGTCTCTGCTTTCACTACACACAGTTCTCCCCCTCTTGTCTCCTTTCTGCACTCTTCTACACTTAGCCAGTGGTGGGGATGCAGGAGACTTCTGCGACCTAGAGTGAGGCTTTTTCACTACTAGCCACATGCAGGTGGGCTCCATAGAGGGTGAATAATCTCACCTTGCCCAGCTCCGTGCATATGTTGCCCCTAATTGTGCCTGGGCTTCTCCCTGCTAAGTCCAAGCAAAGGCCGGCTTTCTTGGCTAACAGAGCTGTTGTTCTTCAGCATACATCAGAATCACCTGGAGAGATCATCAAAACACCAACTGCTGGGACCCTCCACCAAAGTTTCTGATTCTGTAGATCTGGAGTGGGGCCTGTGAAATTGCATTTCTTTTTTTTTTTTTTTTTTTTTGAGATGGAGTCTCCCTCTGTCGCCCAGGCTGGAGTTCAGTGGCACAATCTCAGTTCGCTGCAACCTCTGCCTCCTGGGTTCAAGCAATTTCTGGCTTATTTTTGTATTTTTAGTAGAGACGGGGGTTTCACCATGTTGGCCAGGCTGGTCTCATACTCCTGACCTCAAGTGATCCGCCCTCCTTGGCCTCCCATAGTGCTGGGATTATAGGCATGAGCTATCTCGCCAGGCCATGAATTTGCATTTCTAACAAGTTCCCAGGTGGTGCTGATGCTGCTCGTCTGAGAACCACACTTTGAGAATTTCTGCTTTAAAGAAACAAGATCCTTTCAGTCTGGATTCTGTGGGTATTAACCCAATTTAGGGAACCAAACCCTGGGCATATTTCTGGCAATGCAGGACATAAAGCTGTGTACTTTGTTCCTTCTTCACAGAAACCACTTAAGCAACCTATTTTTAGTCTTATTGACTGTTTTCCTTTCTCTTAGTTCTCAGCCTTTTCTTCTATTCTGGATTGAAGTTTTCATCTTTTCATAAATTCCAGGCTGTTTTATGACTTGGCTGTGCCTGGAATGCCCTTTCCCTTTCTCTGTCTGGCTATTTTATTTGTCTCTTTTGGTTAGAAGGCATAGGCACTCACTCAAATTACAGTCATCCCTTGGTAGACATGGGTGGATTGGTTCCAGGACGCCCCATGGATACCAAAATTTGTGCATACTCAAGTCCCACAGTCAACTCTGTGAGACCCGTGTATATGAGAAGTCAGCCTGAAATATACACAGGTTTTGTATTTCATGAATACTGTATTTTTGATCCCTGTTTGGTTGAAAAATATCTGTGTATAAGTGGTCTTGTGAAGTTCAAACTGTGTTGTTCAAGGAGGTCAACTGTACTTCATTTCATTTTAAAGATCCCCAAAGAAGCTGAACAGATCTCAGGAAGAGCAGGAACAAGTACATGGTTCTGATTTCAAGGTGGCAGAATGGGCAAGAGGAGCAGAAGAAATTTGTGTGTCTTTCTTTCATCACTAGAAGTCCAATGTGCTATTCATTGCACCACAAAGCCATCTGTTTGTGTGTCTTTCTTCTATTGTTTGACCATTAAGTGAATCAGCAGCTCTGTGTATCTGCTCCTTACTTGGCTCTCTACCAATACCTTATACTTCCCCAGTACTCTATTTTTGTTGACTTTATAGCTTCTGCTTACTCTTCCTCATCTTATTTATCATTTCTGTTTCCTTATAACTTTGGCTGCCAAGGCTTAAGTTTTATCTCACTGACATTCTTTCAGATAGAGCCACCATTAGGGGTTTAGGGCCCTGTTTACATAAACAATTTAAAGCACTCTGGAATGATCAGGTGAGAACCTCTTAAAATCTTTGCCTTCATAAAAGCAACAGGAACTCTGGAAAAAAATAGTCAAAATTAATTTTTCAAAATTCTGGAAATTAACCAAAAACTTGCAATAATTTGAAAATGTTTTATTTAAGAAATGACTAAATGTTAGTAAGAATAGCACATTTTTGTAGCATTTAAACTTATCCTATCCTTCTTACGAGCTACTCAGTAATCTTGGAAACCAGCTAGCCTCAGAACTGTGCTATGAAAACCAGGAGCCTAGTGGCCACTGAAGAAAACAGAATGAGTCTGGAGCTCTTCAGAAAGCCTCATACCCAGAAAAGGGTCACTATTTGACCTGCCTGGCAGATCCCTGGAGAAGATCCATTCTCAATGCTTGTCTTTATTATAGCCAACTCAGAGCTTAGACTTGCAGGAAATCAAGTTACCAACATAGCTTATGTGAGTCCCAGAAGAAGAATGAGAGAAAAGGACAGAAAGAATATTTGAAGGAGTAATGACTAAAGTCTTTCCAAATTCAATAAAAACATTAATTTACACACACCAGAATGTCAACAAACTGATAGCAGGATAAACCTAAAGAGATCCATACCTAGACACATTATAGTCAAAATATCAAAAGCCAAAGCCAAAGAGAATCTTGAAAGCAGCAGGAGAGAAGTAACTCATCACCTACAAAGGATCCTCAATAAGATTACTATCTGACTCTCATGGAAGCTAGAAGGTATTAGGATAATGTATTCAGAATCCTGAAAGAAAAAGATTAGGAACCAAAAAAACTAAATCCAGCAAAGCTATCCTTAAAGAAATGAAAGTAAAGTTTAGACAGTTCCAGATAAACAAAAACTGAGAGAATATCTTGTTAAAAGACCCTCTGCAAGAAACACTGAAGGGAGTCCTTCAGGACAAAAGGAAAGGGCACTAGACAGCAACTTGCATCCACATGAAGAAATAAAGAGCACTGATAAAGGGAACTACATAGATGAATATAAAAGACAGTATAAATATTTTATATCTGTAACTCTTTTTCTCTCCATCGATTTAAAAGACAACTGCATAAGGTAATAATTGTAGAACTGTATTGACATGGTTATAATGTATAAAAATGTAATTTATGTTACAATAAAAGTAAAAGGGAGGGAAAAGGGAACAGAACTATATTGGAGTAAAGATTTTGTATACTATTTTGAAATTATTTGTATACTATTTTGAAATTATTTGTATTTTGAAATTAAGTTGATTTTAATTCAAACTAGATTGTTTTAAGTTGTACATTTTAATCCCCAAGGCAATCACTAGAAAAATAACTCAAAAAATAATGTAAAAGAAACAAAGGAATTAAAATGGTATACTAGAAAATATCTATTTAGCACAAAAGTAAGCAGTAATAAAGGAATGGAGCATCAGAAAACACATGAAATATAGAAAACAAATAGCAAAATGGCAGAAGTATATCCTACCTTACTAGTAATTATATTAAATGTAAATGGCCTAAACATTCCAATCGAAAGGCAGAGATTGGACACAAAACCATAATCCATCTACATGCTGTTTATAATACAGATATTTTAGATTCAAAGACATAAAGAGGTTGAAGGTAAAAATATGGAAAAAGGTATGCGATGCAAGGAGAAACCAAAAAAGAGCTGGAGTGGCTACATTAATATCAACAAAATAGACTTTAAGACAGAAATTATTACTAGACAAAGAAGGATACTTTAGGCCAGGCACAGTGGCTCATGCCTGTAATCTCAGCACTTTCAGAGGCCAAGGCAGGAGGATCACTTGAGCCCAGAGGTTCAAGACCAGCCTGGGCAACATAGTGAAAACTTATCTCTATTTTAAAAAATCATTAGAAAAGAGAAGAACATTTTATAATAACAAGGTGCAATTTATCAGGAAGATATAACAATCAAGCTTATACACATCTAACAAAAGAGCTCTATGTGGATTGAAGGAACAAAAGGCAACTCAATAATGGTTGAAGCCTTCAATACCTACTTTCATTAATGACTGAAGATCAATAAGGAAATAGTGGCAGCACTATCAGCCAACTAGACCCAACAGACATCTATAGAACACTCCACCCAACAACACAGACTACACTTTCTTCACAAGTGCATATGGAACATTCTCCAGTATAGACCATAGTCCATAAAACAAATTATTATAAAAAAGATAGACAATGACAAGTTTTAGTGAGGGTGTGAAGAAATTGGAACTCACATATATTGCTGGTGGGAATGTAAAATGGTGCCAGCCACTTTGGAAAACAGTTTGGCAGTTCTTCAAAAGGCTAAACATAGAGTCACCACACAGCCCAGAAATCCCACTTGTAGGTGCATACTTAAGAGAAGTAAGGACATCTGATCATATAAGTGTCTTTACCTGAATATTTATTTCAGCATTATTTATAGTAGGCAAAAAGCAGAAACAACCCAAATATCCAACAACTAATGAATGAATAAATAAAATGTGATATATGTATAAGCATACAATGGAATATTATTTGGCAATAAAATTGAATAAAGTACTGATATATGCCATAACATGGATGAATCTTGAAAATATTATGCTAAGTGAAAGAAGCCAGAAACAAAAGACTACCTATTGTATGATTTCATTTATATAAAATGTTAGGAATAGGCAAATCCATTGAGGCAGAAAGTAGAGTCATAGTTGCCAGGGTCTGGGAATGGGAAGTGACTGCTCATGAGTATGAGGTGTTGGAAGTAAAGCTCGGAGTCACAAAGAAAATGAGTACTCAAACAAAAGATTTTTCAGTAAGGCTAATTTACTTCTGTAGAAGGGTGTTTTCTGCAGGACTGGTTGTCATGAAAGTACACTGAACAAAGGAGGGAAAGAGTTTTTATTTTTAATGCAGTTTGTCCCTACTACTGTGTCCTTTCTCCGTTGGCTGAAGTTGGACCACACAATCTAAACTGAACCCGATTGACTAACTTGAAAGACAGCTTTGGCGGGAAGAGCCGTTACAGCTGGAGGGGTAAATTACAGAGTGAGTAGCAGACGTGGGCTCTGTAGATAAAGACTGGCGGGAGAGTTATTTACTGGAACCAGGAGCAGGGAGGCACAAAGGATAAGGAAGTTGGACCTTGAAAGTAGAGAACAAAGAAACTAAACAAACTAAACCTTTGAAGAGGAACTTCTCTTGGATCTGACAAAGGTTTCTTTGAGGATGTTTTGCAGCGAGCAGGTAAATGCAAACCTACCCCAGACGAATCCAGTTTCTCAGAGAGAAACATTTAATATGGACTTACAAACAGAAGTGATATCTTAGGCAACTGCCAGACAGTAGATCCCCACACCCACCCTCCAGAAAATATTCTTTATATAGTAAGCTTTTTTGATAAAACACTTGCATCTGTCATGCCTCAGACTTTCTTGCAAATACTCATGACCACTGGGGAGGTTAGATAAACATCTTTATGAGGGGTTCTCTGCGCTACATGAACACTTTGGTACGCAGGAGTCAAACATCGGTCATCACGGCAGTTTTGCTTCAAGGCGGCATCACTCTTACCATGCAACAGGCTGTTTTCCTACAAGGGTGGTGAAAATGCTCGATAATTAGATAGTTATCATGGCTGTGCATCTCGGTGAATATGCTAAAAACCACTGAATTGTACACTTTAAAAGGATGGATTTTATGGCATATGAATTATAGCTCAATAAAGCTGTTATAAAAATGCATGATAAAATCCATAGGTCCATGTGAAGCACAGTAATTTACCAGTAAAGATTTAGAATAATGGGTAGAGAAGGGGTACTTATGTATTTGTTTATCATCTAATCTGATAAACAAATTTATCTTTCTTCATAGTGTCTAGGCGTCGGCTGTTCCTAGGAGCTATCACCTCATGGTCTTTATTGTTAAATTTATGGTTTCTGGCTAATTTTATACCTCCTACTGAGAAAAAAGCGGGAATGTTTTTATTATGCATAATATCATCGCTCTTAGAAATGTGTTTTTTATTGAAATGGTATAATCTTCTTGCTACTGCAGTTCCCTAATACCATGCATTTCAGACTGGTTACATCATTACTCATGACCCTGTATCATGTGTCACACCACCTGTGAGTACTGACTTTTAATGACTCTCTCAAAGGTTGTTACTATGCTTCTTTGTTGAGGATGACTACTAACACAAGTCTTAACCAGAGTATACAAAAAAATGTGACCAATCCTTTGTACTATGGTCACATTAAATTCATCCTTTGGAATTTTGTAGCATAAACTTTGAACAACACATTTTACAATAATGTATTCTTTTGACTTCTTTAGGGACTTAAGAATATGATTTTTTCCACTGTTGACTGCTCTCTGGTCTTTCGCACACTGCCACCTGCAGAGAAGATAGATGAGGGAAACACAGGTGGAGGGATAAGGGCAGTCTCTTGTCTGGGATGGCTTAAGACTAATCTAGAAGAACATGATGTCACCACTTCAACTGAAATCAAGAGAAGACATCAATCAGAAGGGCCTGTTGGCACTGTGGAGCAATGATGTCTAAAGACCTTGGAGGGGATGATTCAGCTACCCCAGGCAACTGCCTGACATGTGGCACAGAGCATGGATGCCGGGGTGGGAGTACATGTGCACCCTCATTGCTTTTGGGTACTGTCAACTGAAGGTGGCACCATGATTGGAACACAGATGGATGAGAGCTGATGCATGGGCCCCCACACATAGTTTAAGCCCAAGGATGGGTGGTGGATTTCTGATAGCCTAGAGTTATGAACTCATCTTGTGTCTGACGTGACTGTCACCAAAAGAAGTGTGACAACACCACTTTGGCAGCCCAATCTTTTGCAACCCCATGAAAGAAATACTGCAGAAGCCAGTAGAAGCAATCCACTTGCCAGGTTGCCCTCCTGGAACCAGGGTCCACCCATGAGAGCCAACGACAACCACATCAGCCTTTGTGCTCCTTGGGGCATCTGGTCAATCTCCTGCATGGGATAGAAGCTCCGGGAATACCCCAAAGGGGAGAAGCAGAGAAGAGGGCCTATGCCCTTCCTTGTCCAGGCTTGGAGTGCCTCGCTTGGATGATACTGCTAGCCCCAACTGGTCCCAGACATCAGAGAGGAAGTGTGGTCCTCCTGAGGTTTGGGGCCCAGGACAGGGGCTCTGCTTGCTCTGATCTAAAAGCAGTACTGTTTCTAGGTTTACTACTCACTACTAACTACCTTATTGATTTTGTGCTTCTTGATTTAAAAATTCCAGAGAAAATGGTTGTCTTAGCTAATCAGTTTTGCTCTGAGCCAACGGTATTCAAAGCATGGCCTGTGGACCCCTAGTGGGTCTCCAAGACCCTCTCAGGGGTCTATACAGTTAAAACTATTTTTTTCATGATAATATTAAGATGTCATTTGCCTTTTTCACTATGTTGACACTTGCAATGATGGTACAAAAGCTATGGTGAATAAAACTGCTGGCACCTTGGCACAAATCAAAGCAAGGCCACCAACCATTCTAATAGTTGTATTTTTTTTTTTTATCATCGGGCACTTTTTTTTCTTTTACTTATTATTATTATTATACTTTAAGTTTTAGGGTACATGTGCATAATGTGCAGGTTAGTTACATATGTATACATGTGCCATGCTGGTGTGCTGCACCCATTAACTTGTCATTTAGCATTAGGTATATCACCTAATGCTATCCCTCCCCTCTCCCCCCACCCCACAACAGTCCCCAGAGTGTGATGTTCCCCTTCCTGTGTCCATGTGTTCTCATTGTTCAGTTCCCATCTATGTGTGAGAACATGCGGTGTTTGGTTTTTTGTCCTTGTGATAGTTTACTGAGAATGATGATTTCCAGTTTCATCCATGTCCCTACAAAGGACATGAACTCATCATTTTTTATGGCTGCATAGTATTCCATGGTGTATATGTGCCACATTTTCTTAATCCAGTCTATCATTGTTGGACATTTGGGTTGGTTCCAAGTCTTTGCTATTGTGAATAGTGCTGCAATAAACATAAGAGTGCATGTGTCTTTATAGCAGCATGATTTATAGTCCTTTGGGTATATACCCAGTAATGGGATGGCTGGGTCAAATGGTATTTCTAGTTCTAGATCCCTGAGGAATCGCCACACTGACTTCCACAATGGTTGAACTAGATTACAGTCCCACCAACAGTGTAAAAGTGTTCCTATTTCTCCACATCCTCTCCAGCACCTGTTGTTTCCTAACTTTTTAATGATTGCCATTCTAACTGGTGTGAGATGGTATCTCACTGTGGTTTTGATTTGCATTTCTCTGATGGCCAGTGATGGTGAGCATTTTTTCATGTGTTTTTTGGCTGCATAAATGTCTTCTTTTGAGAAGTGTCTGTTCATGTCCTTTGCCCACTTTTTGATGGGGTTGTTTGTTTTTTTCTTGTAAATTTGTTGGAGTTCATTGTAGATTCTGGATATTAGCCCTTTGTCAGATGAGTAGTTTGCGAAAATGTTCTCCCATTTTGTAGGTTGCCTGTTCACTCTGATGGTAGTTTCTTTTGCTGTGCAGAAGCTCTTTAGTTTAATTAGATCCCATTTGTCAACTTTGGCTTTTTTTGCCATTGCTTTTGGTGTTTTAGACATGAAGTCCTTGCCCATGCGTATGTCCTGAATGGTAATGCCTAGGTTTTCTTCTAGGGTTTTTATGGTTTTAGGTCTAACGTTTAAGTCTTTAATCCATCTTGAATTGATTTTTGTATAAGGTGTAAGGAAGGGATCCAGTTTCAGCTTTCTACATATGGCTAGCCAGTTTTCCCAGCACCATTTATTAAATACGGAATCCTTTCCCCATTGCTTGTTTTTCTCAGGTTTGTCAAAGATCAGATAGTTGTAGATATGCGGCGTTATTTCTGAGGGCTCTGTTCTGTTTCATTGATCTATATCTCTGTTTTGGTACCAGTACCATGCTGTTTTGGTTACTGTAGCCTTGTAGTATAGTTTGAAGTCAGGTAGCATGATGCCTCCAGCTTTGTTCTTTTGGCTTAGGGTTGACTTGGCGATGCGGGCTCTTTTTTGGTTCCATATGAACTTGAAAGTAGCTTTTTCCAATTCTGTGAAGAAAGTCATTGGTAGTTTGATGGGGATGGCATTGAATCTATAAATTACCTTGGGCAGTATGGCCATTTTCACAATATTGATTCTTCCTACCCACGAGCATGGAATGTTCTTGCATTTGTTTGTATCCTCTTTTATTTCATTGAGCAGTGGTTTGTAGTTCTCCTTGAAGAGGTCCTTCACATCCCTTGTAAGTTGGATTCCTAGGTATTTTATTCTCTTTGAAGCAATTGTGAATGGGAGTTCACTCATGATTTGGCTCTCTGTTTGTCTGTTATTGGTGTATAAGAATGCTTGTGATTTTTGTACATTGATTTGGTATCCTGAGACTTTGCTGAAGTTGCTTATCAGCTTAAGGAGATTTTGGGCTGAGACAATGGGGTTTTCTAGATATACAATCATGTCATCTGCAAAGAGGGACAATTTGACTTCCTCTTTTCCTAATTGAATACCCTTTATTTCCTTCTCCTGCCTCATTGCCCTGGCCAGAACTTCCAATACTATGTTGAATAGGAATGGTGAGAGAGGGCATCCCTGTCTTGTGCCAGTTTTCAAAGGGAATGCTTCCAGTTTTTGCCCATTCAGTATGATATTGGCTGTGGGTTTGTCATAGATAGCTGTTATTATTTTGAGATACATCCCATCAATACCTAATTTATTGAGAGTGTTTAGCATGAAGCGTTGTTGAATTTTGTCAAAGGCCTTTTCTGCATCTATTGAGATAATCATGTGGTTTTTGTCTTTGGTTCTGTTTATATGCTGGATTACATTTATTGATTTGCATATATTGAACCAGCCTTGCATCCCAGGGATGAAGCCCACTTGATCATGGTGGATAAGCTTTTTGATGTGCTGCTGGATTCGGTTTGCCAGTATTTTATTGAGGATTTTTGCATCAATGTTCATCAAGGATATTGGTCTAAAATTCTCTTTTTTGGTTGTGTCTCTGCCCGGCTTTGGTATCAGGAAGATGCTGGCCTCATAAAATGAGTTAGGGAGGATTCCCTCTTTTTCTATTGATTGGAATAGTTTCAGAAGGAATGGTACCAGTTCCTCCTTGTACCTCTGGTAGATTTTGGCTGTGAATCCATCTGGTCCTGGACTCTTTTTGGTTGGTAAGCTAATGATTATTGCAACCATTTCAGATCCTGTTATTGGTCTATTCAGAGATTCAGCTTCTTCCTGGTTTAGTCTTGGGAGGATGTGTCAAGGAATTTATCCATTTCTTCTAGATTTTCCAGTTTATTTGCATAGAGGTGTTTGTAGTATTCTCTGATGGTAGTTTGTATTTCTGTGGGATCGGTGGTGATATCCCCTTTATCATTTTTTATTGTGTCTATTTGATTCTTCTCTCGTTTTTTCTTTATTAGTCTTGCTAGTGGTCTATCAATTTTGTTGATCCTTTCAGAAAACCAGCTCCTGGATTCATTAATTTTTTGAAGGTTTTTTTTTGTGTCTATTTCCTTCAGTTCTGCTCTGATTTTAGTTATTTCTTGCCTTCTGCTAGCTTTTGAATGTGTTTGCTCTTGCTTTTCTAGTTCTTTTAATTGTGATGTTAGGGTGTCAGTTTTGGATCTTTCCTGCTTTCTCTTGTGGGCATTTAGTGCTATAAATTTCCCTCTACACACTGCTTTGAATGTGTCCCAGAGATTCTGGTATGTTGTGTCTTTGTTCTCATTGGTTTCAAAGAACATCTTTATTTCTGCCTTCATTTCGTTATGTACCCAGTAGTCATTCAGGAGCAGGTTGTTCAGTTTCCATGTAGTTGAGCGGTTTTCAGTGAGTTTCTTAATCCTGAGTTCTGGTTTGATTGCACTGTGGTCTGAGAGACAGTTTGTTATAATTTCTGTTCTTTTACATTTGCTGAGGAGAGCTTTACTTCCAACTATGTGGTCAATTTTGGAATAGGTGTGGTGTGGTGCTGAAAAAATGTATATTCTGTTGATTTGGGGTGGAGAGTTCTGTAGATGTCTATTAGGTCTGCTTGGTGCAGAGCTGAGTTCAATTCCTGGGTATCCTTTTTAACTTTCTGTCTCGTTGATCTGTCTAATGTTGACAGTGGGGTGTTAAAGTCTCCCATTATTATTGTGTGGGAGTCTAAGTCTCTTTTTAGGTCACTCAGGACTTGCTTTATGAATCTGGGTGCTCCTGTATTGGGTGCATATATATTTAGGATAGTTAGCTCTTCTTGTTGAATTGATCCCTTTACCATTATGTAATGGCCTTCTTTGTCTCTTTTGATCTTTGTTGGTTTAAAGTCTGTTTTATCAGAGACTAGGATTGCAACCTCTGCCTTTTTTTGTTTTCCATTTGCTTGGTAGATCTTCCTCCATCCTTTTATTTTGAGCCTATATGTGTCTCTGCATGTGAGGTGGGTTTCCTGAATATAGCACACTGATGGGTCTTGACTCTTTATCCAATTTGCCAGTCTGTGTCTTTTAATTGGAGCATTTAGTCCATTTACATTTAAAGTTAATATTGTTATGTGTGAATTTGATCCTGTCATTATGATGTTAGCTGGTTATTTTGCTCATTAGTTGATGCAGTTTCTTCCTAGTCTTGATGGTCTTTACATTTTGGCATGATTTTGCAGCAGCTGGTACCGGTTGTGCCTTTCCATGTTTAGTACTTCCTTCAGGAGCTCTTTTAGGGCAGGCCTGGTGATGACAAAATCTCTCAGCATTTGCTTGTCTGTAAAGTATTTTATTTCTCCTTCACTTATGAAGCTTAGTTTGGCTGGATATGAAATTCTGGGTTGAAAATTCTTTTCTTTAAGAATGTTGAATATTGGCTCCCACTCTCTTCTGGCTTGTAGAGTTTCTGCCGAGAGATCCACTGTTAGTCTGATGGGCTTCCCTTTGTGGGTAACCCGACCTTTCTCTCTGGCTGCCCTTAACATTTTTTCCTTCATTTCAACTTTGGTGAATCTGACAATTATGTGTCTTGGAGTTGCTCTTCTCCAGGAGTATCTTTGTGGCGTTCTCTGTATTTCCTGAATCTGAATGTTGGCCTGCCTTGCTAGATTGGGGAAGTTCTCCTGGATAATATCCTTCATAGTGTTTTCCAACTTGGTTCCATTCTCCCCGTCACTTTCAGGTACACCAATCAGACGCAGATTTGGTCTTTTCACATAGTCCCATATTTCTTGGAGGCTTTGTTCGTTTCTTTTTATTCTTTTTTCTCTAAACTTCCCTTCTCGCTTCATTTCATTCATTTCATCTTCCATCACTGATACCCTTTCTTCCAGTTGATTGTATCGGCTCCTGAGGCTTCTGCATTCTTCACGTGGTTCTCGAGCCTTGGCTTTCAGCTCCATCAGCTCCTTTAAGCACTTCTCTGTATTGGTTATTCTAGTTATACATTCGTCTAAATTTTTTTCAAAGTTTTCAACTTCTTTGCCTTTGTTTTGAATTTCCTCCTGTAGCTCGGAGTAGTTTGATCGTCTGAAGCCTTCTTCTCTCACCTCGTCAAAGTCATTCTCTGTCCAGCTTTGTTCCGTTGCTGGTGAGGAACTGCGTTCCTTTGGAGGAGGAGAGGTGCTCTGCTTTTTAGAGTTTCCAGTTTTTCTGCTCTGTTTTTTCCCCATCTTTGTGGTTTTATCTACTTTTGGTCTTTGATGATGGTGATGTACAGATGAGTTTTTGGTGTGGATGTCCTTTCTGTTTGTTAGTTTTCCTTCTAACAGTCAGGACCCTCAGCTGCAGGTCTGTTGGAGTTTGCTAGAGGTCCACTCCAGATCCTGTTTGCCTGGGTATCAGCAGCGGTGTCTGCAGAACCGCGGATTTTTGTGATCCGCGAATGCTGCTGTCTGATTGGTCCTCTGGAAGTTTTGTCTCAGAGGAGTACCCGGCTGTGTGAGGTGTCAGTCTGCCCCTACTGGGGGGTGCCTCCCAGTTAGGCTGCTTGGGGGTCAGGGGTCAGGGACCCACTTGAGGAGGCAGTCTGTCTGTTCTCAGATCTCCAGCTGAGTGCTGGGAGAACCACTGCTCTCCTCAAAGCTGTCAGACAGGGACATTTAAGTCTGCAGAGGTTACTGCTGTCTTTTTGTTTGTGCCCTGCCCCCAGAGGTGGAGCCTACAGAGGCAGGCAGGCCTCCTTGAGCTGTGGTGGGCTCCACCCAGTTCGAGCTTCCCGGCTGCTTTGTTTACCTAAGCGAGCCTGGGCAATGGCGGGCGCCCCTCCCCCAGCCTCGCTGCCGCCTTGAAGTTTGATCTCAGACTGCTGTGCTAGCAATCAGCGAGACTCTGTGGGCATAGGACCCTCCGAGCCATGTGCGGGATATAATCTCCTGGTGTGCAGTTTCCTAAGCCCGTCGGAAAAGCGCAGTATTCGGGTGGGAGTGGCCCAATTTTCCAGGTGCCGTCTGTCACCCCTTTCCTTGACCAGGAAAGGGAACTCCCTGACCCCTTGCACTTCCCGAGTGAGGCAATGCCTTGCCCTGCTTCGGCTGGCGCACGGTGCACTGCACCCACTGTCCTGCGCCCACTGTCTGGCACTCCCTAGTGAGATGAACCCGGTACCTCAGATGGAAATGCAGAAATCACCCATCTTCTGCGTCACTCACGCTGGGAGCTGTAGACCAGAGCTGTTCCTATTTGGCCATCTTGGCTCCTCCTTCTATCATCGGGCACTTGAAGTAAGAAAAGAGTCCTTGATGAAGCAGTAAAGATTATTAATTTTACTAAATTGTGACTCTTGAGTATATGTCTTATTAAAGTCTGTGTGAAGGGTATGTATAGCACTTCCGCTGTATACTAAGGTACAATGGGAGTATCTAGGAAAAGCACTTACATGACTGAATTGCAAGCTGAACTAGCCACTTTTTCCTTTTTTGAGACAGAGTCTCACTTTGTTGCCTAGGCTGGAGTACAGTGGCGTGATCTTGGCTTGCTGCAACCTCCTCCTCCTGGGTTCAAGAGATTCTCCTGCCTCAGCCTCCCGAGTAGCTGGGATTAGAAGCGTCCACCACCACACCTGGCTAATTTTTTTGTATTTTTAGTAGAGATGGGGTTTCATTATGTTGGCCAGGCTGGTCTCGAACTCCCGACTTCAGGTTATCTGCCCACCTCAGCCTCCCAAAGTGCTGGATTACAAGTGTGAGCCAGTGCGCCCAGCCCCACTTTTTTCATAAACGTCATTTTACTCGTGAGAACAATTGACAGAAAAACTATGGTTATTCAGATTTGATTTTTAGCAGACATTTTCTTGAAAATGATTGGCGTGAACCTGCCACCTCAAGGAAAACAACTGACGGTGTTGATGATGAAATTTGATGTTACAAGTGAACCACAAGGATCCACAATGAACTGGAGAGATTTCTACTTCTTAAGACTTCTCTGATGGGATTGGTGGTGATATTAATCAATGTGACATTTGAAATATTCTATAATAAAATGTGTCATTTGAAAAGTCTACATAATTCAGTAAACCAATTTTTTTTTTTTTTGAGACAGAGTCTCACTCTGTCATCCAGGCTGGAGTGCAGTAGCGCAGTCTCAGCTCACTGCAACCTCCTCCGCCTCCTGGGTTCAAGCGATTCTCCTGCCTCAGCCTCCCGAGTAGCTGGGACTACAGGCATGCACCACCACACCCAGCTAATTTTTGTATTTTTAGTACAGACAGGGTTTCACCATGTTGACCAGGCTGGTGTCAAACTCCTGACTTCAAGTGATGTGCCTGGCTCAGTCTCCCAAAGTGCTGGGATTATAGGCGTGAGCCACTGCGCCCAGCCAGTAGCTGATATTTTCTAAATGACCAAGACATGGATGTTACATCATCGTTCAACAGTGAAGAGTCCAGTTAAAGTCTGGGATACACCAGTAGATTTCAATATAATAGAGTATACAAAATTTGCCAATATGGTTTCTGGTACCCCATTTAGGGATCTACCCCTTGTCAAGTCTTGATGCAGTATCAAAGAAGAACAGCCACGATTATCTGAGATGGCTATTAAAGTTACTCCCACCTTTTCCAACTACATATCTGTGTGAGGCTGGATTTTCTTCATAGGTCAACCCAAACAAGACATAGAAGATTGAATGCAGAAATAGATATAAGAATCTGGCTGTCTTCTATTAAGACAGACACTAAGCAGATTTGTAAAACTGTGTATTCTTCTCACTAAAATATTTGTTTTCAAAAATTTAGTTGTTTTTCATAAAAATATGTTGTTTATGGGCCAGGCATGGTGGCTCATGCCTGTAATCCCAGCACTTTGGGAGGCCGAGGCGGGCAGATCACGAGGTCAGGAGTTCGAGACCAGCCTGGCCAACATAGTGAAACCCCGTTTCTCCAAAAATACAAAAAATTAGCAGGACATGGTGTTGGGCACCTGTAATCCCAGCTACTTGGGAGGCTGAGGCGGGAGAATCACTTGAATCTGGGAGGTGGAGGTTGCAGTGAGCTGAGATCCTGCCATTGCACTCCAACCCCAGGTGACAGTGTGACTCTGTCCTAAAAAAAAAAAAAAAGTTTATGTTAGGATATAATAAGTTTTCTATTTTTATTTTTAAATGAACTCCTGAATGAATGTTTTTAGAGTTAAAAATATGGTAATGTTGATAGATATGTGGTGTTGTGTAAAAATATGTTTAATATTAGTAGATATAAGCCACATAAACAAAAGTTTTCTGTAGTTCTCAGCAATTTTTAAGCATTCAAAGATGTTCTGAGCCCCCAGAATTTGAGCACCGCTGCTCTATGCCATGCCAGAAAGCCTGGGAATTGGTTGCCCTCGGTCAGGCACCCCCGACTATGAAATCAGCTGTGTCAGGGAGCGGAAGGTCTGGTGGGTAGGTCTGGGGTAAATGCATGGCCATGACTACCCATTCCTCAGGGCAAGGTGGGGCAGCCATCCCTTAGAAAGAGCTGTAGGAGCAGCAGGTGCCATGACCAAATGGCCGGCACACTAGTGGAGTTTGGCTTATCCTTTAGATGCTCACAGACTCCAGGAAGCTGGTGTTCTCTTGGGCTAATGTGGCTATGCCCTAGACCTTGCTAACTTCAAAGGCTTGTGATTTGGTTTGGCTCTGCGTTCCCACCCAAATCTCATTTTGAATTGTAATCCCCATGTGTTGAGGGAAGGAAATGATTGGATTATGGGAGTGGTTTCTCCCATCCTGTTCTCATGATAATGCGTGAGTTCTCATGAGATCTGATGGTTTTATAAATGTTTGGCATTTCCCCTGCTTGCACTTCTCTGTCCTGTTGCCATGTGAAGAAGGTTCTTGCATCCACTTCTGCCATGATTGTAAGTTTCCTGAGGCTTCCACAGACATGTGGAACTGTGAGTCAATTAAACCTCTTTCCTTTGCAAATTACCAGTCTCAGGTAGTATCTTTATAGCAGTGTGAGAATGGACTAATACACCTTGATACCTTAGATATTCAGTTAGAATGTCCTGTTCATAGATGTGTCTTTAGCATGAGAGTATAAGTTTCTTGATGAGAAGGACTCACTCATATTTGTGACTCCAAGTTGTAGTATAGGGGCAAAGAAACACATGACCTGTGCCCTCCTGGAGCTTATAGTCTGATGAGGAAGACTTAAACACACTATTGCATGAATAATTACATAATTACAAACTATGGAGTAGAAGTATAGGGTACCATGAGAGAATAAAACAGCAGAAATAAATCTAGATTAGGGTGGTCAGGGAAGGTCTTTGCTAATGTGAATTTTAAGCAGACTTGAAGGATAGCTGGAGCTAGCTAGGCAAGGAATGAGCATGGGAACACAGGTGTCAGTGTTTTCTTCTAGACACAAAGGCCAGAGTGTGCTGAGGGACTTGGGAAGTTTGAAGACTGTGATTGGCAAGGAGGGGTAAGAGTGTAGTGTATCCTGGGAGAAGGTTCAAGCGGTGGTGGTCAGGGGTGAGATCATGAAAGGTCTTAGAGCCATGTAAGGGACTTGCGATACTTCTTTTTTTCTTAGTACCATTGGAGAGTTTTAAGCAGGGGAATGATGTGATCAGATTTGGTTTGGGTGGCTCACTCTGGCTACAGTGTGGAGGATAGACTGAAAGGGAACAGTGTGGGAGCTGAGACACTAGTGAGTGATCCACTTGAGAGGTAGATGATAGTGGCCCAGGCTAGTGTCATGGCAGTGAAGGAGAGAAGTGGATAGCCTGTGAGATATTTTGGAGATAAAATATTCTGGGCTTGGTGAAAGAATGAATAGAGGAGAGGCAAGGGAAAGGAAGATGTCAAAAATGTATCCTGGCTTTTAGCTTGAGCACCTGGAGATTGGGAGTGCCCTTCTTCAAAGGGGAAGATTGCGGGAAGGGCAGAACTGAGGGAAGAGCAAGCCTTTCCATCTGGACTTGCTGGGTGTGAAGAGCTTTCATTATGGAAGCCAGCCTCAGGAAAAGGGCTGGAACTCAGGCTCTGGGAGCTGGAATGGGTGAGGCTGAAATGTTCCTCATGTGGGGTGGGCACTGCCTGAGGACACACTGGTGGTCTGTACCCTGTGTGGAACTGTGTGGGCTGTTTCCTCATGTGGACTGAGTTTCTTTGGAAGTTTATTTGTATCATCCAGCATGGTGAAGTCTTGGGAGAGGCTGGCAGTTGAGGCTGGGCTCAACTACCTCCTTCTTCTAGGCTGACCACATTCTTCTTGGAGACTCTGGGAATCCTGGAAGGTGACATCTGAGACCCAAGGGAGAGAAGGGAGCATGGATAGACATACTTAATAGCCCCATAACAATGCTAAAAATAATCAGACTGTGCCCAGCTCTGCATTCCAAGCCATGCGTAGAAGCCAGATAGACACCCCCAGTCTTCTGTAGCATATACGATACTGTGTTTTTCAGAAATCCCAATCAAATCCTAGGTATTACTGCACAAACACCCTGTGCATAAATGCAGGGGAAGACAAATAAGTCTGAAGCTCTGGAAGAGCAGATGAGACCAATAAAGCAAGGGAGAGAGAGCTGGAAAAACATCAAAGTAAAGCCAGTTTTCTTCCAATGAGTTCCAAATGCAGTAATCAAATATGGGAAGGAAGAGAGAATTTGTCCTGGCCTGGGGTTGTGAGGAAAGGTCCCCTTTGATACAAGTGTTCTTGTTTAACCCTTTTCTACATGTTCCTACCACTGGGTGAGGTGGCACATAGCTTAAGCTGGTGGTCACAACCCCTATGTCTACACCAGCCCTGAAGGGAAAGGCAGTGAGATGGGGGCAGTGGGGAGAGGTTGGAGTGTGGCCTGGAAGGATTTCAGCTGAAATAAAGATGCTAGTCCGGGGTACTTTGAAGTCTTCAATAACAATATTTTGCATGAAAATGGTCTTATTTGTCTCAATATATTCAACCTAGTGCTGGCTGGCATAGGCAGCTGGAATTTGGTCACTATTTGTGGCATTGTGCTGTGAACTGCTTTGTGGGAACAATGTAGAGGGGATAAAAAACTCAAGGCTGGAAGGAGGAAGGGGCCACAAGGAGAATCAGCAGAGGAGGCCAGGAAGTCCCCAGAAGGCTTGTTGAAGAAGGTGAGCCTATTAGAGAAGGGGTGGGGAGCAGGATAAATGTTGGACAGAATGAGAGGACAAGGACTGACAAAGAAGAGCAGAGAGAGGGATGGGAGATTCCTGATGGGGATCAAAATGCAGGAGGAAATGGATGTCCTGGGGAGCCTTCTGCAGGTCAGAAGGAGAAGTAGAAATGGCAGTTCCCAGGCCTAGGCTCCTCTGGTTATTAAGCACTTGGATGGAGGCATATGAAACTAGAGTGGAGATTGCATCTTGAGCTGGCAATTTTGCCAGCAGGGTCACTCAGCAAACCATGAATCTAGAGACCTTTCTTAGCAAGCGATATGGTTTGGATTGTGTCCCCACCCAAATCTCATGTCGAATTGTAGTACCCAATGTTGGAGGAGGGGTCTGGTGGGAGGTAATTGGATCATGGGGGCAGACTTCTCCCTTGCTGTTCTCATGAAAGTGAGTTCTTACGAGATTTGGTTGCTTAAAACTGTGTAGCATCGCCCACTTTGCCGTCTCTTCCTCCTGCTCTGGCCACATAAGATGTGCCAGCTTCCACTTCCCCTTCCACCATGATTGTTAAGTTTCCTGAGGCCTCCCCAGAAGCAGAAGCCTGTACAGCCTGTGGAATCATGAGCCAATTAAACCTCTTTTCTCATTAAATTATACAGTCTCAAGTTCTTCATAGCACTGCAGAAATGAACTAATACAGCAAGTATCCCCCAATGCCTCTGCCATCATGCCATTTCTCAACTCAGTGACTCTCCTGTATCTGTAGCTTTAAGTCTAACCTTTATTTATCCATCCATTTATTCATTAATTAATTTAAAACACATTTATTGAATGCATCTTATACATCAGGCACACGGTGGGTACAAGGGTTAAAATGCTGTAGCCATTCTCAAAGTGCTGTCCCTGGACCAGACACATCAGCATCATTTGGTGTATTAACTATCTGTAGCTATGTAATAAATCTCCCCAAAGCTTAGTGGCCTAAAACAACAAGAACCATTTATTGTGTCTCATAGTTTCTGTAGATTCTAGGTTAGGGTCTACCATGAAGTAGCAGTCACAAATTGGCTGAGGCTGCAGTCATTTTCACACTTGATAGGGACTGGAGGATCTGTTTCCGAGGTAGCTCATTCACCTGGCTGGCAAGCTGGGGTTGGTTGTCAGTGGGAAGCTTTAGCTTCTCCCCATGTGACCTCTCTTCACAGCTGCTTGAGTATCCTTTCAACATGGCAGTTGGCTTCCCCCATAATAAACAATCCAAGAGAATAAGCTGAAAGCTGCGTTTCTTTTATAAGCTATTCTTCAAAGTCATACACCATCACTTCCACAACGCCCTGTTGGTCACATAAGTAAACCTATTCAAGGTAGGAGGAAACTCCACAGGAATATGAATATCAGAAAACAGGAATCACCAGGGTCAACTGTGAGATTTGGAATTTGTTAGAGATGCAATTTTGCAGACCTACCTGAAGAGCTACTAAATCAGAAACTCTGGGGGCGGGGGCCTATAATTGGAGTTTTCACAAGCTGTTCCTGTGATTCTGATGCACACTAAGGTTTTGAGACCATTGCAGTGATGTGTGAAGTGATCTCCGCTCTCAAGCTTGCCCATGGCCTAGCTTAAGTTACTAAGAAGTTATGACACAATGCTATAGCAAGCACATGAGGAGATGTCAGGGAAAGTTTCTTAGCCTGGAATTTAAGGTCTTTCCTAAGCTGAGCTGCTCTGATCCATTTGTTTTCATTTTTCTCCTACTTGGGCCCCCCGCTATAGTCTGATCATTCTCCTGTCCCCACAGAGGGAGGGAATAAACACCATGTAGGTGAATGAGCTGCTAATGGGTGTGACAGCATCTGGCATGGTCCCATTGAGAGGTGACAACGTGCTAGCAGCCCTTGCTTGCTCTCAGCACCTCCTCAGCCTCGGTGTCTGCTCTGGCCATGCTTGAGGAGCCCTTCAGCCCCGCTGCTGCACTGTGGGAGACCCTCTCTGGGCTGGCCGAGGCCAGAACCAGCTCCCTCTGCTTGCGGGGAGGTGTGGAGAGAGAGGAGTGGGCGGGAACCAGGGCCAGCACAAGTTCCGGGTGGGCATGGGCTCGGTGGGCCCCCACTCGGAGCAGCCGGCCGGCCTGGGCAGTGAGGGGCTTAGCAGCCGGGCCAGCAGCTGTGGAGGGGGTGCTGGGTCCCCCAGCACTGCTGGCACGCCTGCAGCGTGCTCAAATTCTCGCCAGGCCTCAGCCGCCTCCCTGTGGGGCAGGGCTCGGGGCCTGCAGCCTGCCATGCCCGAGCCCCCCCATGGTGGGCTCCCACACAGCCTGAGCCCCCCTGACGGGTACCGCTCCCTGCTCCACAGCACCCAGTCCCATCGACTGCCCAAGGGCTGAGGAGTTCAGGTGCGTGGCGTGGGACTGGCGGGCACGGCCCTGGCACGGGATCCACTAGTGGAAGCCAGCTGGGCTCCTGAGTCGGGTGGGGACTTGGAGAACTTTTATGTCTAGCTGGAGGACTGTATATGCAGCAATCAGCACTCTGTGTCTAGCTCGGGGTTCGTGGATGCACCAATCAGCACTCTGTATCTAGCTAATATGGTGGGGACTTGGAGAGCTTTTATGTCTAGCTAAAGGATTGTAAATACACCAATCAGCACTCTGTGTCTAGCTCAAGGTTTGTAAACGCACCAGTCAGCACTCTGTGTCTAGCTCAAGGTTTGTTAATGCACCGATCAGTGCTCTGTGTCTAGCTAATCTAGTGGGGACTTGGAGAACTTTTACATCTAGCTAGAGGATTGCAAATACACCAATCAGCACTCTGTGTCTAGCTCAGGGATTGTAAATGCATCAATCAGCACGCTGTCAAAACGGACCAATCAGCTCTCTGTAAAATGGACCAATCAGCTCTCTGTAAAATGGACCAATCAGCTCTCTGTAAAATGGGCCAATAAGCAGGATGTGGGTGAGGTCAGATAAGGGAATAAAAGCAGGCTGCCCAAGCCAGCAGAGGCAACCTGCTCAGGTCCCCTTCCACAGTGTGGCAGGGTTGTTTCTTCGTTCTTTGCAGTAAATCTTGCTGCTGCTCAGTCTTTGGGTCCACACTGCCTTTGTGAGCTGTTACACTCACCGCTAAGGTCTGCAGCTTCGCTCCTGAGGCCAGCGACAGCACGAACCCACCAGGAGGAATGAACAACTCCGGACCCGCTGCCTTAAGAGCTGTAACACTCACCACGAAGGTCTCCAGCTTCACTCCTGAAGCCAGCAAGACCACGAACCCAACAGAAGGAAGACACTCTGAACACGTCTGAACATCAGAAGGAATAAACTCCGAACACACCATCTTTAAGAACTGTAACACTCACCGCGAGGGTCCATGGCTTCATTCTTGAAGTCAGTGAGAACAAGAACCCACCAATTTCAGACACACCACCATATAACAGTTGCTCAATAAATGCTTCCTCTTTTCAATTTCCTTTGCTCTAGATTTTACATTTGGAAGACTCAGCTCCAGACTTCTTTAACTAACCAAATTCTAATTTTTCTTCAAGGTTCAATGCAGGACCCCAGTTCCATGAAGCATCTGACTTCATCTCCCCTGGTCTCTCCCTTCCTCTCTCTGAATCTCTGAACACTTAAGAGTGTGACTCATAAAGCCTAGCCTGTGATTCTACTGATGCATTCCGCCTTGCATTTTTTCTCTAAGATTTTCCATTTGTGATGATCTTTGAGGCTCTTAGAACTGTGTGAAATTGCCTTGTTTATCGTTCTTTATCACCACCACCTATGATGCATCCCCTACCTCCACCACCTCCTCCCTGTGAAAGAACAACCTCCAGTAGAACCTCTAGGTTGATTTGTCTTAGGTAATGAGCTCCGACCGTGCACATAGCTAGAAGTAAGGTCCTGGAATAACAGAGTTCCCTTTCACATTCTATTACCCGTGGAGCATCCATAGCTCAGGAAAGGCAGCTCCCCCGTGGCTGAAAGAGGGTGAGACCCCCAGGTGAGAGACTTGTAGGATGCTTGGCTTTTCCAGCTACCAATTGGGTCATCCAGGCAATTCCCCTTCACTGATTCAAACTTCAGTTTTCTCAACTATGAAATGGTGCTCCCAGCCGCCAACATCTGAAGGGTCATAGCTACCTAAGTAAAGAACAGGTGTGAGATGGAATTAAACTAGAAAATTGCCGGTGGCAATAAAATGGTAATGTTTAAGAGCTTTTGGTCACCTAACACATTTATTAAATGTTTAGTATGCATCAGGACCTGTATCAGACCCTGGTTAGAAAATGGTGAAAGAGGTCCCTTCATTATCACTTGAGATTTTGCAACAGTTATCAGAAAGAATTAAGCAGAGTTAGGCAGATGCCTTTGAACAAGGGGGTGGAGACTGTGTGTGGGCGAGGCCTGTGTGTGGGTGGAGACTATGTGTAGACAGGACTGTGTGAGTGGGCAAAAAGAGGGACAGGGACCGTGAGAAGGTGCAGGGCAGGGTCTAGAGTCAAATGGTGCTTGTTCACACGTAGTTTCCTAAGTTCTTCAACTTCCTTTCTTTACCCCACTGAGGGCCCCAGCCACTTGCTGCAGCACATAGCTGACCTGTAATCTGGAGGGTGTGAGGAGGCAGAGCTTTTAAGAAAGGGAAGGTGGGGTCTCTGTGGCTGCCTCTAAGTTCGGTTTCATTGGAAGAGGCCCCTTGGAGAGCCTTGCCCCCTGGCCAGTATCTCTTCCCTGAGGACATTTTTCATGCCCCATCCTTCTGGTTTTGTTTTTTTTTTTTTTCCTTGAGACAGAGTCTCACTATGTCACTGAGGTTGGAGTGCAGTGGCACCGTGTCGGCTCACTGCAATCTCCGTCTCCTGGGTTCAAGCAATTCTCCTGCCTCAGCCTCCTGAGTAGCTGGGATTACAGGTGCCCACCACCATGCCTGGCTAGTTTTTATATTTTTAGTAGAGACAGGGTATCACCATGTTGGCCAAGCTGGTCTCAAACTCCTGACCTCACTCAGGTGATCCACCCATCTTGGCCTCCCAAAGTGCTGGGATTACAGGTGTGAGCCGTTGTGCCCGGCCTTTCTTTTTTTTTTTTAAATGTGGCGGCTGAACTGTGACTCACTTAAATATTCCTCAGATTGTTTTCATTTTTAAAAGCAGGTGTCAGTTCTAATTGTCTCCAGGATGAATTCCCCTGTCCAGCTGGCTTAATTGCAGACATCAACATGCTTGACAACATTGTTTCATTCGAAAAGCCAGCCTAGAGACGGTGATCGTAGGGGCTGAGGAAGAGCTGCTTTGACTGGCATCTGCTGGAGGGTGGCCATGCTCTAGTGGTTGGCTTCTAATAAGGGGCTGTACTTGGTCGTCTTTTACTAAGTGATGCTCTTCCAGTCCCTCTCGCCTGATTAGGAGGAAAGCAGTCATCTGCTTGCCTCTGATGAATTTGTGTTCAGAGACGATGACAGACGGATGTAGTGGAAGGATCATTGAAATGGAGTCAGGAAACCATGCTTTGTTGCAGCCCTGTCACTAACTAGCTGGTATCCCAAATCACAGAGCCTCTTTGGACCTTGTGTCCTCATCTGTTAGATGAGTGGGAAGGATGACGATGATTCCTCAAGTCCCTTCCTGTCTTATGGTCCAACCTTGTTTCATGCCCTGTCAGTTTATGGATTCAGTCCAGCTACTTCTCAACATCTCTCTTTCCTCATCACAAGCTGGAATTTCTTTGCATGTCAGTTTTCCTCCAGACAGAAATTCAGTATTTATTGCACAAAAGATAAGAGATGAACGTTGTAATACTACGAATACCTTTCAGCCTACATGTAACACTTTATGTTCTGTATCTGAGAAAAGTTCAAAGGAAACACTAGAAAGGCAATCTCTGGGGTGTGTCCAGTCCTAGATTTCATACATAGGCTAAATTTGGGTCTGTGTCAGTGCCCATGCTTAAATTGCCATCTGTACAGCCCAGTGTTCCTAAATAAGGCTATGATCTCCTACATTATTATTGAAATGGCTCACACTGGTTTATCCTTGGTCATTTGCCAAATAGCTAACAGCACCTATCATGTACAAAACTCTATGGCAGATAGTGTAGGCAACAATAAGGACAGAACAGTCTTCCCTGGGGACATAATTTTATAGAAAGTGGATTTTATGCACTGATTGTACAAGGGGATAATCTCATGTTTTGAGCATCTTAAGATCTTAGCACATTGCCTTCAAAATAACAGCAATGACACATTTTTAAATTAATGCAAAACTATGTGCTAGACCCCATACTAAGCAGTGTAGGTATTTTCTCATTTGGTCTGCACAACAACCCTATTCTATGATGTGGAAACTGAGGCCCAGAGACTTCAAGGTAACTTGTCAAAGTCATATAAACATTAATGACAGAATAGAGACTCGAACCAGGTCTACCTGTCTCCCAAACTCATGTTTATCTCATGAATGGTCTTCTTTGTGTAAAGTTGACAATCCATAAATATTGGTTGAGTAATTGAGTAAGTGAACAGTGAGTGCTTGAAAGAATAAATAAATAGAATTTTGGCTCGAGGGAGTTGTATGCTGCACCATTTACCCTGCTGAATGGGGCCCAGGCCCTATAGCTGGGTATGGTCCTTGGGTCCTTTTTGTTCTTGTCTGATCTTGCCTTGTAAAGAATCCCACCTCACTCCCAGCACACCCATGTCTACCTTTTAATTTGAGTGGAGGCTCTGCTTTGAGTCAACCAGGTAATTTCTTTTCATTTTGCCTCCCCCGACCACTCACTTCCATCCCAGGCCTCCTTCCACCTCAGCTATTACACAGTCCATTTCCTTGCCTGAGATCCTGAGATATTCTGGGAGATACTCAGAATAATTTGCTTATCTTCTTTCCAGATTCCCAGAATGGAGACCAGGCAGAGGAGCAGGGAGACATCTGATTTGTTGCTGCTTTCAGCTTCCTGTCAGCACCCTTGTCTACCACGCAGGGGTTCTGCCAAGCTGAGCTGAACCAGACACTGACGTGGGAGAGACCCAGGAAGTGGGAGGCACTGGCCAGTGGTAGTAGCCCTTCCAGTGGGCCCTCCAAATTCACAGCCACAGGAGTGGAGAAGTCCTGCTTGATGCCCTCTGGTGTCAGCTCCTGAAGGTTCTGAGGGGAGGGATGCCTCGAAGTAGGGACCTGGAAGTCTGTGAACTCGCTCCAGACAATGCAGGGAAAGGGAGGTGCCACAGGTTTGCTTTTTCTGCCCTTCCTGACTGGTGCTACCTTTGTATTTACATCAGGAACCCAGTTGGATTATGATGTCTTCGGCCTCCCTGCAAATCTCAACCCTGCCTCAAGAAAGGGTGAAAGCGTCATTCCTACTGAAGTGGAGATGCCAAGGCCATCTAGAGATGGGATGAAGGGAGGGAGGGGGAGAGGGAGCGGAGTGTGCAGGCCGGTCTGAGGCAAGATGCTGTGGGGGTGGGGAGGAGCTGGCCTGTAGATTGCACATTGACCCCGGCAAGGCTGACCCTCAATGCCCACTGAGGGAGAGAAGGGCAGGCGGGAATCAGGTTTTTTGAGAGCTTACTACTGTGTGCCAGGGGTGTTGCCAGGTAGTTGGGTTTATTCCCATCCTACAGATGAGGAAGCTGAATCTGGAGAGGCTGAGTGACCGTATGCTCACAGCAAGTGATGGAACCTGAATCTGAAGCCAGGTGTATGTGACCTCAAAGGCCCCATACAGCAGCTCCCACAGGAGTGGTGTTTCCACCTGGCCCTTTTCATTCCAATGCAGCATAGACCCCTCTCTTCCCTCTTGCTTCCTGGCTGCCTCGCTGCGGTAGGCTCAGACTGGGGCTGCTAGTGCTGGACAGCGAAGCCCGTGCTTGTGTACCTGTTTGTGTATGCATGCATGCATGCATGTGCACATGTGTGTGCATACCTGTGTTCACACACAGCACACACATACAGTGGGGAAATGCAGAGAGGAGGAAGAAGGCTTATCATTCTCAGATCTGTGGCAGAGACAGCAGAGATGCCCCCTGCCGCCTCACTACCAGCTCCTGCTTCTGCCCAACCTCTCTTCTCTCCCCCGAGCTCAGACTCCTTGAACAGCCTTCCCTAGGCTGCCTCAGGGCTTTGGGGGTGGGAGATGCTACTGCGTTACAGGCTTTAGTCTCTTTCCCTGCTGGGGGCAATTGCAGAAGACTCACATGTGGTGCAGTATCTAACTTTATTTTACTCAATTCCCCCTTCTTTATGTGCTGAAAAGCTTTAGGGGAAAAAAAGATTCTTCCAGAAAATCACACCCTGCGTCTTCCTTTCTGCTACTCCTAGGAAGTTATTTAAGATGGAAATTAGAGCCCATTATTGCACATTTAATTACCCACCAAGTGAATGGCATATTTAATAGAAATGGCAAAATCCTCCAACATGTGTAAGATTTCTAGTTCATGTGTCTCCAGACGTGTTGCAAAATAATTCATTAACTAGAGACGTGTGGTTGCTGGGGCTGTCTCGGGAAAAGCGGAGCCAGAAACTGGGGCCAAGGATGTGTGAGTTGATTAGCCCCCAGGATTGAGGTAATACAGACTTTGCTCCTAATGTGCTCTGAGGTGAAGAGTGCCCTTCTCACGAGGGGCACGGCATGGAGGCCTGTACTGGGGGCACAGGGTCTTGAGTAGGCTGGTCCTTGGCTGAGTGGGGAGAAGAGGGGGAGGCTGGTGCATCTCCAGCCATTCTTCCTACCCCAGGTTCCTGAATCACCCATGAGCACCAGGACAGATGTAGAAGCAGTGTGGGCTGCGGGGAGAACTTCAGAAATGGCAGGGACAAGGGGACAATTTCTGAGGCAGTTACTGGGGAGGGGATAGGGTCTATTACCTCCTCTCTCTGACCGGTGCTCTAGCTGTGTCCTTTCGGCTTTGACTCCAGGCTGTTGTTACATTTTAGGAATGTTTGTTCATTTACTCAGCCAGCCAACATTTATGGAACATCTGCTATTTGTGGAAAATCTGCTTGTTAATTCAACCGTGCAACCGATCAACCTTCTTATTTAATACCTATTATTCATTCTTTTTCTCATTCACTCATTTATTTTAAGCAATGAAGTAACCAGACAACATGTAGTGAATACCTACTGATTCACATATTTGTGCAAACCAGCAGCATTTACAAAGTACCTACACTTATCCCTTCATTCACCCACCCACCCACCCAGATATTTACTGAATTCTAAATGCCTATGCATTCAGGCTATCGACAAATATATACTGAGCACCAATCAATATCAAGAATTGTGTATACACTAGGGAAACAAAAGCTAAGACACAGGTCTTGCCTTTTAGGAGCTTAAAGCGATAACATTAATAGCTAACATTTATTCAGCATTTAGTATATATGGCAGCACTATGCTAAGGGCTTTACATATATGAACTCATTTCCTATGGTGAGTAAAATGAAGAAACAGGCATAGGCATTTCTCAATGTTGCACAGCTTTTGAGTGATAGAGTCTCAGGGTTTGAACTCAGGCAGATGGGCTGCAGAGTGTGTACTCCTAACCAGGACACTGACTCCCTGGGTGGGGAAGGTGTGGGGGGGACAGAGACACATTGCACAGTCCTCTGGCAGGAGAAAATGGGGAGATAAATTGCTATGCTTGGAGGAAATAGAGGAGTTGGTATTTGAGCTGGATCTTAGAGAAGGCACAGGAGTCTGTGAGCCAGGAAAGGAGGTGGAGGTGTCATAAGCCAACACAATGTTGGGAACTGGCTGGGCAACAGAAGGACATAAAGGCATGGTTTCTATCCTCAAGGAGCTTCCAATCTCATAGAGGAGGTAATACATGGATACAAATGACTTCACCACAGGAAAAGGTGGGGACTGATGGCAGGTGTAAGGTGGGCCTTGGTGAATCATACAAACGGTACAAATGCAATCTCTAGAGAGGGGCCGAGGGAGAAGAGGATCTTTCTCAGTTGGAGGTTATTAGAGATGCCCTCATAGACAGACCTTGAATCGAGGCTGAGAAGGTTCTCCTAAGAGAAAAGGGGCTGGGGAGAGCATACCGGCAGGTGGAATGGCAGAAGACCCAATGGGCCAGGAAACATGTGGTCCTGACCGACTACCATTGCAGCCTCAGTTGTGTTAGCAGTGAGTGGAAGAACAGTGTGGAAAGATGGTGCAGATTATAAAGGGGCTTGAACCTTCAGTTATGGAGATTAGACTTTATTTAGTAGGCAGTGGAGAGTCTCTGGGAGCTTTGGAGAAAGGGAGAGTGCTAATTATTCTGTTTGTCCCCTTGTGTTTGTGTGCCAGGAGAATGAGCCCCACAAGCTGCATGCTCTTTTGCTGGCCAGCTCCTGGTTAGGCTCAGTCAATGGGGGCATGAGCAGTAGCTTGGAGTGTGGGCAGAGACAGAGGTCAAGAGACCTCTTTCCTGCTGGTGATAGCTGAGTGTCACCAGAAATCTGTATTTTAGCAATCACTCCAGGTAATTCCAATATTTAGGCAGGTCTAGAATCATTGATCTATGCTGTTTACAAATCACCTTTTCATTCAATCTTGTAACCCATAACAATATTCTTATCTCTATTTTATAGTTGAGAAAACTAAGGCTCAAAAGAGTTGTGACATGTCCAAAGTCAAGAACTTTTAAGCAGAATAGCTAGGATTAAAATAAGCATTTCTACCTCTATATTCAGCTTCTTGGGGGAAACTCTGGGTCAAGAAGTCTAGTTAGAAGGCCTTTGTAAAAATTGAGGCATCATGCTATCCTCTCTGACTTGCTTCCTCTAATCTTTGCATTGCCAAATATTGCCCATTTACTCTGATGCCATATATACGTACACACACACACACACACACGTAATTTTTTTGAGATAGGGTCTCACTCTGTCACCCAGGCTGGAGTGCAGTGGCACGATCATGACTCACTGCAGCCTCTACCTCCCAGGCTTATGCAATTCTCTCATCTCAGCCTCCCAAGTAGCTGGGACTACAGGCATGCACCACCACACTTGGCTAATTTTTGTATATTTTTTAGGGATGAGGTCCCATTATGTTGCCCAAGCTGTCTTAAACTCCTGGGCTTAAGTGATTCTCCCGCATTGGCCTCCCAAAGTGCTGGGATTACAGGAAGAAGCCACCAAGCCAGGCCATGATGCCCATTTTAGGTAGCATATGCTCCACACAGCCCTCTGTGGGTTCCCCAGCTAATCATAATCTCGCAATCCTGAGGCTACCTGAGCTTTGTATGTGCATGTCTTCTCTTTCCAGTTGTCTCTAAGCCTTTTAAAATAGGCAGTATTGTATAGTAGTTAGTGCATGGCTTCTGGGATCTTTAATCTCCTGGGCTCAAAAATCTCACTGATGCCTTCACTCAAACCTTGCACATTGTCATCAGCTAGCATGGCTTCACTCCTGAAACTCTAGGACATCATCTCACCCATGGCTTTAGTACATTCCCTACCCAGCTGAGAGTTCTCTGTAACAGATACAATCACCAGTCACAGACAGCCCTCTCCCCCATCTCACCTTAATGCTCTCCACCTGACTCACCTGATCCTCTCCACCTGAACCACCTTAACCCTATTCACTGATCCACCCTAACTCTCTCCACCTGACCCACCTAACCCTCTCCACCTGACCCACTCTAACCCTCTCCACTGACCAACCTTAACCCTCTCCACTGATGCACCCTAACTCTCTCCACTTGACTCACCCTAACTCTCTCCACTTGACCCACCCTAACCCTCTCCTCGTCTCACCCTAACCCTCTCCACCTGAACTGTCCTAACTCTCCCCACCTGTCTTACCCTAACCCTCTCCCCATCCTACCCTAAGCCTCTCCACCTGACCCACCTTAACCCTTTCTCTCATCCCACAGACCTCTAACCCTTTACCATTATCATTCCTATACTTAAACGTCGTAGAAAATCACAGACCCGTGTATGATGGATCTACTGCAAATGTATGGCTTTCAATCTCAGCAAGGTACTTCTATGACCCCCCAACCCATAACTTCCTTTCCCTACATCTGTTATTAATACCCTCCTCCCTCCCTGAAGTCTCTCATCAAATGCAATCCCTGTACCCACGTCTTTAATTCCATCGCCTCTTCTCTCCTCCAGAGCCAGGACTTTGGTAGCACTTTGATTTTCTTTCTCCATTCATAGCCAAACATCTTGAAAGGATTGCTTGTGCTTTTATATTGCTGCTTATACATTGCTTGAAGTCTCTTTTCCCCGAGATTCCAGTGGGCCTTCCCTATTTATCCTGCCTTCCTGACTATTCATTTTTAGTCTCCTTTGCAGACGTGTTTACAATGCCCCCTCCTGAAATGCTGGTGCTCCCTAGGCCCTGTCCATGGCCTTTTCTCACTCCACATTTTCTATTTGGGTGATTGTATCCATTTCCATTGCATTGTTTACCATCTCCATTCATGGCTGTTAAACTTCTACCTCTTGCTCAGCTCTCTCTCCCAAGTCCTAGTTATATTTCCAACTTCCTACTATATAGCTCTACCTGAATGTCCTGCAGATGCCTCATGTCTGTAAGCCTACAAATGGAATCTTTGTCTCTCCCCACCCCAAACCCTCCTCCCAAATTCCCTCTGTTTGTGAATGGCACCACCATCTACCTGGTCATGTCCATCTACTCTATTCCTCTCATCCTCCACATACCCCTGGTGACCAAGCCATGTAAGTGCTGTATCCTTAATAGCACATGTGTTCCTTCTTTTCCCTCCCTCTTCTTGCAGTTGCTTTAGTTCAGGTCCTGGTCATCTCTTGCTCAGGCTATTTGCAGTATTCTCCCATATAGCCTTCCACCTCCAGTTTCTCTCCCATCTCATTCATTCTCTATGTAACAATAAAGGCGATCTATCTGAAAGTAAAATATCTTCCCCTCAACTTAAAACCCATCAATGATCCCCATCATCTACAGGCTAATTCACAAGCCCCTCAGCATGGCATATAAGGACCTCATGACCTGGCCTGTGTCCTACATTCCCATCTCATCTCCCCCGGTGCTCCTCATGTAAGCCTTGGCACAAGGCCGGAGGCAGAGACACCGGAGCTGGACGGCAGGTCTCAGGACCCCAGCTATGCCCAGGGATCTCAGCGCGTCTTCAGGCTCCCAGGCCCTCCCTCTCTTCCCTCTGCTCCTGCGCACCCGCTGATTTCTCCAAAGAAGCCCCTGGTAATGACTCAGCTGGGAGCTGTCCAGCCTTACCTTCTAGACCTAGCGGGAGAGACTTCTGAGGTAGATAATGTCTTTTAAAATGTAATTTACTTTAATGCACTGCTGTATTGTTACTAACATGTGCCCTATTATGTGTGCCTCTGAGGCAGCTGATTATAGAAATGTTCCTAAGGAAAATGTCTAAACCCAGGCAACTGTTACTTTTCTGAATAAGTGGGATGGGGTTTAAACCATCTGGCCAGGGCCTGGCATTTGTGGCCTCAGTGCCTGTAGTTTGGACCCCAGGCTTCTGAGAAAGTGTCAGGAAGCCAATCCCTAATCCTGCAGGAGTGGCATGGAAGACCTTCTGTGTCTAGGATGCCTCTGTTTTTATGCTTCCTGCACCTGACAGCCTTGCCATGGTGGAACAAAGCTGCCAACATCTGCTTGGGGATTTCTGTATGCATGTGGGCCGAATTTGTCATGTTATTAAAAAGACAGCTCAGAAGAAAACAAAAAAGAAGACTGGTAATAAGTATTCTTCAGGCTAAGTGACTAGGGAGTCTTGTAACAGATTGCTAGCATCTGGGGACAGTGGGTCAAGTCACAGCTCAACCCTCATCTGACTGCTATGCAGAGAAAATACTTAATATGCTTAGGTAGGAGCTCCACTTACTGTCTTCCAGTTTCTGACGTTCATCTACCCTTCCCTTCCCTTCCCTTCCCTTCCCTCCCACGCCAAAGCTGTCACTGAGGGGTTCCACTGGGTTCCCTGCAGGGAGCCACCATCCCTCCTCCTCTCTGTCACTCAAGCCTCACTTCAGTGTTCCTGCTCCAAAGGCAAGTGTGTGACCCACCTCTGCCCTGTCACATTGGGTTTTAGCCCCATGTGCCTTTGAGATTTCTGAGGGCCACAAACCAAATCTTAAGGCAGCTTCCTCACTTTTTAATAGGATCGTGTGGGAAAAATCAATCCACATATCTGATGTTAAGAAATTCTCTCGGTTGGGCACGGTGGCTCATGCCTGTAATCCCAGCACTTTGGGAGGCCGAGGTGGGCAGATCACTTAAGGCCAGGAGTTTGAGACCAGCCTGGCTAACATGGTGAAATCCTGTCTCTACTAAGAATACAAAAGTTAGGTGAGCATAGTGGTACATGCCTGTGATCCCAGTTACTCAGGAGGCTGAGGTGGGAGAATTGCTCGAGCCGAGGACACAGAGGTTACGGTGAGCTGAGATTGTGCCACTGCACTCTAGGCTGGGCAACAGATCGAGACTCCTTCTTAATAAAAAGAATGAAAGAAAGAAAGAAAGAAAAAGAAAGAAAGATAGAAACTTTCTCTTTGAGCCTGTTGGCTTGGAGAGGTCCTTCTGGGACATGGAAGTCAAAGGCCTTTGGTGCTGTTGTGTGATGTGAGGCCTTTGGAATGTGTGTGTCTATGTGAAGTGACTAGTGCATTTAAGAAGTATTGGATGAAAGAAAATAAATAGTTTTACCCAAAAGACACATGCACACATATGTTCATCATAACACTTTACTATTTGTTATATTCACAATAGCAAAAACATGGAATCAACCAAGGTGCTCATCAATGGTGGACTGGATAAGGAAAATGTGGTACATATATACCATGGAATATTATGCAGCCATAAAAAAGAATGAAATCACTTCCTTTGCAGCAACATGCATACAGCTAGAGGCCATTACCCTAAGCAAATTAACATAGGAACAGAAAACCAAATATCTCATGTTCTCATTTACAAGTGGGAGTTGAACATTGGGTATACATGGACATAAAGATGGCAGCAATAGAAACTGGGGACTACTAGAGTGGGGAGGAAGGGAGTGGGCAAGAGTTGAAAATCTATCAGGTACTACGTTCAGTACCTGAGTGACAGGATCATTTGCACCCTAAACTTCAGCATCATGCAATATACCCAGGTAACAAACCTGCACATGTGCCCCTTGAATCTAAAATTAAATTTGAAATTATAAAAAATAAAAATAGAAAAAGAAGTAGTAGATAGACAAGGGAAGCCCTTGCTTTCTTCAGGAGGGTCACACAGAGCAGAGAGAGCACTGGGCCTTGCCTGGGTCCTAGTCTCTGCCTTGCTGGCCCTGATTTTCTGGGACTAGGGAATCAGAAGAAGAATATCATAGCTTTGGTGGAGGCCAGGTTATCGTTTGCTTTAGGTCCACCTGTGATATCCAGTATCTTCCCATCCATCATCAGTCCTTCAGTCCATCTTTCTGTCCATCTTTCCATCCATCTGGACTTACACCTTTTCCAAATTAGTAAAGAATGCCATCCTCAGGAGAGTCTGAACTTTGATGAAGGTTGTAAGGCTCTTCAGCCCACCCCCTCCAGCCTTGTCTCTGCTGACTGTCTTCTTCATGGTCTCTACCCTGTTGAAAAGGCCATGTTATCACCTCCCCAGTGAGGCACATGGTGGCCCGCCACCTCACACTCCCCTCTACCTTGACCCCTCTACTGTGCCCATCTCCCACTGACTGTGTCCAGGTAAATGTCCCTTCTCATCTGTGCTTCTTTAGCATCTTCAGTTTACCCCAGGAGGATACCTGTCACCCTCTAGGTAAGGCCATGAGTGTCATCTCAGATTAGACAGGTCTGCTCATGGTCCATGTCCCTGGGTTTTAGCAGTTAAAGAAAAAAAATACACAAAATGCTTGTCCAAAATGGCAAGAAATACTTTATTCAAGACTATTGCAACAGGGAAGAGAGAGTAAACTCAACTCCAAACGCAAAAGGGACAAGTGGGGATTTATAGCCAATGACAGGGTAAGGAAGTAGATGGAAAATCACTAAGAGGAACTTGCCTAGGTGTGCAGGGTGTGGGGAAGAGGAACTTGATATCAAGGTGGGGGGATTCTCAATAAATTCTTTGCTAAAACTGGACTCAGTTGGCCAAGGATGGGGGCTCATCAGAGTAAGGAGTAATGAGTATGTTTGGTCGAGGAGGGAGTTCTTGTCATGGATGGGGCAGGAAGCTGGTGCTGTGCCTGAGGCCAGCCCTTGGCCTCCATCATGGGGCCATCCAGGCGGCTGGAACCTCCTGCACAATCCTAATCAGTGGGTCTCCCTAAAAATAGCAGCCTCTGCCCATGCAGAAGCCTCACACACAGATCCATGTTTGTTGTGGGTACCTCAGCTGCTCTGGGGTGAGAGGGGATATATTTATTTTTCCTTTGTGCATCAGTTGAGCCTGGCTTCGTGGCCAACCTACCTCGTCAGAGCTCTGCATTCAGGCAGGGTCGGGGGAGTCAGACAGCCCATATCCAGCCATTCTGCAAGTCTAGGCTTCCTTCCTAATGGGGAATGATGTAAAAGTGGGAAATCCCAAGGAGGTATTTTGGGAAGGGTTGTGGAGAGAGAGGCAGACAATACTGCTCCAGATGGCCTGTATGTTCACTGGGAAAAGTGCTGTCTCATTAAACGTTTCTTAGGCCTTGGAGCTTATCTCTTCTGTCCAGGTGGGATTTCAAAGCCTGCTGGAGAAGGGAATCCTGGGACAGAGGCAGGAACATGTCATAGGTTTTTATGGCAGAGTCATCCTTGGAATTTTAATTACCTTATCATCATCACACTATTATATATTTACCTATCCTAATGATGAGATTACACATTCAATTAGGATGTAATTACTAGTTCTATTACTTAAAGAAAAATACTTAGGGATAATTACACAATTATGAAATACAATTAGAAAATGACATATTAAATTTAGAAAAGCTTTTGAAACACTCCTCCAACCCTCCCACCCCACCCTCCTGTACAAAAGATTTCTTGTATTTATTCTCTCTCCTCTTTCTCTTCTGCAAGTACAAGTGCAGCCCAGTCTGGTCCAGTGTGATCAAGGGGTGGGTATTTCCCTGGAGAGCACAGGACATTGTATCTTAGAGATTCAACCCCTTACGGCCTCTTGGGGATTTAGGGGTAGCTCAACTTTGGAGACTCTGCCTGAGGTTCTGGAACCACAGGGCATTTTCGCAGGCCACAGGTGGTGGTTGTTCAACCTTCCCTGCTACCCCATCTGCTGGGAGTGCAGAAAGGGAAGGAGCAGGGTGGGGCCTGGCAATTCCAGGGCTGAATGTTACAGGTGGGGCTCTCAAGAGGCCCCAGAGGCAAACAAATTATCAGAGTCTGTCTCACACATGGGTACAGTGTTTCACCATTTTGATAACACTTTCACATTTCCCAGCTCCTTTAATCCACAGCACCATCTAATGAGATGGGGAGATGGTTAAGTGTTCTTGTTCCCCTACTTGGAACTCCCTCTTCCTTTAATCTCTGTCTCCACTCTGGTTTTTGTCTTTAGTTGTCTGATTACCCATCTCAATCTTCTTTGTGGCTTCTTTTTATCCTTGGCTTACAGATTGTTTTATTGCTCTCCAGAGTTCCATCCTCTTCTGTTTGTTTGTTTGTTTGTTTGTTTCTCTCTCTCTCTCTTGGGCAGTTCAAATGGGATGGAGGGGCTCTCCCAGGCTTCACCACTGCTGTGTGTGGTGTATGATTATGGGTGGAAGTAAGGCACTCTGCTGCCAGGCTTGAGCCATAAGACTCCCCTCTCAATGCTTCCCTCTCTCTTTGCCCATGTGTGGGCTGTATGTTGCTGTCCAGGACAACCTTTGAAATGGCTTTGAAGCAGACAGGGACCCTGCCATCTCTGGAGCACAGTGCTCATTGTCACTCACCTTGCCACTGTTTAGAGTTTATCTGAGTAAGAAAAACTTCATTGTATTAAATCACAAAATATTTCTATGTTTACCTGATACAGCAGCCCCTCATAAATGAAAACAGCCTTACTGGTAGGAAACAGATTCTGGACCATAAGATTTGAATTGATAGTGTTTTTGTGCTTTCCTCTGGCAAGTCCAAATAGGAAGCCAACTTATATCCAGAAGTTGGTAAAGTTGGTTAGTCTAGTGGATGTCATGGTGGCTTCCCTGACATCCACTTCCTCTTCATCCGGTGATTATTGCAGTTTTGCCCAAGCCTTGCCCACACAGCCACTGTAGTTGAGGGGCTGCTGCCACCCTCAGCTCCAAGGTTGGGCCTAAAGGGCCTAAGAGTAACCTCACTCCCTTGGCTTTTGGAATCCAGGCCAATGTGAATCAGTCCTGGCCTCAGAACTAATTCAGGAAAAGTTATGACCCAATTTGGTCTAATGAGACAAAAGGCCAAATTTATTGGGGTCTGCTTGGAAAGAGATTTCTTCACTCTTAAGACAGCCATAGAAACTATGTTGCAGATGAATCCAGAATTCTGAAAACAGAAAGCAAAGATCCAGATCCTGTCCAAGCAGAAAGCATGGGGAGCATGCCCTGACCCTCAGACTCGAGTGCCCTGGTCCCCAGAGAGGTGCATTCCTACTGGGACTTACTCACTTCCTCCTCTTGCTGTGCTTCCAAGCTCACTGAGTGTACCAGCTTAGCATGCTTTTGGCTGCAATGATCAGAAAATCTGACCCAACTCAACTGAAGACAATAACAGGAATTTATTGTATCGTATAACCAAAAAAGGCCAGGGTTGGAACATGGTTCAGACTTGGCCCTGGCTTGGTTTATTTGAGATACTCTCAGCCTTTTGTCCCTTCTTTAGGCTGCTGTTAGGATAGCTGCAACAATGCCAGGCCTCCTGGCCAAAGACTAGGTCCACAGACAGTAGGTTACAGCAAGCCATGCTGATGGATATTTTAGGCCTTCTCAAATTCCCTGGGCACAGACATCTCCTTTTACTCCCACAATGAGCTCCTCACATCCATTTTGTCTGTATAACACTATTTAGTTCTTAGTGGGGGTGACTGTATTTTTCTATTTTGAAGTTCTTGGGCAGAATGGGCATCTTGCTGTTGCTCCCATGCACGGCCAACACAGGTTAGATTCTCTCTCTGACTGATCTCATCCTCTCCCGTGGCTTAAGCTATATCACTTGTCCATGACCCTAGATCTACAACACCAGGGTGGACCCCTTGCCAGGCTCTTTCCAGTCTGCTCTGGCTCAACAGCTATTGGGCAGCTCCCTGTGCACACTGAGCAAGAACTTCAAACACAGTGTCCAGACGGGAGACTCCTCATCTGCTCTTATGCCAGCATTTTCTAACTTGGTTAGTGGGGCTTCTGTTTATCCAGTCACCCAGGCTTAAGTCCTCGACACCATGTTTGCCTCTTTCCTTGCTTTTCCCGACATGTTTAGTAGCTTACAAAGTTCTCTGATGACATTTCCTGAATACGTTTCTAATCTGTCTCCTCTTCAAGGTCTCAGTGGTCATAATCTAAGCTCAACCTCTTCTTATATTTTACCTGGACTATGGAAATAGTTTCCTAACTTGTCTGTCTGCCTCCAGTCTTGCTTTTCTCAATTCCATTTTTCTGAAAACACATAGATTGGCCTTTCTATAATACAAATATTCATTCTTTGGCTTACAATCCTTTCACTGGCTCTGCATTTCTGCTAGAGAATAAGATCCAAATTCCTTAGTCTGACATTCAAAGTTGTTCACATCTGGCCCTGGCTCCAACCTCTTCTTCCACCATGATGTCCCTGATACTCTACTTCCTAGCCATACTGAGTCAGTCACTCTTCTCTGAGTACATGCTACTGCATCATGACTACAGACTTTTCTGCACGCTTAACTTCCTGCCTAAGAGATTCTTTCTCCACTCTCTTTAACTCATGTCCTCCTCCAAAGTCTTTAAGCCCTTATAAATGGGTCAGTGCATATCTTTTACCTCCTCAGTGCACCCTCCCTCACCCTTCCTCTTGCAGTGAGCAACTTCTTATTCCACTCCCCACCACCACACACTGATACATACCTTCCATAGCACTCACCTCACTCCATTGCCATTATTTGCTTATATGTCTGTTTCCTACACTGGACAGTAAATACCTGTCAGTCATTCTATCAGCTTGTATTTATTAAACACCTAGCATGTGCCAGACACTGTGCGGGTGCTGGGGACAAAGAGATAAACCATACTAGTTAACACTCATATGCTACTTACTACATGCTAGGCACTACCCAAAGTTCTTTGCATACATTAACTTAAAGGGCAATAATTTGTGGGGAGTCTTGAGAGAGAATGTTACCTGTGTTAGCCACATATGGGGGCAAGAATAAGGTGCCCATTCTTTTCCCAAGAACTTGGAAATAAGGGAAATATAGTCACACTTTTAAGAATTAAATATAATATACAGACACAATTATTTTTGCAATCTAGTTGGTTGGGGAGGCAGGGCTTGAATTCGGGTATTTAGATTCTAAATCTTATGTCCTTTCTGCTATGTCACACCTGTTTCATTCAACCTCCTTCCAGCTTCCTCAGCTGTCACAAGGTAGTAGTAATGATACTTTGCTTTTTTACCTCATTTGGTTTGTGAAGAAGATCCAATATGATGGTGATAAAGCCTTGCAAACTATAAAAGCTCCGTGCAAATGAGAATTATCTATACACGAATCTATACATCCATACACACATCTATACACACATCTAGGGAGCCCTATTTAACATCTATTTTTGCCTGAAATAAGACATCTCTTAACATCACCAACCTCTAGTGTTCTGAATTGCACAAGAAAATGCTGTTGCCCCCATGGGGTTGAGAGTCTTTGGTCGTTTTCTGATTCCTCTTGTCACCCGAGGCTTAGATCATTTATAATTAAGTAGGTCATTTGGACCTGCCTTCCCTGGAAGAGTTTTGGTCTCCTCTTTATTCTGTCTCACCATTGTGTGCACCTCCAAGCCTTTCCATCTCTTCTTCAGGCAAAACGATGCCAAATACCCCACTTCTGATTCTTTCCATGGGAGCAGAAAGAGGAGCTGAGACCTGCTGGACGTTGACCAGAAGGCCCATCCTAGGGCTTTACCTAGAGCTGGTTCCTCCTGACTTCCACTCACACTCTCAGCCCTGGGGTAGAAAACTCTTTAGGCTCAAAGGCAGAACCCTGCCTTCCCCAGGTGGCAGAACGAGGCAGGAGGCAGGTCTGCTGGGTTCCTTGTCCCTGTAGGAAAGGCATCAACTTCAGTGACAGCCTAGTGGTCTGGGGGCCACTGCACCCCATAAAGCCTCCTAGAGCAACCCCAAACTGAGGGCAGAGAGATGGACTCATCTCTTGGATTGGCAGAGGGTGGGGTGGAAGGGGTGTAGCTGTATACAGAGGGTCTCTTCTCATCTTTTACAAACGCAGACTCAGTCTCATCTGATGCAGTTCAGTTGGCTGGAAAATGATGGAAAGTTTAACAAGCTCAGCCTGGCGGCAGCAAGGAGGCAACCCAGGCTGTGTGCAGCATCGCCCCTTCCCTCCAAGGCAGGCTGGGGGCCAGATCTTTCCCTGGCTTTGGAGGAGCGGAGGGCATACTTTTGGCTGTGGCTTCTAGACAGCTTCTGACCCTGTGGTCTTTAGGCTGGCTTCCCATAGTGATCCTCAGAATTATTAAGGGAGTCCTCCCATCTTCCATTTTCTACCTTCAGGTTTTCATTTTCTTAAAGTTTCATTTTTTAACAATTGCCACGACAGCAGCTCCGAGTGTCAAAGACAACAAAGAGTCCGAGGGCACGGTGCTCCTTGGAAGAGAAATCATCCAAATTGCAGATCCAATCCCGTCGTTTGCTCCTCTCCTCCTCCTGCGCTGCGGACTCTCCAGATACCTTTAGATGTCCAAACTTCTTATGGCGCCTGCGATCCAACACCCAGCTATGGCCTCCTTTTCCAGTCTCTTTGCTCACTAGCCCTTCCTCCTGTCCTCTGTTCCGGCTAAACTGAACTTCTTTTAATGGCACAGAATATGGCAGAGTTTGTCCCTCCCAGTGTGTAGGGCAAGCTGCCTGGACACCTATTGCTTCACCCGATCCCCTGGCCAGATCCTCTTCCTTCTGTTCAGATATGACTTTCTCCAGGAACCGCCTCCTGCCTTGGGCATCGGGTCTTCCCTGCTGTCTCTGCATGCTCAACACCTCAACTTGTGTGTGGCTGAGAAAATTTACCAGGTGTTGTAAGATCACAAATTTGCTTGTTTATTTCCCCATCAAAACAGTTCTAATAGGACAGGGGCTGCTGAAACACTTGACACCTATTATTAAATGCTGAATGAATGGAAACCTATTCACTTTGGAGCTATCTGGGCTTTTAGAGGAGCTGCAAGGTGGTGATTAATAACATCTGTACTTTCTATTGGGGTGGTGCTTAGATTTCACCCCCGTTTTCTCTGACATCCAACTCCTATAATTGCTTTGCACACACAAAGCCACCGTGCTGTTGGAGGGAACTCCAGCCTCTTCAGGGGTTCTTGGAAGCACTGAAATTGAGCATTTTTGTTTTGTCTCTCAGTATTTGTGCAAGCAAGGCACCCTGGGGAGGGCATTGCTTCTAGGCTTCAGAATAATGGCTTGCAGAGACTCCCTAGGGCAGGCTTGAAAGAGAACACTTGATTCTTTTCCTACCTGTTGTTTTTCTGCTTCCTAGCCGTTGATGAAACCTTTCCAGTTCTGCTGTGAGATCTGTGGGGAGAGTAGTCCTGTGGCTACCCAAAGGTTATCCCATTGGCTGAGCTTCTGAGCAGGGCGGGTGTGGGCTGAGAGAACACAGGACTGGCTCTGTAGCTCACAGCCCTTCTGCTGGGGTAGGGGTGGTAGCAGGTGTGGGAATGAAACAGCTGCTCCCCTTAGCAAGTTTGGGAAATTTTATTTTATTAACACTGTTGACATTATGGTGCAGACCAAGATGAGAGGCCATTGTGGAAATTTCAAAGCCAGTCCCTGAAGGAGGTAGGGAAGGTAGACATAGGGTGGCAGCTACTTGAAGCAATTGATCCCCTGAAACTCATGGTGCTGGCATCCCCAGCTCATGTTCCTTAGGATGTCAAAGTGGTTAACTTTTAGCCCTAGGCCCTTACAGGCAGCAAGATTACCATTTGCTTGGTTTTGAACTGAAAAGTCTGGTGTTGAGCTTGAAGTCTGGTGGAAAAAATACTGAACATATAAAGATTTGTTTGCTTTTTTTTTTTTTTTTTTTTTTTTTAGACTGCAGTGTGGTGGTGAGATCTTGGCTCACTGCAACCTCTGCCTCCCGGGTTCAAGTGATTCTCCCGCCTCAGCCTCCCGAGTAGCTGGGATTACAGGCACGCACCACCACACCTGGCTAGTTTTTGTATTTTAGTAGAGACAAGGTTTCACCATGTTGGCCAGGCTGGTCTCGAACTCCTGACCTCAGGTGCTCCACCTGCCTCAGCCTCCTAAAGTGTTGGGATTACAGGCGTGAGCCACTGCACCTATCCTGTTTGCTTTTTTTTTTTTTTTCAAATCAAGAAAAGATTTTATTATGGCAAGATGTGACTTCTGTATATACAATCAGTGTCTTCAAATGCCAAATATAAACTGTAGTGGTAATGGTTGCCAATTTGCTGTCCATCTCTGTTTTTTCGGTTTGGCGTGCACATATTTTATCAAGAGTGACTGGTATTTTTTTTGTTGTTGGGAACCATCTGTTGCCTCTAACAGGAAAGGCATAAAAACCCTACAGCAATTTCTTCCTGCTAATAATCACTTTCTGGTGATAGTGGGATGTGTGAATTCCAAATGTTGATATTTGGAGCCAAGTATTTGTTGTGCTTTGCTAGGAATATCCTCTATGTATCTTTATTAAATAATAATAAAGTTAATTATTGGTAAGGAAACAAGAGATGAGTAAAGGAATAGAGAATTCTGCTCTGTCTCCTTCAGGGAAGAGAAAAGAGCTCTGGGCCTGGAAATTAGAACTGGGGAGTTCTGGCTGGAGGCAGAGATCTGCAAGAGGTAGTGAAGACTTGGTTTAAGGGATGAGTAAGATCAGCTTTGGAGAGAGCCCTTTGGAGGCAGGAGGAGAGGGCAAACCAGGCCTAGATTGGGAGAAGAAGGCGCAATGATTTTCTAAGCAGGGAAATAAGGACTAGATGGAGATCTTAGAGACGTGGTTCCCTGGCTCAACATCCTTAATGCTATGGCTAGGATATTAGAGACCTTCAAGACTGGCCTGCCTTCCTTCTTTTCTTCCTTCCTTTCCTCCCTCCCTTCCTTCCTCCCTCCCTCCTTCCTCCTTTTCCTTCCTTCCTTCCTCCTTTTCCTTCCTTCCTTCCTTCCTTCCTCCTTTTCCTTCCCTCCCTCCCTGCCTCCCTTCCTTCCTTCCTTCCTCCTTTTCCTTCCCTCCCTCCCTGCCTCCCTCCCTTCCTTCCTCCTTTTCCTTCCATCCTTCCTTCCTTCCTTCCTTCCTTCCTTCCTTCCTTCCTTCTTTCCTTCCTTCCTCCCTCCCTCCCTTCCTTCCTTCCTCCCTCCCTCCCTCCCTCCTCCCCACCTCTCTCTTTCTTTTTTTCTTTTGTTCCTTCTTTCCAGAGGAGGAAACAAGCCTAGAAACTTGAAGAGCAGACTGAAGTCACACACCTGATTAGTGAAAGTCAGCAGAAAGCTGACTGTGTTTCTGATGATGTTGTGAGTAGGGGTGTGTGAGAGGATGGTTTCAGGAAGCCTCAAAGAGTGACATTTGGGCTTGGTGGAGAATGTCCAGGCAGGCAGAAGAAAATCAGGGCTTTTAGGATGAGGAATGGTGTTGCTTCCTTCTAACATCTTGGCCTCCCTTCAGTTCTGGGGTTTTCTAGAAATGATGAAAATCTTTCTTGCTGTTGGTAACTTGAGAAGTTTTCTTAACAAGGAAAAGTTAAGCAACTCTGAAGAGGGAAAAAAAAGGCCTCTCAAGATGGGCTCAAAGGAATACATTTAGACCTAGGTTTATACAGATTACAGGAGCTACATCCCCTATCATGTATGCCCGGAGGCCTAGTGGGTTGAATGGTGATCCCCAACTCGAAAACACATATTCAGGTCCAAATTCCTGGAAACTGTGAATGTGACTTAGTTCAGACAAGGGGTCTTTGCAGACATAGTTAACTTAAGGATCTCAAGATGAGATCATTCTGAATATAGGGTGGTTCCTGAATCCAATGACAGATGTTCCTAGAAGAGAAAGACAGAGGAAGATTAGAGACACAAGCACACAGAAGAAGGCAAAGATGGGAACAGGGATTGAAGTGATGCTACCAGAAGTCAAGCAGTGCCTTGAGCTACCAGAAGCTGGAAGAGGCAAGGGAGGGTCCTCCTCCTTGATTTTGGCCTTCTAGCCTCCAGAACTAGAGGAATACATGTATATTTATATAATTTTTTTAGAGACAGGGTCTCACTTTGTCACCCAGGCTGGAGTGCAGTGGCATGATCATAGCTCACTGTAACCTCAAACTCCTGGGCTCAAGCAATCTTCCCACCTCAGTCTCTTGAGTAGCTAAGTAGCTACAGGCATGCACTACTATGACTGGCTAATTTTTAAAAAACTCTGTGTAGAGATGGGGGTCTCACTATGTTGCCCAGGCTGGTCTCAAGCTCTTGGCCTCCCAAAGCACTGGGGTTACAGGCATGAGTCTTTGTGCCTGGCCTAAATTTCTGTTGTCTTCAGCTATCAAGACATCCTGTATTTATTTCCTAGGACTGCCATCTGCAGCCCTAGAAATGGCAGCTGTAAGAAATAAATATAAGAGGGGACCATCTATTTTTCTGTTTTTCCACTTTGAATTCTTCTTCTTTCTCTTATTCCTAAGTTTCAGGACCACCATGTCTAAATCAAACCCTCTCTGACCACCCAGATTCTCTGGAGTAAAGATCCAGCATCTCAGGAGGCAGCAATAAATAGTGGTAAGGAGTGCAGGTTCTGAAGTTACATTGTGCAATATTGGGCAAGTTATTTATTCTGTGCCTTGATTTTTTTCAAATATAAAATGGGAACATTAATTTTGCTTAACTTCCCAGAGGGTTGGTGAGGACTGAAAATATATGTGTCTATAGACACACACACACACACAGACAGACACACACACACACACAATTAATGCTCAATAAAAAATAATTTTAAAAGTTTACATACTCAACACATGTTCCATATCATTAGTTCTCCTTTGACAATATCAGATTACTGCTAGGGTCACCACATAATTTATTACACAAACTGAAGCAGTTTTGGGAGTGAAAGAGAGGCTATAATTACACTGGGAACAGACTCCTAAGGCAACAGGGAGATGGGGTCACCCTTGAGAGGGCCCATATTTTACATGTTGGGGTATGGAGGACAGCATTAGGTTATCAGAAAACCACAAAAGGCTTTTATGTAGACAACTACTAAGATATTTTTGAAACAACTCACTGGAAGAAAGAAATAAAAGGAAAACGTACTTGCATAAATTTGGCTATTCAAGTTCTGCTTTGAGGTAATGGTAAATCTCCCAAACCGAATGGTAAAGAAGTTCCCATTTGCCTGCATGGTTCACTCCTTTCTGTTTGAATATTAAACCATCATAACCTTAATACCTATTGCTAGGGGCTCGATTTTCATGTTCCTCCAGAATTCCTATGTTGAAAACCCCCAAGTTGATGGTAGTAGGAGATGGGGCCTTTGGGGGTGATTAGGTAATGAGGATGGAGCCCTCATGAATGGGATTAGTGACCTTATGAAAGAGATCCCTGAGAGCTGCCTTGCCCCTTCCACCAAGTGAGGGCATAGTGGGAAAGTGTCATCTATGAACCAGAAAGTTAGCCCTCTTCAGATGTCAAATCTGCAGGAGCCTTGACCTTGGACTTCCCAGCTTCCAGAACTGTAAGAAATAAATTTCTGTGGTTTCTAAGCCACCAGAATATGGTATTTTGTTATAACTGTCTGAGCAGACTAAGACATCGATTCACAAGCAACATGGACAAAGGCTGGAGGGGTTAGCGAATGTGAAACCCTCTAGAGCAGGAGCTGGGGCTGAGGAGGAGAAGCAGGTAGGTGCTCTAGGTCGCCCTCAGAGTACCCCTCTCTCCTCGCCACCACCTGCAGGCTCCTCAGGGATGCTCTTCCTCCAGCCATGGGCCCTTCAGACAAGAAACGTGCTGCCCCTGCCTTTCTACCCACCTTTTCTCCACAAGAAGTGCCCAGAGAGCTCCAAGCATTGAAAGGCAAGTGTCCTGTGGAGGTTTCCTCTGGACCCCTGGCTGCTTTTCAAAACATATAGGAAAAGACTCTAATACATTTAACTTTGAATATTTACCTAAACATCCCAAAATTTTGATTCTCACTGGCTGCTCTGAAGTGTTTGGTCCACAGTGAGCCATTTTCCATACTCAGTGAGTGCAGGTGCTGGACAGGCTGTTTCCATGAACCAAGTTGACAGTCTAAGAGCAAGAGGCATGGGTGCCTGTCTGCCTGTTGAAACCCTCTTCCAAAGACCACTGGGAAACCATGCTCCCTCTTTCATGGCATGTTTAATAATGCTTAAAACAATGCTCTTTCTTTCACGGCATGAGGGAGCATTGTTTTGACAGAGACTCAGTGGTGGCTCAAAATGGGGAAGTTAATGGGTTTTTGTGATAGAGTGGTCATAGGGTAGAAATTTGTGAGTGAAGTCTGGACTGGGGTTGGTCAGAATTTATAAACAAAGTGAATTTCTGGAATAGTCAGGGGTCTTGTCTCTAAAGCCTGAGTCCAGAGTCACTGCTGAATCCTTTTCCCCGTGGTCTTGGCATCAAGCCTCTGTGCATACAACACACCAGTGTGCTGGTCTTAAAGTAGTTTGATCTTTGCTGGTGTTGCAAGATATGGTTTGATACAATTAATCTATTTTGCAGGTCATAATACAGTTTTGCAGTTTGTAGTTTCAGTTGTATTTCTTACTTCAGAGGAAAGGAGAATAAATCTCCAAAGAGCTGCCTCTCCTCTTATTTAGTCCAGGAACAAATCCCTAATGGAAGCAAGAATGAACATTTGTTTCCACTGGGAATGTCCCATCATTCACTGCCTCCTCATGCTCCACCAAAGTTTCAATCTTCTGGCTGAGTCAGGGATCTTCGACAACCTGGCCTCCACCATCCACCACCCCCGATCATCACTTACCACCTCCATTAACATAACCCAACTTTCATCACCATCACCCACCATCACCCTGCCCACTTCCATGGCCCACCCCATCACCAACCCCACCACTCCCAACCAGTACCACTTATAAAACAAGCACTGTGTGCCAGGAACTGTGCTATGTGGGTTTGCCATGCTCATTTTATTTCATCTCCATTCCAGCTTTTTGATGTGAATTAGTGGTTCTTAACTAGAAAGATATTGATGCCTGGCTTCTCGCCCAGAAGTACTGAATCAGAAGTTGTTGAATTAGGGCACAGGAATCTGTATCTTACAAATATTTCAAATGATTTTGATGCACAGATAACATTTGAGAACCACAGATGTAAACAATATTATCTTTGTTATACAGATGGGCCAAGGGAGAGGAGATTAAAAATGATTTCCCTTGCAATTCTAAGAAAGGCTATTTTGAAGATGTTTGGGGAATAGTCTTAAAGAACCAAGAACAGTGGCTGGGCACAGTGGCTCATGCCTATAATTCCAGCAATTTGGGAGGCCGAGACAGGAGAATTGCTTGAGCCCAGGAGTTCAAGACCAGTCTTGGCAACATAGTGCAAACCCATCTCTACCAAAAATACGAAAATTGGCCAGTCTCAAAAACCAGTCTCAGAATAAATAAATAAATAGATTAAAATTAAAAAATAAAAAATTATATTAGAAAAAGAATCAAGAAGAAATAATTACTTCTGTTTAATGAACAGCGAATCTATTGTTGATTTCATTTTACAGAGGAAGGAACTGAAGCCCAGAAAGGTTAGATCAATTTCCTAAGGTCACATAGCTCATGAGGGGAGAACCTGGGTTCAGAAGCAGATCCTCCTGACCCCACATGCTGTGCTCTTTACTGGATACCACGGTGGTCTCCAGGAAGCCCCTCTCAGGGTGGCCTACGTGTTTCTTTGTTTTACAGACATACTGACCATATTTCAGCTTCTACACCTTGGAAACACAGTTTTCCCTCCAAGAACGATGTCCTCTCTGCTGTCCTGGCTTTTTCAACCGTGGAGTGTCATTGTCACCTTCCTTCTTCCCCAGCAGCTCCTCTTAACACCCCAACAGGCCTCTGTCCTCCCTGGTACCCAGGCGTAAGATGTCAATATATTTTCTCTTTTTTTCCTTTTCTCCAGCTATACCTCCTTTTTCAATATATTTATTTCCCCTGTCTTTCTCCAATTTCACTGCTATTGCTCCAGGTCCTCACACTTTCTGAATCTTTGTAAAGCCCTCTAACTGGCTTATTGACACCTCCAGTTTCTTCCGCATGTTTTCCACCCTGCACTCAGTAAAAGATTTATCTTCTAAAAATGCTTTTGTTGTCACTCCTGGCTCCAAAACCCTATGAAGCCCTAACTGTTCATCCAAAGCCCTCCCCAAGAGGGGCAAGTCTACAGATTTATTAAAAAACAAATAAATTATAACAAACCTGATTTTGTTTTAAAATTCCTACACAAACAGCTAAGCAATTCTGACATTCTACTCAATATTTGGACTCTTACTGAAACACTAATGGATTCTCTTCAACACATGTCAGTGTTAAAAATCACAGTGAATGTGGACATAAACACATGCTCTAATTTTGTATAACACAACACATAATATTTATTGTTTCCTTTCTTAGAAATCAATTTATATGTAATTTCTGTGATTTTTGTAATATCTAGTTCAGTATCTAGCTCTCAAAATATCTAGTTCAGTATCTAGCTCTCAAAAGTATCTTTTATGTGTGCTCTTTGCTGCTTCAAGAAATAGTTTTTTTACTTTATGTCCCACTTGAGATAATATATCTAAACTAGTACAATCATATGTACTTACTCAAATCTAGTAAGTGTATAAATTAGGACCATTAATCCTAATGAGAAAGCTATAACCAACATTTATACATTTATATAAAAAGGAATCTTTAACTGGTTCAAGAAACACCTAAATACTGAATATATCACTAACACCCCCCTCAACCCTTGCAAATAATTAACTGTTGGATTACATTAACAATTCTCTAATTTCAGATATGATTTTCATTTCTGTTATAATGCAGGACTTTAATTCACGAGTTGTTAAATTAGTTTATAAACATAGTGTAAAAACCAACACACTTTAAATGCTATTTTCTGGCAGAACGCCATTCTGTGCATCAGAGTGACCCTGAGTAATATACGAGCAATTACTTTCACTCACTCTTGTCTCAAATGCTCAGAAAGTCTCACCTTTTTGACTTCCTGGGCTGAATTCCAGCCTGGAGTATGTGTTAGGGACAGTTATCTAGCCACTGAGATGAACAACCCTCAAATCTCAGTGGTTCATCACACAAAATTTTTGTTAATGGGATGTGTCTTATTCTATTGGGCAGCTTCACTCCAGGTGGTGTCTCAGGGACCCAGGCAGGCTCCTTTTTCCTTATGGCTCTGCTAACTGTTCAGGTGGGACATCTATTGTGGGACTTGCTGAGGACCAGGCCCAGAAGTGACACACATCATTTTCTCCTGTATCCTACAAGCCAAGACTTCAAAGCTTGGCCAACCTATGGCAAAGGATCTGGGAAATATTGAGGAGCACACAGATTCAGATGAGGACTACTAACTTCTAAAACAGAGCAGATAAGTTCACCTCTGAAGTGGGTTGGGAGAGTTGAGTATCATAGAATTAGGAAGACTTGGGAGCTAAGTTGGGAAGGTTCCACCTTCTAAGTCCTTTTTTTTTTCTCTTAGAGACGGGGTTTCTCTTTGTCACTGAGGCTGGAGTGTAGTAGTGTGATCATAATTCACTGTAGCCTCGACCTCCTAGGCTCAAGCGATCCTCCCATCTCAGCCTCCTGGGTAGGTAGGACTACAAGCATGTGCCACCACACTTGGCTAATTTTTAAATATTTTTAGAAATGGGGTCTCACTATGTTTCCTAGCCTGGTCTCAAGCTCTTGGCCTTAAGCGATACTTCTGCCTTGGCATCTCAAAGTGCTGGGATTACAGGCATGACCCACCATGCCTGGCCCATCTTCTAAGTCTTAATTAGAAGACTGAATTCCTTGGAGGTTCAAATAGGATGCCAGAAACCTGACTATCCAATCTGCAACCCATGGACCAAATGAAGTCTACCTAAGGGTTTTAAACAAACTTTATTTTATTCAATTAATAAATATGATACTCCTTAACGGAAAGAATAGTAGCATATGATGTTATGCTGAGAGGCTTAGATCAATTACGAATTGGATTTTAAATTGTACATGAGGGAATTTCAAACATTTTATGAAAAATGGAAATAAAAGATAAAAATTTAAAAAATATACTTTTTTTTTAAAACATAAACTCATTCAAGATTAAGATACTTTTGTAAGACATGATACCAGCCATTTTGTCTATCCCCAAAGAACTGAGGCTCCAGGGAATTTAACCATGCTAATGTAATCTTTTTCACATTATTAACTGAAGAAAAATGAGTGCCCTTGAAATATTTTTTAAGATTAGGAAACAAAAGCAAGTCAGAAGGAACCGAAGCAGGATGGTAAGGTGGATGCCTAATGATTTCCCATAGGAACTTAAGATTGCCTTTGTTTGATGAGAGAAATGAGCAGGAGCATTGTCGTGGTGGAGAAGGACTTTCTAGTGAATCTTTCCTGGGCATTTTTCTGCCAAAGCATTGGCTAACTTTCTCAAAACACTCTCATAATAAGCAGATGTCATTCTTTGGCCTTCCAGAAAGTCAACAAGAAAAATACCTTGAGCATTCCAAAAAACTGTTGCCATGACCTTTGCTCTTGACCAGTCTGCTTTTACTTTGACTGGACCACTTGCCCCTCTTGGTAGCCATTGCTTTGATTGTGCTTTGTCTTCAGGATGGTACTGGTAAAGCCATGTTTCACCTTCTGTTGCAACTCTTTGAAGAAATGCTTTAGGATCTCAATTCTACTTGTTTGAAATTTCCACTGAAAGCTCTGCTCTTGTCTGCAGCTGATCTGGACACATAAATTTTTGTACCTTTGAGTGGAAATGCTCAACTTTAACTTTTCAGTCAGAATTGTGTAAGTCGAACCATTGAGTTGGCTATGGTGTTGGCTATTGTCTTTGCTGTCAATTATCAGTCCTTTTTATTTAGGGAATGAGCAAGATTAATTTTTTCCTTGAAAATTAACATGGATGGTCTGCTGCTTCAGGCTTCATTTTCAACAGTTTTCTAGTCCCTTCCTAAAAAGAGTTATCCATTTGTAAACTGCTGATTTCTTTGGGGCCATTGTCCCTATAAACTTTTCATAGAGTATCAATGATTTCATCATTCTTCCCCCCAAGCTTCACCATAAATTTGATGTTTCTCCTTGCTTGCCTTTTAGCAGAATTTATGGTGTTTTGATAGGAGCTCTTTTCAGACTGATGTCTTATTTTTCTTAGTACCTCCAAATAGATCCTGTTCAGACACATTATAACAAGTTTGTGCAAGTTTATTTTGATGCAAAAATTTGAAATTCATGCAGGCTTTTTTCATAAATTGCATTTTCCATGAACTTTTGGAAGACTCCTTGTATAATCAATTATAATATTTTGAACCCTTCATGTTTTAATTTACTAAGGCTGTTTTTCCCTAACTTTAATTTGCATAAGAATCACCTGGATTTCTTGTTAAAGCATGGGTTTTGACTGATTCACAGGGCCTCAGGTTGTGCATGTTTAACAAGCTCCCAGGTGATGCCCATGCTGCTGGTTTGAGGACCAGGCCAAGCAGCAAGGCATCAAAGTAGAACCCAAAATGATGCATTATAAAAGATGATTGACAAAGAGTAAGTAGTTATGAATGTTCTTGACTCACCTTTGAGTCAGGTTCAATTTTAGTACATATGTGGATTCTAATAGAGATGCTGTAGAGATACAATATTAACATCATGTATAAAAGTAAGTGTCCTGGAATTAATACAACTTGGGTGTAAATCTTGACCCTGTCATTTATGGGCTATGTGGTCTTGAGTGAGTAATTCAATCCTCTGAGTCTTTCTATGAAGGATAAACAATACTCACATCAAATGATTGTTGTGAGATTTGAATGAAAGCCTTGGCAGAATCTCTGCCATAGAACTGGCACTGAATAAGTGGACGCTGTAATTCTTAGTTCATCTTTGACATCAATAAAACAATCCTATGACTAGCATGCAGAAGAATTTCTGGCCCTGGCCCTAAACTGAAAAAATAATGTTGTGCCTGACCAGAGTTGCCGGTTACTTCCACATTTGGGCATCAGAGTTGACTTTCCCCATCACCAGAATACAGGATTTTGCCTCGAGTTCTGGAACAGATTTCAATGGAAACATCTAAAATCTTTGGGTCTTTGGGTTTGTCTCCTTCAGTCTGAGAGTCACATTAATTTTTCACACATTGTATTCCACTGACTGCTATCTCTTTTTTTTTTTTTTTTTTTAAGACTGAGTCTTGCTCTGTTGCCCAGGCTGGAGTGCAGTGGCTGGATCTCTGCTCATTGCAACCTGCCTCCCAGGTTCAAGCAATTTCCTGCCTCAGCCTCCTGAGTAGCTGGGATTACAGGCACCTGCCACCCTGCCTGGCTAATTTTTGTATTTTTAGTAGGGATGGGGTTTCACCATGTTGGCCAGGCTGGTCTCGAACTCCTGGCCTCAAGTGATCTGCCTGCCTCGGCCTCCCAAAGTGCTGGGATTTACAGATGTGAGCCACTATGCCAGGCCTGCTATATCTCTTTGCACAGTCACTGGAATCCCTTTTCTGGGGCCACATCAAACAAGCTGATTGCTTTGTATACAAGACTCCATGTGCTCACTCCTTGGGTTTTATAATCCACTTGTCTAATTTTAACTTTTTATTTTTTATTTCTTAAGTAACATAAATATGTTTTTCTTAAAAAAATAATGAATGCTGCTGAAAAGGCTAAAGTCTCCTCAACCTTATTCTCTCTCCCCTAACTCCCTGCCCTAAAGTAACCAAGGTTATGAGTTTAGTCTCCCTCTCTTCAGTTTTGAAGACAAGTTTTTGTAGTCTGAAGTTCTGTAAACCTTTAAAAGTGTTTGCTGTGAATATAAGGTTTGTTCTATTGTTTGCTTCTCTTCAATCTAAATGTATTTCCTGGGCAATCTCATCTACACTTATGACTTCCACTGCTACCAATGATAACTTCACAATTTATGTCTTTAGCTCATATCTCTCTCTTGAGCTCTAGAACAATATATCCAAGTGTCCCCTGGACGTCTCCATCTGGAAATTCCACAAGCACCTTAAACTCAATCTGTCTCAATCTCAACTTGTAAGCTTCCTCCTAAACTTGTTCCTCTTCCTGGTTTTCGCCTCATAGTTAGACATCTTGATGTACCCTATCGTCCAGGGCAAAAGGAAAGTGAAAAAAATATATGTATAGTGATATTGACTATACGCAAAGTAAGTGTTCTTATGGATATGACCATATTGAAAAAATTGTATTCTTTTTTCTCCCTTCAAGGTAAACATTTACATACATATCATTTCCCCTATGGTGAATGTTTTGGATTGTTGTCTTAGGCTGGGATCCTAGAAAAGGAATTACTAGATCAAAGTAAATGAACTTTTCTATGGCTCATGTCATATTTGTGCCATTGCACTTGCTAAATTGTTTTCCCAAAGAATTGTAGCACTCTTCAATGCCATGTGTTTCACTATCCCTGCCAACATTAGATATTTTAAAAATGTAAAATAAACATTTTTCTAAACCTGCAGAAAGCAGATTCAAGGTTACCAAGGGCTAGAGGATGGGAATGCGGGGTTATTGTTTAATGGTAACAGAGTTTGTTTTTGGGGTGATGAAAAATTTTGGAAATAGTAGTGACGGTTGCACAACATTGTGACTGTAATTAATGCCACTGAATTGTACACTTAAAATGCTTAAAATGGCAAATTTTATGTTATTTACATATGTAATTTTTATTGCAATAATTTTTTTAGTATAAAAAGAGCACAGTCCTAAAAGATGGGAGACTTCTATTAAATTAATATTAACACTGGGTGTGATGGCTTACATCTGTAATCCCAGCACTCTGGGGGGCTGAGGTCGGAAGATCACTTGAGGCCAGAAGTTTGAGGTTGCAGTATGCTATGATCACACCACTGTAGTACAGCCTAGGTGACAGAGTGAAATCCAATCTCTAAAAAGAAAAAAAAAAAAAAGAAAAAGAAAAAAAATTAAATGATATTTAATGTTGGCAGGGATAGTGAAACACATGGCATTGAAGATTGGTACAATTCTTTGGGAAAGCAATTTAACAAATGCAATGGCACAAATATGACATGAGCCATAGAAGAGCTTATTTACTTAGCTCTAGTAATTCCTTTTCTAGGATTCCAGCCTAATACAACCATCCAAAACATAGAAGAAATGATATGTATGTAAATGGTTACTTTGATATTACTAATAAGAGAGAAAAAAACCAATTTTTTCAATAACAGGTTGAGTGTTTGCTATTTATTAGACTCCAGGCTAAGTGCTATACATATATTAGCTCCTTTTTTCCTTACAGGAAACTTTTGAGTTAAATACTATTCCCATACCAATTTTAGAAAGCAGGAAACTAATGTCTAGTGAGTTTAAGTATCTTGCACAAGGTCACGTAGCTAGTAAGTTACATAGTTGGGATCTGAATTCAGTTCTGGCTTCATGCCTGAGCTTTCAACTACTACTACTAAACTGAGAAGGCACTTGCTTGAGTAAATGATGTCATCCTCTTAATGAAGCATTATGCAGCTGTTAAAGATGATAGATGTAAAGGTTATGAAGCAGCATGAAAATATAACTCATTTATTCAATAAATATTTGTTTCTAAATATATTCATTTGCTGAATGAATAAAATGTTAAGCCAACAAAACAGGATGGAAAATGGCATGTATGTATATTTCTGTATGTGTGTGTATACACACACATACACTGTAAATATATATTTATATGCAAATGGATATAATTTGTAGGAAATATAATATTATATCTATAAAAATATGTAGGAAAAAATACCAGAAGGGAATACAACAAATTATTAACTCTGTAACCCTGTTCTTAGAATGGTGAGATTATTGATTTTTCTAATTTTCTCCTTTTAATAACGATTTCTACGACTTTTAAACTTGTTTTTACCTTTCTTTTGTTATGAGAAAAACTTGGGACCATAACATCCTTCCCTCAACTCCCAAACTGGGAAGGTGTGAGAGACCAAAGAATGCCTTGGATAAGACACTGGGCAGCAGCAGGACAGTGCTAGAGATCTGCATTGTCCCCGCCCCTCCCTCCTGTCTGTAAACTGCTGTTAAGCTAGTTTTCAGGCTCTTTGCCTACTGTGTTTGAGCAATGGGACTGTTTTCCTCGGAGGGTTCTCAGATACTCTCCATGATGTTGGGCTTCTCAGGGACACCTGCTCTTTGGTTGGGCACCATAACCTTGGCTCACTGCCCAGCCTTCAGGGTTCAGGCAGTGGACATATACCCGGTGGGGGACCCACCACACTACATTTATTATAGAACATTTTAAACATATACAAAAGTGGAGAGAATGATATGATGAACATCACGTACTCATCACCATGTTTTACCAGTAATTGGCTTACAGCTAATCTCATTTCATAACACAGTTATCCCTCCTTATCCATGGGGGATTGGTTCTAGGACCTCCTACTGACAGCAAAATTTTTGAATGCTCAATTCCCTGATACAAAGTGGCATAGTATTTATACATAATCTATGCACATCCTCCCATATAGTTTAAATCACCTCTAGATTACTTGTAATACCTAACACAAAGTAAATGCTATGTAAGTAGTTGTTATACTTCATTGTTTAGGAAATAGTGACAAGAAAAAAAGTTTGTACATGTTAAGTAAAGATGCAATTTTTTCCCCCAAGGATTTTTGACTTGTAGTTGGTTGAATCCATGGATGTGAAACCCACAGACAGGAAGGGCTGACTAAGCCTCTACTTTAAAAAAAAATTAATTATTTCTTTTATCTTCTATTCCCCTTCTTTTCACAGGTGTTGATATCCCCACTCTTGTCTCTCCATCTTCTAAATTGTTTTGAAGCAAATCCCAGAAATTTTAACATTTTATTTTTAAATATTTCCATATGTATTTTTAAAGATAAGCAATTTTAAAAAATAACTATAATACCACTACCTAAATTATTAATAATTCCTTTATATCACCAGCTATCCAGTTAGTGTTCAAATTGATTTTATTGCATCCTAATTTATTTCTTTGTATAGTTTGTTTGAACCAAGATCCAAATAAGGTCCATACTTTGTAACCAGTTGGTATGTTTTAAAATCTCTTTTCATTTTCCGGTTTCCTCTTCCGCTTTTTGTTCCCCCTTTGCAACTTATCTGTTGAACAAACAGGATCATTTGTTTGTAGACTTTCCTATTTTCTGGATTTTGCTGGTTGTATGCCTATGGTGTCATTTACTTTGTTTCTCTGCTGTCTATATTTACTGCAATTTGGTAGCAAGACATAAAATCTTGATCAGATTCAGGGTCCATTTTTTTGGTAAGAATATTTCAGAGATGGTGTTTGTACTTCTAACAGGAGGCATATGCTATTTGGTTAGCTCTCATTTTGTATTGTTAGTAGCTATTAGTGCTTAGTGCTTAGATCTGTGCTGTCCAACAAAAATATAATGCAAGCCACATATGTCATTTAAAATTTTCTGGTAGCCATTACCAAAAATAAAAGCAAATCGAGTTAAAATTTTAAGAGTTTATTGTGCATGAAAAATCCCCAAAAGTCTCCTGGTTTGATAAGCAGCAGAGTTGACGCCGAAAGTGGCAAGCAGTTTGGCTCACAGCGGTCACAGTGCAGCTTCAAAAGCCTAAATGAGGAAGTACATTGATCTTTGTTGTGATTGGCTATTAAAACTTACATTCCTTTTAGGACAAGTAAGTCTGTATTAGCTTATTTATCTGTAGCTGATTGGTTCAGAATTCAGAAAGAAAAACCTAAGTTGTGTTCGTGGTTAGAGCTAATATTTGAGGAAAATCATGATAGCTTAAGTTTCAGTGATGTGGCTACAGGCAGTTGGCCTAGCAGTCTATCCAAACGGTGGCCTCAATTTTGAATTTTCCTTAACACCAGGTTTTTAGAAAGTAAAAAAAAGAAAAACAGGTAAAATTAATTTTAAACATTTATGTATGTCTTTAATTTTTAAAAATTGACAGTATTTTATGTTTTTTAAGTGTATAACATATTTTGAAGTTTATGTACCTTGTGGAGTGTTTAAATCTAGCTAATTAATAAATGCATTACCCCACACAGTCACCATTTTTGTGGTGAGAACAGATAGCATCCATTCTCTTTACATTTTTCAAGAATACAATATATTGTCATTAATTATAGTCACCTTGATGCATAATAGATCTCTTGAAATTTATTCTTCCTAAATGTAATTGTTTTAAAAACTAAATTAAATTAGCTAAATTAATAAAAAGTTGTTTTTAACCCAATATATTTCACATACTATCATTTCAACATATAATCAATATAAACATTATTGAGATATTTTTCATTTTTATACACGAAGTCTTTGAAATTCAATGTGCATTTGACACTTACAGCACATATCAACTCAATCTTGCTACATCTCAAGTGTTCAATAGTCACATGTGGCTAGGGGCTGCCATATTGAATTGTGCAGAACTAAATCCATTCTGTCACTGGAGGCTACAAAACACTGATATTCAAATTCTATCATTCCTTCCTCATTTATTAGCTAACACACGTTTATTTTTAAAAGGGTTCTCTCGGCTGGGCACGGTGGCTCTTGCCTGTAATCCCAGTGCTTTGGGAGGCTGAGGGGCGGATCACAAGGTCAGGAGATCGAGATCATCCTGTCTAACACGGTGAAACCCTGTCTCTACTAAAAAATACAAAAAAAATTAGCTGGGTGTGGTGGCGGGCGACTGTAGTCCTGGCTACTCAGGAGGCTGAGGCAGGAGAATGGCATGAACCTGGGAGGTGGAGCTTGCAGTGAGTGGAGATCATGCCATTGCACTCCAGCCTGGGCAACTGAGCAAGACTCCGTCTCAAAAAAAAAAAAAAAAAAAAAAGGTTTGTCTCATCAACTACTTACTTTTCAGGATTGATCTTGATTCTTTTTCTTATTTGCCAATTTCCAAATAATGAGTTGGTTTCTCAGCATGCTCCAAAGATGACCAATGAGGTTTTTTTTTTTTTTGATGTAACATTATGTGTTCATGATTTAAACATATTTTTAAAATGTTTAAATAATCGTGCTCTTATTAATGCTTGGATTTTCCTGTATTTGGCCTGTAGCAACCTCTTCAAGTTGGCTCTTGAGTTTTCTTGACATGACCCCAGTTATCTTTGATAGGTTTCTGGTAAAATAAGATGTCCTAGGCGTAGCTTGCAAAAGTTCTGGCCAAGACTTAGAATCAGCCATTTTTCCTCAGAGCCCTGGTTTATTTTGGCTTTAAAAGAAATGGCTTTAAAGACCACAATCTAGGTACTAGAAGTGCTCATTGCTACTGGCTTTTTTAGTCATTGTTTTTAGACCCTTTTAAAGTTAGAAAATATTTTTTAAAAATATATTATTAGTTTATTCTGATACTCCCAATTCAAATTCAGGACTGTAAGGTTTTTACTCAAATGTTTTGATGTTACATTTGCATCTCCTTTCCTCCATGCAGAAAATACTGGTTCTCAATGATAGCAACAAAATTATTCATTTGCTTTATCCCACAACAGTCTCCAAATATGCTAACACTTCTATCAACAATGTGATTATTAAAAACATTTAAGCTTTTTCTACACATTGAATGCAAAGTGCATTGTGTCCCCTCCCAAATTTATATGTTGAAGCCCTAATATGCAATGAGATGGTATTTGGAGATGGGTTCTAGTGTTAGATGAGGTCATGGTAGGAGTTGGCTGGGAAAGAGGTTGTGTGGGGGGTGGTCATGATGGCATTAGCTCCCTGGTAAGAAGAGATACCAGACAGCTTTCTCTCTTTGCCTCTGCCATGTGAGGACACAGCAAGAGGGAGGCTATTTGCAAGCCAGAAAGAGAGCCTTGGCGAGGTGCGGTGGCTTACTCCTGTAATCCCAGTACTTTGGAGCCCAGGCGGGCGGATCACAAGGTCAAGAGACCGCGACAATCCTGACCAACATGGTGAAACCCCGTCTCTACTAAAAATACAAAAATTAGCCGGGTGTGGTGGCAGGCGCCTGTAGTCCCAGCTACTCGGGAGGCTGAGGCAGGAGAATCGCTTGAACCCGGGAGGCGGAGGTTGCAGTGAGCCGAGATCGCGCCACTGCACTCCAGCCTGGGTGACAGAGCAAGACTCCGTCTCAAAAAAGGAAAAAAAAAAAAAAAAAAAGAAAAAGAAAAAGAAAAAAATAAAAAGAAAGAGAGCCTTCACCAGAAAGGGAACTCTGCTGGACTTAATCCTGGCCGAGGCGGGCAGATCACTTGAGGTCAGAAGTTTAAGACCAGCCTGGCCAACATGGCGAAACCCCATCTTTACTAAAAATACAAAAATTTAGCCGACTGTTGTGGTGCGTGCCTGTAATACCAGCTGCTTGGGAGGCTGAGGCAGGAGAATTGCCTGAACCTGAGAGGTGGAGGTTGCAGCGAGCCGATATCACACCACTGCACTCCAGCCTGGGCAACAGAGTGAGAGTCTGTTTCAAAAAACAAACAAACAAACAAACAAACAAACAAACAAAACCAAAAAACTATTTTGTTATGGCAGCCCCAGCAGACTAACACAGCTGTTCTTTTTGTCCTTAGGGTATATTCTTGTCTTTGGGTATAGTCTAGGGTATATTTTTAAAGTAAATTTTAAAAGGGGAAAACAAAAACTAGAGGTTTTAATGGATTTTATTTTATTTTTATAGCCAGTCAAATTCAGCAGTGGCGGGGGGTTGTATACCAACTTTAGTGAAATTAATGTTAATAAGTAATGGATTTTAAAGGTTAAATTTTTTTCTGACTTTCAGACATTGCCTTAAAGATAAGTTCAGTTTATTGTAAGTTGAAAATTAATTTCTGTTACCTATGGGATAAAATATGAAACATTTGAAATATAAATTCCTTGTAAGATTATAGCTTACAACATAAGTTGTTGCGAATGTTCCAAAATTATTTTTGTGATTTGAATTGGGAAATTATGAAGACAAAAAGAGTACGTAAAATTTAGAGTAATTTACGAATAGACTCTTACTTTTTCAAAGTCTCCCAGAATGTTACTGTGGACATTCAGTAAAGTGATGTGTATGTGTATTTGTTGGTAGGGATGGTGTTCAGGGGGAAGGTACATACACATGTCTGTATAAGCATATACAAACACATGAACACATATATTTTATTAGCCTAGGCTTTAAGGAGTAATCACACCATTGGTGTCTGTTCCTATAACTAAAGAATGAGAGTAATTTAACTAAATAAATTTATTCATTTAACTAAATAAATGTATTAATTTTCACATATTTCTTTCATTGTGAGACAGTTTCAGTGGTTGATTTTATTATTATTATTATTATTATTATTATTATACTTTAAGTTTTAGGGTACATGTGCACAATGTGCAGGTTAGTTACATATGTATACATGTGCCATGCTGGTGTGCTGCACCCACTAACTCGTCATCTAGCATTAGGTATATCTCCCAATGCTATCCCTCCCCCCTCCCCCCACCCCACAACAGTCCCCAGAGTGTGATGTTCCCCTTCCTGTGTCCATGTGTTATCACTGTTCAACTCCCACCTATGAGTGAGAATATGCGGTGTTTGGTTTTTTGTTCTTGCGATAGTTCACTGAGAATGATGATTTCCAATTTCATCCATGTCCCTACAAAGGACATGAACTCATCATTTTTTATGGCTGCATAGTATTCCATGGTGTATATGTGCCACATTTTCTTAATCCAGTCTATCATTGTTGGACATTTGGGTTGGTTCCAAGTCTTTGCTATTGTGAATAATGCCGCAATAAACATACGTGTGCATGTGTCTTTATAGCAGTATGATTTATAATCCTTTGGGTATATACCCAGTAATGGGATGGCTGGGTCAAATGGTATTTCTAGTTCTAGATCCCTGAGGAATCGCCACACTGACTTCCACAATGGTTGAACTAGTTTACAGTCCCACCAACAGTGTAAAAGTGTTCCTATTTCTCCACATCCTCTCCAGCACCTGTTGTTTCCTGACTTTTTAATGATTACCATTCTAATTGGTGTGAGATGGTATCTCATTGTGGTTTTGATTTGCATTTCTCTGATGGCCAGTGATGGTGAGCATTTTTTCATGTGTTTTTTGGCTGCATAAATGTCTTCTTTTGAGAAGTGTCTGTTCATGTCCTTTGCCCACTTTTTGATGGGGTTGTTTGTTTTTTTCTTGTAAATTTGTTGGAGTTCATTGTGATTCTGGATATTAGCCCTTTGTCAGATGAGTAGTTTGCGAAAATGTTCTCCCATTTTGTAGGTTGCCTGTTCACTCTGATGGTAGTTTCTTTTGCTGTGCAGAAGCTCTTTAGTTTAATTAGATCCCATTTGTCAACTTTGGCTTTTTTTGCCATTGCTTTTGGTGTTTTAGACATGAAGTCCTTGCCCATGCGTATGTCCTGAATTGTAATGCCTAGGTTTTCTTCTAGGGTTTTTATGGTTTTAGGTCTAACGTTTAAGTCTTTAATCCATCTTGAATTGATTTTTGTATAAGGTGTAAGGAAGGGATCCAGTTTCAGCTTTCTACATATGGCTAGCCAGTTTTCCCAGCACCATTTATTAAATAGGGAATCCTTTCCCCATTGCTTGTTTTTCTCAGGTTTGTCAAAGATCAGATAGTTTTAGATATGTGGCGTTATTTCTGAGGGCTCTGTTCTGTTCCATTGATCTATATCTCTGTTTTGGTACCAGTACCATGCTGTTTTGGTTACTGTAGCTTTGTAGTATAGTTTGAAGTCAGGTAGTGTGATGCCTCCAGCTTTGTTCTTTTGGCTTAGGATTGACTTGGTGATGCGGGCTCTTTTTTGGTTCCATATGAACTTGAAAGTAGTTTTTTCCAATTCTGTGAAGAAAGTCATTGGTAGCTTGATGGGGATGGCATTGAATCTATAAATTACCTTGGGCAGTATGGCCATTTTCACAATATTGATTCTTCCTACCCACGAGCATGGAATGTTCTTCCATTTGTTTGTATCCTCTTTTATTTCCTTGAGCAGTGGTTTGTAGTTCTCCTTGAAGAGGACCTTCATGTCCCTTGTAAGTTGGATTCCTAGGTATTTTATTCTCTTTGAAGCAATTGTGAATGGGAGTTCACTCATGATTTGGCTCTCTGTTTGTCTGTTATTGGTGTATAAGAATGCTTGTGATTTTTGTACATTGATTTTGTATCCTGAGACTTTGCTGAAGTTGCTTATCAGCTTAAGGAGATTTTGGGCTGAGATAATGGGGTTTTCTAGATATACAATCATGTCATCTGCAAACAAGGACAATTTGACTTCCTCTTTTCCTAATTAAATACCCTTTATTTCCTTCTCCTGCCTCATTGCCCTGGCCAGAACTTCCAACACTATGTTGAATAGGAGTGGTGAGAGAGGGCATCCCTGTCTTGTGCCAGTTTTCAAAGGGAATGCTTCCAGTTTTTGCCCATTCAGTATGATATTGGCTGTGGGTTTGTCATAGATAGCTCTTATTATTTTGAGATATGTCCCATCAATACCTAATTTATTGAGAGTTTTTAGCATGAAGGGTTGTTGAATTTTGTCAAAGGCAGTAGTTGATATTTTAGTTGAAATATTTAGGTCTCTAAAAACCCCAGTTAATTTTGAAATCCTAGTCTGAAGACAGACCTAAATGAAAAAAAAAATTAAACCTAGAATTAATTTTTTTTTAGATACCCAAATCATTTCAACTAATTTAAAGAATATTTCCACCAATAATTTTTGTCATTTCATTTTATTTTTGATCCATGCAATATAAATGAAGAACTGAGTTGTAGTATTGTGTTTTGCAAATAAGAATACTTCAAAATTTCCATTTTCCAATTCAACCTATATTTACTAGTTGGAAAACTAAAGTGTTTTAAATTTATTCACATATTGCAATTCTAGAAAAGAGCAAATAGCCAAGATAACCAGACCATAAACTCACTTGGCCACTCTTTAGGGCACAGAACATCCTTCTGGGTAAATCTGGGAGTAGCATACTCATTCACAGCCCAGGGTCAGAGTTTGCATCCTCTTTATTTTCTCACTGGACATTGTTTAAAGCCTTGGCACCCAGACCCATAGGATGTTAGGGCCAGAAGGACACTTAGAGATCCAGCCCAACCCTTTTACTTGAAAGATGAAGAGACTGAGGTCTCAAAGTATGATGAAAATTTCTAAAAGTTATAAAGTTAGCTACTTTTAAAACTCAGATTTATAACATCAATAACAAAAAGTTTATACAATTGAAAATATTAGCATTCATGTGCTCTTAGGCAGAATTAATATAAGGTTTATAGAGTTGAAACTGACTGTGAAGTACTACAGTTGGATTTATGATTTAAGACTCATGACTTAGAAAGAAATAAGGGACTTAGGATTTAGGAAGGAAATCTATAGAATAGCTCTCTCTTGTTTCTGAAATAGTACTTGAATTCTGTTGATGAGATGAAGTGATACTGTTCTGTAACCGGAATTCATATCAGCAAAGTCAGTTCAATTCCCTTGGGTGTACAAAAGCTGGGGCTGTCTTCTGATTGTGAGAGTGGCTTCTCCCCAAAACGAACCACAAATTAAATACATGTGGGATAACCATCATTTCTGTAGAAATCTCATGATACAGCTGGGCTGCCATTTTCCTTTTATAAAAAGGAAATCCAATACCTGAAATAGCTGATATAACTAGTTGAGTGAGGATGAAGGGGCATGACTGGGGGTCTGTTGGTGTTAGTTGCTAATAGGTAAGTCTTTTATAGGAGAGATAACTGGGGAGAGTTGGAGATGTGTTATATCTGAAAGTGATATGCATCTAATTTTTCATATCAAAAGTGATAACTCTAAATATAAAATAATAAATACTAAACTTAGAAATTGTAGTATATCCCTGACAGCAATAGCTCCACCCATTTGGTAGTCGAGTCAGTGCCTGGTTAGCTTCAGTTTAGTTATACTATGAAACTTGGACATGGAGGGAGCCTCATAGGAAGAGATACACAAGGGAGGTGACTCTAGTCTTATTGGTGAGATTGGGCCATGTCTAATAACAAACTCAGCTCATACAGACTCTGGGATAGGAAGAGCCTCAGATTACAAAGCCTGGGAGTGCAGTATTGAGGATGATGGAGAAAAGTGGGTTAAGACTATAATCCCCAAATCAGGCAAATACAGATCAGATAAGACATTTATCTCAAATTCTTAGGGTTCCTCTTTACTGGACACATGAAGCTTCCAAAAAACAGGTAGAAATGTGGGGGAAGACGCAGCTTGCTGCAGATGCAAACACCAAGAGAAGAGGGAATTCCAAGCAGTGTTAAGTGCTTCAGGCAGGTCAAGACAGCAGAATTATTCTAAATTATTAAAAATGAAAATTATTAAAAAGCATTAAGAAACAATTTCTGTAATGTAGTAATTCTTAAACTCTAGACTTCTAGTCACCATCTCTAGAAATTCTGATTCTTTGATCAAATAGTGTTCAGAGATGTGCATTTTAAATACATCTCAGGTAATTCTTAGCAGATTGTTAGAGGAGGTTTCCTTAACCTGACCAAGGATACTCCTAACAGATTTACAGACAGCAAACAATATACTTAATGGTGATATTGTAGAAATATTCCCATTAAAGACAGGAATAAGAAGGGCAACTATCTTCAGTTCCATAGCCCATGCAATAAAACAAGAAAAAGAAATAAGAAGTAAAAGATTGGAAAGAAACATATAAGCTGCTGTTATTTGTAGATGCTATGACTGTCTACACCAAAAATCCAAAAGAATCTACAAAATATGAGAACTAATAAACGTTTTAGCATTTTGGCTGGATACCAAAACAACATAAAAAGACAATCGCATTCCTACACAAAACAATAACCAATCAGAAACATAATTAGAAAAAAAAATCTCATTCACAGTACCAAAGAAGCAATAAGACACTTATACATAAACCTATCAAAAGATGTGCAAGTATTCTGTGAAGAAAATATTTTCAGTGAAAGTTTCCATCTCTTTCATGTTTTGTCTCCTTCTCTTTTTCATTCCCCCTACTCCTTCTTGTCTAGTGGCTTGCATCTCCTCCCAGCTTACTTGGTCCCTCTTCCAGAACCAAGTGTTTTAATAGTTACTCAGAGTTCTCCCCCACCAGGGAATGGTGGGTTGTCACAGATCTCAGACCCTGGTCTGAGATCGGGTCTCTGGACTCCCACATCTGTAGGCTGAAGCTTACAAAGACGTGTACCCTTAGACAGCAATTGTCAGTAATATTTTCTAGCTTCCTTTTGCAACCTAAGAGAGGAGTAAGTTGGTAAAAACTCCTGACTCAAGTTCCTTGTTTCCTGTGAAGTATTTTAAGTTCCTTTCTCCCCAGGATCTGAACTCTTAGCTACCATTCCCTCCACCTGGGCCCAGAGCCCAGCAAGCTCACAGCTCCATTCAGGTTCACTTTTTAAAATTATTTTATCTTTTCATTTTTATTGTTATACTTTAAGTTCTAGGGTACATGTGCACAAAGTGCCGGTTTTTTTTACATAGGTATACATGTGCCATGTTGGCTTGCTGCACCCATCAACTCATCATTTACATTAGGTATTTCTCCTAATGCTATCCCTCTCCCAATACACACCCCGCTGACAGGCTGTGGTGTGTGATGTTCCCCGCCCTGTGTCCATGTGTTCTCATTGTTCAATTCCCACCTATGAGTGAGAACATGTGGTGTTTGGTTTTCTGTCCTTGTGATAGTTTGCTGAGAATGATGGTTTCCAGCTTCATCCATGTCCCTGCAAAGGACATGAACACATTGAGGATCACTTTTTAATATTTTGTTTTGTTTCTGATCAATGCAGATGCTTATCTCATATTAGAACCTTGTTATGTATTTTGTGAGTGCGTTTTCACTTTTCATTTCATTGCTATATTGTTTGGAGTGGCAGGAGTTATCAAGCATGAACTCACTGCCCATCTTGACCAGAGAGACTTCATTTCTTTTCTTGGAGAACAAAGGGAAGTAGAGGATGAGAAAAGACACATTGTTTATCAAATTGGTTACTGATTAACACCAATTTGAGTAATACCTATTTAAACATTCCTTTGGGAAACTGGCAAGATGAAAGTGAGGGGTCAATTGAGAAGGAATGAAGGAAGGGGAGACCTGGGAAGTTTGGGGCTGGGCAAACAGGCAGGGAATGAAGAGGGAACCCTGTCTATGAGCACCTGCTCCTCTTTAGGCATCTTGAATGTTGTCCTTTTTCTTCAGTATGGACAAGAACCCTTCTCCTATTTCTCCTGCTCTTCGGCTTCCTCATTCATTCTCTTCTTTCTCCTAAGAAAGGGAGGTTGAAGGCTGTGATTTCCTTTTTCTCCTTTCCTCATGGATTCTCACAAAGCAGAGGCCCAAATATGCTCCTAGGATTCAGCCAGGACCTTCCCTTTGTTCCTGAATACCCATCGGCAAGTCAAACTAATCAGAAACACAATTCTCCTCAGAGCTCAGTTCAAGACTTGCACTGATAAACTCTTACTTTCCTTCTCTTGCGTAGTAGTATTTTTGAATTCCTACTATGTGCCAGGCTCAGAGAACCCAAAGGAAGAGTCACAGATAAGAAATGAAAAATGACATTGAGCAATCACCTACTCTGAAGCCATCCTTGATCAAGGAGACTCCCCCTGATTTCTGAACACCCCTTCCAGCTTCTCCTTTCTTTCCCCACCCTGCTACCAAGAAAAGAAGAGCCAGATCTCTGGTTAAAGAGCTAAGGTCCCTACTTATTTCTGGGTCTTTTGTTTCACAGTGAGGACCCTGGCTCTGGAAGTAGCTCTTCTTTGGCTCCTGGCCATTCTCTGATGAAGTCATCTGAAGAGGCCAGTGCTGTCATTGTGGCCACCAGCAGTCTGCCAGGGCCTGTCCTGGGGCTCATCCAAGCCCCAGCTCCAAGAGGCAAACTGCAGATGTTTCTTCTATTTTTAGATGCTGGGATGTTGCCCATGAACGAGCCAGTGACCTGGAAAAGCCAATTCTCCCTCCAATCTCTGCTTCTGACTCGCTCATTTCCCTTCATTGTTCTACCAGATTTTTCCTCCTACTATGGGACCGGCATGAAATGACCCAGAGTTAACTGAGCTAGACCTTGGTCTGGGGACACAGATCTTGACTTCTCCTGCACCTACTAGGACTGTGGTCACCAAGACTGGTTTTAGGTTTAAGAGATTGAACTCTTTGTTATATTAGGGGTCTCCAAAAAATTTCCATCATGCTTTCCTATCAGTAAAACATTTTTGAGCACCCATCCTAGTTTTTGCTTATGTTATTTATTTATAAATTTTGTACATGTAAATTTGTACTAATATATGTTATAAAGCTTATACAGAAAGTAGAAGATGTATAGGCTGAAACAGTTCTAAGGGATTAGGAGTTCTCACATCCTTTTCTTGTGCCCCATGTATCTTCTGGCACCCCCTCTGTGGTAATCACTGCTCTGCATAGCTAAATGAGAAAATGTCCTTTGGAAACACTTTTTAATTTTTTTTTGAGCTGCATGCTAGCTATTGTTGATTTGGGGAATAATGGAAAGGTTTTTGTTGGCTAAAGTATTGCCTCTTTTCCAATAAACAGCAAGATCTGAAATTTCTCTATTAGAGAAGTGGTAACTTTGGGTTAAGCATTGCCTTCTCTCTGAGGTCTCTTAAATCAACAAATCCTTTTGAAAGAAGTTGGAGAAGAAGCGTGTTATATCTCCAGTCCTTTAGGTCAGTACCTAAATTGGGCTGCTTTCCTCAGAGCCCTGGATGCCCAGCATAGTGTCTGGCACAGAGGAAGAGCTCAATATACACATTTGTTGAATTAGTGAATGAGTGTGGGCAATTCAGAGAAGGGAAAGATCAAAAAGAGCAAGAAGGAAGCTAAGGTACTGGAAGGCAAAGTGAAGCTGAGTTTTCTCCTCTTTCTAATTTCGCTCAGGGCCAGAGAGGTTTCTTCTCTTCCTGGGAGTAGTTATTCAGCACAGTGCGGTTCCTTCCCGGGCAGGGCTTCTCTTGGTCTGAGATTTTATTTCCCAGGAATGCAGGGGTAGCTGGGTTGCTCCAGAGCAGAGAATGGACCCTCTGCAATCTAGTCATCTGGAAAGAGGACTAATCTATTCCTGCCTTTCTGAATAAGCCAAGCAGAGTCATTGTTCCATTCTTTGCCACCTTCACTCTGTTCTTAGAGCAGCCTATGATGAGGGTCAGACGTCTATATCCACAGGTGGTTGCAGAGTATTTGTGGTTTGCAAAGAGGGATCTGGTCCCTTTTGGTATCCTCAGGACATTTTTGTAGGCAATAGAAGGAGATTTCTTTTCCCAGAGAAGAGATACATGTTGAAATAGATTCTACCCATCTAGTCAGCCTTGCACAGGATTTTTTTGCTTGTTTTTTTGATCTCCCCCAACCCCCTGCCAAAAAAGGTGTGTGTGTGTGTGTGTGTGTGTGTGTGTGTGTGTGTTAAGCAGCATCAATTTAGTTGGAATTGTACTGAATTTATAGATGTACTCAGGGAAAATAGACATCTTTGTAATATTGAACTACCACACATTTGGGCAAATACTATGTTTCTATGTCTCTCTATTTATTCAGGTCTTTTTTAATGCCTCTCAGCCATCCAGTTTTCACCTTGTCAGTTGAGTTTTTATTTGTTGAATCCCAGGAATTTTACATTTTGTTTTATTATTGTGTGCTAGTTACTCTTAATTGATATTTGCAAGTTAACATCTTTAGTTTTCTAAACAAATTGTTAAGGATTGTTTTATTAAGTTCCTGAAAATTTCAGTTAGTATTTTGTTTGCAATTGCATAGATTTGATAGATTAGTTTGGGAAAAATTAGGGCTCTACCTTTACTTCTACTTTTACTCATTTTCTTCATTATTTTAAACAAGCTTAAAAGATTTAGTAGAGTTCTAAAGTTCTAAAGCTCTCTCTTTAGAAGAATGTGCATTCTTTATTAGCTTATTTCCTAGATGTTAGAGGTTTTGTTGCTATTGTGAATAATGTCTTATTTTCGTGTTTTAGTGTAAGTCTGTAAAAATGCTATTGATTTTTGTAGATCGATTTATTTTTTAAAAAGTTTTTGTAGAGATGAAATCTTGCTACGTTGCCCAGGCCGCTCTTGAACTCTTGGCATCAAGCAATCTTCCTGCCTTGGCTTCCCAAAGCGCTGGGATTACAGGTGTGAGCCACCAGGCCTAGCCTTATGTAGATTGATTTTGTATCTAGTTCCCTTGTTGAACACTTAATAGATCTTTCAGTTTGTCTTCAGATCTATTGAGATTTCTCATACATGAGCATATAACTTGAAAACAATAGAAATGTTATCATTTCCCTTTTAATTCTTAAAAACTCTTATTGCTGTTGTTATTATTATTAGTTTTATATAGCATTAGGCAGGATATCCAGAAATGGTCATAGCAGACATCTTTTGGGTTATTTCTGATCTTATCTATTTAGTGTGATGCTTACTGTATATTTTGGGCATAGCTCCTTTACTAACTTAAAGGAATTCCTATTTTACTAAGTGTTTTTATTATATATATATATGTGAAATTTCTATAAAATATTTTTTCTGAATCTATTGAGAAATCATTTGATTTTTCTCCCTTGGTCTAGTGTATGGCTTATATTAACAGATTTCTGTTTTTAAATTACCTCAAGATTACTGCAATAAACCTTATTTGATCACAATTTTTAAAAATGTGCTGTTGAATTCAGTTTGCTTATATTCTATTTTGGATCTGTAAGTAAAAAGGAACTATTGTGTTTTTCCCCCCCTCTCTATTCTTATTAGGTTTTAGAATTAATCTAATAGAATGAGTTGTGCTGCTTTTTTTTCTTACTTTCTGGAACAAATTTTCCAGACAGGAATACTTTGTTTTTTGAAACATCGTCTGTAAAACCATTTAGCCTAGGAGCAATTTTAAAAAATATTATTATTATTATTTTGCTTAGAGATGGGGTAGGGGTGTCTTCTCTGTTGTATTTAACCATTTCAATATTTTGTTATTGGTTGGTTCAAATTTCTGATTTTTCTTGGGCTCGTTTTAAATTCTATATTTTTCTATAAATATATCTATTTTGTCTTAGTTTTCATTTTATAAGTGAATAGTTATTTTTTAATAATTATTTTAATCTCTTTGATATCTGGAGTTTTTTTTTCCCTTTTGAATTTTATATTTCTGCATCTTCTTTCTGATGAGCTTTTGCTGCAGGTCGGTACAGCTTAGCAATCACTTCAAACGTTCAGCTTTTGTTTTAATTATTCTTACCGATTTTGTAGTTGCTGCTGCTGCTATAGTCACTCTTTTATTGAATTCTGCCTTTATCTTTATTTTCTTTCTTATTTTTTGTGCTCAGTCAACTGTTCTTTTTTTAATCTTTTCAGTTAAAACCTTACTTCATTTGTTTTCAATGCTTTTTTTCCCCTAGTAAATGTATTGAGAACTATAAGTTTCATTCTTAAGTCTGCTTTTGCTGTGTCTCTGAAATTCTGGCATGTATTTTCCCTCATTATCATTTAGTTCCAAGTATTTTATAATTTCTTTTATATTTTCCTGTTAACCCAAACATTATTATGTTACTACTTAACAGAAGTACAAAGCTTTAAAGTTATTTTATTCATAATTTATAATTTTGTTCCATTTTGTTAAGATAACAATGTGAATGATGATGATTTGGGGAGAATGTATTGAGGCTCCCTTTGTGATCTGGTAAATGTTAAATTTTTTGAATATTTTATGTGTGCTCAAAAATGTTCTCTCTTCTTATTGATGGTTGTAAAGTTCTCATATAATTAGTATTTCAAGTTTATGAATCATACCATTCAGATCTCCTCTATAATTGCTTATTTTTTGTCTGTGTATCCCATCAGTTTCTCAGATGACTACAAAAAACGTGTCTAGCTATAATTGTTATATGGTTCTCTCTTTAGTTCTGTTGGTTGTTGCATTTTGTACATTGAAGGTATGTTTTTAAGCAGATGTATGTTCACAATTGTTATATCTTTCTGCTCATATTTTTCTTCTATTGTTTGACATTAAATCTGCTCCCCAGTTTCATTTGGTTCAAAATTGCATCATATACCTTTTCCATCATTTTATTTGTGACCTCTCTGTCACCTTTTGTTTTAGAAATATTCCTTTCAGAAAACCTATTGTTAGATATTGCTTAAAAAAAAAACCCAATTTGCAAGTGGCTGTCTTTTGATTAGTGAACTTAATCTGTTTGTAAATTGTGTTAGTTTCCTAAGGCTGCCATGACAAAATAGTTCACACTGAGGAGCTTAAAACAGCAGTAGCTTATTGCCTCATAGTTGTGGAGGATAGAAATCTGAAATAAGGTGTTGGCAGGGCTATGCTCCCACTGAAATATTTAGGGGAATTCTTTGCTTTTTCCTAGCTTCCAGTAGTTTGCTGAAATCTTTGGTGTTCCTTGGCATGCAGCTGCACAGTTCCAATCTCTGCCCTCATTGCAGCATGACACCTCCTTGGGCATCTCTCTCTCTCTTCATGTGGCATTTTCCTCTTCCTATAAGGACACCAGTCCTCTTAGATTAGGGGCTCACCCTACTCCAGCATGACTTCATCTTAATGTAACTAATTACTTCTGCAACAACCCTATTCCAAATAAGGTTACAATACGAGACATGGAGGGTTAGAACATCAATAAATCTTTTTAGAGGAGACATGATTCAATCCATAAAACAAATTATGTAATTAGTTGTGTATTAGGATTTATTTCAGACATCTTATTTCTAATTTATATTTAAATATCTTTTACTTTCCTCTCCCTTTTTCCTTTCTCATCTTTCATTGAATAGAATTTTCTTCTGAGGGCTTGAAAAGTTTGAATTCCATTCTCTATACTCGGTAGCTATGTTTAACTTTAAAAATCATATTTATGTTTATTTTTCTCATCAATTCTCAATAACATTTATATCATTCTCTATAACAAAATAATACTCTCACTTTCCACTGGTATCTCTTTGCAGCCACCATTTGTTCACTGCCCATTAGTCGTTTTGGATTCTCTCTGTCTCTCTCTCTCTCTCTCTCCCCCTTCTTCTGCCTCTCCCTCTCTCTCTACCGTTGTATACTTGAATTAACTTTTCTATATTATGTATCCACTCTTGTTTCCTTTTTATCTCATGGTAGTCTCATGGATTTATTTCTCTTCTAACTGGGATACATTCTTTGAGAATATTTTAGAAGAGAATTTTCCGTGTTAACTTCCTTAGGCCTTTTGTGCCTGAGATTATTTTTATGACATCCTCTTATTTAATTTTTTTGAATATAGATTTGAGGCTTGAAGTTCTTTAGTACTTTAAAAATATTATGTACCTGTCTTTTTGCCTCTATTGTCATTGTTGAACAGAAGTTAGATATCAATCAGATTCTTATTCCTTCATGGGTAATCATCTCTTTTTCTTTAGCAGCTTTTAGAATTTTGACTTTGTGTTTTTAAATTTCCTTATAAAGTATCAAGGTTTTAAATCATATTTATCTTATTAGACATTCCATAAACTCTTTCAGTCTGAAGTCTTTCATCTTTCTTTAATACTAAAAAATCCTTGGTTATTTTTTCTTTGACACTTCTCTTTCTTCATTTTTTTCTTCAAAACTTCCTATTACACAGATGATGACACTTTTATTTTATTCTTCACAGCTTCTAATTCTGTTATATTTTCCAACTGTTTGTCTTTTCTCAGTGCCTTCTGGGAGAGTCCATCAACCTGGTCATCTGGCTCACTTATCCCAGCAGAATCCATTTTTAATATTTATGTCATTTATTGGATTCTTTATTTCAATTATTAAATTTTTGGCATCCAATGTTTCTGTTTGGTTCTTCTTTATAACTGCTTTATGTTACCATTATCTTTCCTTTTCCTTATTTATTACACTTATTTTAAATTATTAATCTGTGTGGTTTCATTAGTTCTAATTTATCTTCTATAGGTTGTACAGTTTGTTTTCTTTCTAACGGTGATGTTTCTCAGATGTCCGGTGGTTTTTGCTTGGGGGTTCATTTTCCCCTGGGGGCGGGTTATTAGCTTTTTGGCTTAAATTGTTACTGGGAAGGAGACCCTTGTTCCTAACTGACAAGCCCGATGAATGTGGAAGAGCGTGGGGAGAAGAGAGCTCCCAGGGGCTTGCTGGTGTCCTGCACCTGCTGTCTCCTGCTTTTTGGCTCAGTTTCAGTTGCTTCCTTGGCACTTCTCCTACTCCTTCTGTGGTGCCCGCTGGATCTGTTGTTTTCTCTATCCTGTAGGGGCTGATGGGGGCCACGATCCACCCAGGATAGTGTGGTGCACAAAGACAGCTCAGAGACCTTCCCCCAACAGTGGTGCCCGGTGCTTTGCTGCTCTGAGCTGCTCTTTCCTCCCCATCCTCAGATCAGAACCACCCTCTGTCTCCCTAGGGTTCCTCACAGTCTTAGGTTCTTCAAATCTGTACTTTTCCATTTACTTCTGAGGTATCCCCAGGGTTGGAATAGAGGATGAAACTTGCAATCCCCTTTGCAGCTCCACACCTCCACCTACTGCGCCGCCTTTTACTTCTGAGTCTTCTGCCCCACCCCCACCCCATCTCCAGGGAAACCTTCACATCTCAGTTACCTCTTCAGGCAACGAGGCTGCGTTTTCCCTGCTCTGCCTCATTAGTCACTGCTTCTTCTCCTACTTTCCGTCTTCAAAACAGTTCTAAAATTTCTAGTCTACTATTGACTCCTCTCTAGCTTATATTATCTAGATGTGTTTGCACACCTTTTTATTCTACTTCACTTTCATATTTGTAGGATTTTTATGAAGTAGACAAATAGGAGTATTTGGTCAACACACTATGTTTAAATAGAAGTTCTCCAGTGGGAAATATTTAGGCGACTAAACAAACTGATTCTCAAGTTCATCTGAAAGAAACAAATATGAAAGAATAGACAAGAAAATTTTGAAAAAGAGAAAGAGATTAACTTATTAAAACATACAATAGAGATATAGGAAATAAAACAGTATGGCATTGACACGAGGAAAATACATTATTAGACTAGAATATAGATCTGAGAAGGAGATGCACATAGATATTTAGTTCATGGACATGAGTAAGCATTTCAAGTCTGTAGGAACAGCTTTTCAATATCCATTGCTGGGACAACTAGCTGTCTGTTTGAAAATAAAATTAATGTGGACCACTGTTATGAGTTGAATTAAAAAAAAATCTACCTGTACATGTTGAAAAAGATATGAACCTGATATCTGTGAATGTGACTGTGATGGTTAATCTTATGTGTCAACTTGGTTAGGCTTTGTTACCCAGTTAGTTATTCAAACACCAGTGTAGGTGTTGCTGTGAAGGTATTTTGTAGGCGTGATTAACATTGCCATCAGTTGACTTTAAGTGTAACAGTTTACTGTCCATATGTGGGTGGGTCTCATCCAATCAGTTGAAGGTTTTAAGAGCAAACACTGAGATTTTTCTGGAAAAGAAGAATTCTGCCTCAAGAGTGTAACAGAGAAATCCTCCCTGAGTTTTCAGCCTGCCAATATGTCTACAGATTTTGGACTTAGGACTGCAACATCAGCTCTTACCTGCATTTCCAGTCTGCTAGATTTTGGACTTACCAGACCCCACAATTGCTTGAGCCAATTCCTTTCTCTTTCTCTCTCTCTCTAATATTTCTCTCTCTCTATGTAGAATATGATGAATGAAAATATCATATTATACACACACATACACACACATATATATACATATATAATTTCCCTCTTTTTATATATAGTGTTATATACCAATATACTATTGTTCTCTTTCTCTGGAGAACCCTGAGTGATACAGTGATTTGAGCCCAGATCTAGTATGCTTGGTGTTGTTTTAAGAAGAAGAAAACCACCATGCGATGACAGAGACACAGAAAAAATGACATGTGATGACAGGCAGAGATTGGAGACACAGCTGCAAGACAAGGAAACCAAGGATTGGTGGGCATCACCAGAAACCTAGGAAGATGCAAGGAAGAATTCTGCCCAGGGTCTCAGAGGGAGCACAGCTCTGCTGACACCTTCATTTTAGACTTCCAGCTTCCAGAACTGTGAGAGAATAAATCTGTGTTGTTTAATTCATCCAGTTTGTGGCACATTGTTATAGCATCCTTAGGAAACAAATATAACCCTTTATCTAATGCCACCCATAAAAATGCATTCCAGAGGGATTAAACATATTGAGTAACAATAAGAATAATATACAAAATTTTGATCACTAAATGCCAGGCAAAGTGCCGAGTGCTTTACACATTATCATTGTCTCTGTTTTGCAGATGAACAAACAGTCATGGAGCCAGCAAAAGGCAGCGTCAAGATTTGAACCCATGACACCTGAATTCAGACTCTGTAACAGAAAAAAAAAAAGTTGGCAAAGAAAGGGTTCTGCTACGAAAGATACAAAACCACAAGCCAAAAACAAAACAAAACAAAAAAACAAAAACAAGACGAAATCAATAGCTTACCTATGGGAACATTCAAACTATTGAGTATGACAAAAACATCAAAAATAAAGTTAAGAGACTGGGAGAAAATATTTTCAATATGCAGTCATCCCTTGGTATCCTTGAGGGAATTGTTCCAGGACCTCCCAAGGATACCAAAATCCATGGATGCTAAAGTCCCTGATATAAAATGGGGCAGTATTTGCATATAACCTATGTACATCCTCCAGTATACTTTAAATCATCTCTAGATTACTTCTAATACCTAATACAATGTAAATGGTATGTAAATAGCTATTAGACTGCATTGTTTAGGGAATAATGACAAGGGAGAAAAAGGCTGTGCACGTTCAGTACAAATGCATTATCTTCTGAAATGTTTTTGATCTGAAGTCAGTTGAATTCATGGATGTGGAACCCATGAATATGGAAGGCTGACTGTATCTGACAGACAAAGGAAATAGCTACTATAAATCAAACAAGAGAAATCAAATAACCTAAGAAACAATGACGAAGGGCATACTTAGATAATAAAGAGAATACAAGTACTGTGGGCAAAAAACATATGAAGTGATGTTGAGCCTCACTAATAATCAGGGAAATCCAAATCCAAATGACATGTCACTTTTGCTTTTTAATTTGGCAAAGAGTAACAGGGTTGATCGTGCTCAGTTTTAGAAGGGGTGCTCTCCCACACTTTAGTAGGAATATAACTTGGTAAAGGCTTTTTTGGTACTTGATTTCACAATGTGAATAAAAGTAAAAAATGCACATTCCCTTCAATCCAGCAATTCCCCCACCCCCACATACACACTAGATTTCTATATCAGTCAGGGCTTATGGTTGCAAAACCAGAAGTGGGTTCTGGCTAACTTAAGCAGAAAACAAATGTACTGGAAAAATATCTGGTAGTTGACAGGGTGGATGAAAAGGCTTGGAACCTTGGTTCCACAATCTTGCAGGAGCCAGTGGAAACCGGGGTGCTGAAGACCCAGCAAAGCTTATGCCTCAGGAGCGGTCAGATTTTTTGTGACCACTGACTCCGTCACCACTGGGACTGTGGCCACCACCACTTCCTCTCTGCTCTGTCATCACTACTGCTGCCACCAGTGATTTGTGTCTTTGAAACTTTGTCTGCAAATTCACAACGCAAGTTGAGTTCTGATTGGCCAAACCCTGGCAGCACATTCTGACCGCAGGACCAAGGGCAGACTGAGGGGACAGAGACTTCTTTTGGCTTTTAAAGTGGATGTGAGGGGCCTGCCACCCAGGTAGACTTCTGACTTACACCCCAAATTGGAAGGGTATTTGTATAAAGAGTAGCCAAAGCCAGTACACACCTATAAATGGATCCACTATTGTGGCTACCCAAGATTTATATACATTCTTCTCATATTTTCACTAACCCTCTCCCTGTCAAAAAATATCCTGTTACCATTATGAAACTATCCCACGTACAAAGTGAAGGACTCACCTTCTCTCTAAAGGGAGACAGCCCAGGGTCTTATCAATGACCACACCCAGACCTTGAGTCCTGTGCATCCCATCTCTAACTCTCGCAATTCCATTTCTATATTCTGTAAACTGTAATGATGTGCTGAAGCCGGCTCATACCAGAAATTCTGCGAACTGGCTATTAAACACAGCAATTGTTAACAATCAAATTATATATGCTTACAATGAAATAAATTATATTAAAAGCAAAAGTAGTAAATACTAAAAGCTCATCACTAATTATTTTACTACATTTTACCATTCTCTATGCTCTTGAGGTTATTAATATATATTGGATCTATATGGTGGAAATTCTGTATTATGATTTCTACTGAATACTTCATCTCAACTCTGTGTTTAGTGATGTCATGTTAATGGCAGGAAATTGGCCACAGTGGGAGTATTTTTGGAAAAATGGGCAAAAACACTACAAATCAAGGCTTGTTTGTTTCTTTTTCGGGATGATTGTCAGACTTAAGAAAATGATGGAGAAAATGTTAGTAATGGCGATTAAACTTAAAAATGCATTATGTCGGCCGGGAGCAGTGGCTTATGCCTGTAATCCCAGCACTTTGGGAGGCTGAGGCGGGCAGATCACCTGAGGTCAGGAGTTTGAGACCAGCCTGGCCAACATAGTGAAATCCCATCTCTACTAAAAGTACAAAAAATTAGCTGGATATGGTGGCAGGTGGTCGTAATCCCAGCTACTTGGGAGGCTGAGGCAGGAGAATCACTTGAACCCGGCAGGCAGAGATCGCGCCATTGCACTCCAGCCCTGGCAACAGTGCAAGACTCCATCTCAAAAAAAAAAAAAAAAAAAAAGCATTATGTCTATAGCTGTTACATTGTGGATAGCACAAAAATTACGAAAATAGTGTCTCGTATTTGAAAACTATTACCTAATTCAGCAATAAAATTTTTCATGCTGTTGACAAACAAGTGAAGTCTAAGATCTATCTTCATTGCTTTACTTCCATCTTATTCGTGAGAACTACGCTAACTCAACTGCAATCAGAGATTGGCTATGGATACAAAAGTTTGGCAAAAATCAATAAAAGCAGTCTGTGAGAATCAATTGGCTACATTAAAATCATAATAAAGAAGATTGTATATTATTATTTGTAAATTTGTGCAACACATTCTTTTTATCAATAAAATTGATAATAAACTTACATATGCTGACATTTTATTTTCTGGAAAGCTGGTTTGTAAAAATTTGCCAGTGCGCCGATGCCTATGAATTATAAAGTTCACCACTACTGCCACCACATCAATACAAATGAATATTCTCAATATAAATGAAAAACTTAAATCCCCAGATATAACATAGACAATGATCTTTTTGCAAAGTTAAAAGTAATTCATGCCGGTAATCCCAGCACTTTGGGAGGCCGACGTGGGCGGATCACGAGGTCAGGAGATCAAGACCATCCTGGCTAACATGGTGAAACCCCGTCTCTACCAAAAATACAAAAAATTAGCTGAGTGCGGTGGCACGTGGCTGTAGTCCCAGCTACTCGGGAGGGTGAGGCAGAAGAATTGCTTGAACCTGGGAGGCGGAGGTTGCAGTGAGACAAGATCGTGCCACTGCACCCTAACTTGGGCGACAGAGCAAAACGCTGTCTCAAAAAAAAATTTTTTTTTGAAAGAAGACATATATTAATGTCTATTTGCATCTTTTGCTTGTTTTTTAATTGGGGTTTTAAAAATTGCTGAGATGTAAGCGTTTTTTATGTACTCGGATACTAGACCTTTATCAGATTTGCAAATGTTTTCTCCCATTTTGGGTGCCTTTCCACTTTCTTGACTCCTTGACATTTTGCCTCACCCTCTTTGCAACCAGAGTGAGGCATCTCCCCGGAAGCAGATTAACTCTTTAGTATAAGTGTTAGGGCTCAGGGGGAAGACAACAGTCTCAGAAGAGAGGAAACAGTTAACCACCTGGTCTGAGGGAAGCAGCAGTACTCAAGTGGATGATAATTAATTAAACAAAAGTTCTGAATTCAATCAGAAGCCAATTTTGGCATCAGCAGACATTCAATTAGCTGTGATTACAGCCAGAGACTGGAAATGCTGTGCCCTGAGGCTCCCAGGCCCCAGCATGCTCAGGCTTAAGGGCCATGTCTGGAGTGGCTGGTGGGGCAGCAGCCTTTCCAGACAGCTCGTGCCCGGGGGTGCTGCAGCAGGGACAGCAGCAGTGCTGCAGGTTGTGTTTCAGCCCTGAAAAGCAGACCGCTTTCCCCTGCCCAAGCCTAGATAAGTCTCTGTGAGATCTGTGGCCAAGGCTTTCCTGTGGTTTAGCTAAGGAGCTCTTCTGCTAAATGGGATCCATCTATTTCCCTTGGGCAGATAGTGTGTTTTTGGTGCCTTCTAGGTTCTCCTGGGCAGGCTCAGGAGTTTCAGAGAGGACTCTTCCTAAGGACTCCTCTTGAAAACACTCAGAACAGAACAGAGCTGGAGGAAGGTGCATGCTGGAGACAGTCCTGAGTGGTTTGTGGGAGGTCCCTTTATTCTGGCATTGCTTCTGTGTTTTAGATGTGCACTCTGTACCATGGCATGTCATGGAGTAGAGGATGGTCACTGCTATATTCTCCATTTTATATACAAATAAACTGAGATTCGGGTTAAAGTCACATAAGTGCTAAATGGGGGACTTAGGGCTGTTTGACCAGATCCTGAGCTCTTTCCATAGAAAGCTTAGTTTTAGAATAAGGTTAATGAGCTAATGAGGCTCATGTAGGAATCATACCTGAAGCACAAAGTCCACTCACCAAAGATTAGTTCTTGTTCTTCTTCCTTGATCTACCTGATACTCCAATCCATACCCGAGCTTCTGCAAGTGAAGTCTGGTATTTCTCAGCCTGCGTAGAATACCTTCTTTTTGTCTTTCCCCCCCTACCCATTAGCCCACCTCACCCTGGCCCTTCTTCTCCCTGTATTAAAATGAAGTTTTTAAGAGTGGTTCAAAAGTTGCCTCCTCCAGGCGGCCTTCCCAGACAGCCCACCAAACTCTCCAGTTCCCCTTGCTGCCTGTCAGTCTTGCTATGGCTATTGCAAAGCTGTAAGATGAGTTTATTGCCTCTGTCGTATGCACTCCTCTGCACACCAAAATGTAAATATTCATAGTAGCATTATTCATAATAACTAAAAAGTGGAAACATTTCAAATGTCCATCAGCGGATGAATGGATAAACAAAATGTGGCATATCTGTACAATAAAATATACTAAAGCCATTAAAAGGAATGAAGCACTGATATACGTGTGGGGGCTTGTATTCCTACCACATTGACTGCCCCGAAAGCAGAGCCTGAGGCTTCTTAATCTGTGTCTCTCTTCTATTCCCAGCTGTACCTACCCATGGAGGCTGGGGACAAGAGCCAATCATCATGGAGCTTTCTACTGACTTGGCCACCTGCAAGACCCGCTGCAATATGGTGGGTACAGCAAGACAGGGATTCCTTCTAAAACAGAACTTTGATTCTGGAAGGTGTTTAGCAATTGTCTCTACAAAATAACTCAAGAAAGGGGAGCCCTGGATCAGCTCGAAAGGCTCAGAACCCATCTCCTCATGTGGGAAAGCCTCTTCATCATTTTCTCCTCACAGATAACAGTCTAGCCACAGGTGGGGGAAAAGGGACAAGAGTAGAAAGTTATAAGCCAGGTTGGAAATGGAGCCAGAGATGCGGAGGATGTCTCCTGGAGCTCTAGCTGGCGTGTGTCGGGGGAGGAGGGTCATCGGGTAGAATATAACTTTGCATACCTGTTCTTTACCTTGCTCCCTCCCTGCTTTCCTTTTTGTCTCTTGGTCATGATCCAGTTCAGATGGGACCCACACACAGCATGTGTGTGGAGGACTCATTGGACAGGAAGATTGACTACCTGAGCTCTGCTTCTTAGCTAACTCTTCTCACTTGAGTGTCCCTGGGCAAGGTTCCCAGCTGCTTAGGGCTTCAGTGCCCTCATCTGCAAAGTGTTAAAATGCAAGATCCTTCAGGGCATGTCATATATCCCTTCTGAACCCCACAACATTTAGTGCAGTGCCTGAACGTAGCAGGTGATCAGCATGTTCTCATTTCCTGCCATCATGCCTAAAACCTACATCACCTACCTGAATACCTAACGAGGCCATGAAGGTTAAAGATCTTAAACCCTAAAGTCTTATAAAACAGGAAGCTTTACAGTTGTCATGAATAGAGTTGTCAAGGAGAGATGATCCCTGCCCTGGGCAAACCATAGTCAAATATTGGCCTGCTTTTTACCTTCTTATACAGGTTGATGGCAGCTTTATTTGAGGCTGCCAAATATTGCAAACAACCCAAATGGCCATTGCCAGGTGAATGGATAAGCAAATTGTGACATATCCATGTAATGGAATGATGCTCAGTAATAACAAGGAACAAATTATTGATGCAGAGTAGGTGCTGTATAATTCCATTCATAAAGAATTGTACAAAATACAAATTAATCTATAGTGACAGAAAGCACATCAGTGGTGTTTTGAGGATGGGAGTGGAGGCAGGGATGGATTACAAAGGGGCACAGGATATTTTACGTATGATGAGGATGTTTGTTATCTTGATTGTGGTGATGGCTTTACTGGTACACACATATGTTGAAACTCATCACATTTTACACTTTAGCTACACTGAGGCTGGGTGTGGTGGCTCACACCTGTAATCCCAACACTTTGAGAGGCTGAGGTGGGTGGATCACTTGAGGTCAGGAGTTCGAGGCCAGCCTGGCCAACATGGTGAAACCCCGACTTTACTAATACTACAAAAATTAGCTTGGCGTGGTGGCATGCGCTTGTAGTCCTAGCTACTTGGGGGGCTGAGGTGAGAGGATCACTTGAACCCGGGAGGCGGAGATTGCAGTGAGCTGAGATCGTGCCACTATGCTCCAGCCTGAGCATCAGAGTCAGACTCTGTCTCAACGGAAAAAAAAAAAGAAATTAAAAAAAGGTACACCGTATTATACTTCAATAAAGCTTTTAAAAAAGAACAGGCTGAAATGGTTTTCCATTTTGGGATCTCTTTTCCCCTTCTTTTCTCCCCTTCTAGAGAAAGTTTCTGAGAGGTAGGCATGTGATTGTCCTTCTTTGGCATGAAGTGGGTGGGGAAAATCTGTCTTTGTTGAATTTCACTATTCTTCTTGCTGAAGTTTGTCCCAGCCTGACTGCAAGAAAACAAGCTTCTTTATAATTTACTGTTCTGTCTGTGCCTTCTCTTTTCCAAAGGTTTTGCTTGATGGCCCTGGTAGGTTTCTGGATGGAGAACAGTATTGTATGGTGGTTGCATCCTAAGCTAGTCTTGGATCCATCCTTTAGAACCACCTATTATCCATCACTCCATCTTCCACTTCTCCTGTACACCAGCCTGTCTCTACTCCACCACCTGCATCCCATCTGAGGTGGCCATCACAGAGAACATGGCATGATAATGATTATTTTCTCTAAAAATCAGAGACTAATCAAGATGAACCTCTACCCTCTTTACAGAGCTCTGAACTCTTTGGAGGGTGGGAACTGGGGAGGAGTAAATGACTATGACATTTCAAGGCTGTAGAGACCCCTCTGTCCACCCAGAGTCAGTTCTTGGGCCATAACAACTAAGTTCAACTTCATTTTGGGCCTTCTGAGTTTCTTCAGCCTCTAAGACCCCAAGTCTTCTCAGTCTGCTTCTTGATTTTTCTGTCATCTTTCTGAGTTTTCTAACCACACTTTCCTGTAAAGAGTAATAACACAACAGTTTCAATAGTCCTCAGCACTACAGAGACCTTGGGCGCCCTCTGAAAGCACTTGCAGAGATATGATCATGCTTACCGTCACACCAAGCTAAGAAGACACGAAGGGGGACCTCATTTAGTAGATGATGACAAAGAGGTGAGTCACTTGGGCAACATCATGTAAAAGAAACCAGCTGAATGTTTTGATCATTGGTGTCCCTGGCTGGGGCTTTATCCTCTAGTCTACCTGCTTTTGCTGCTGTGCATGTGGGCCTCAGAGATGGCAGGGAGCTGGCAGCATGGGCCTATGCTCCCAGACCCAAGTTGGTCTGAGCCAAGGTAAGATAGGCTGGAGGCGCCACTGCCTGGTTCAGCCTAGTACAACATTTGGTGCCTCAGGATAAACAACTTCTCCACTGCAAATACCATTTCATCTCCTAGGAGCTGACCCTGCACTCACCTTAAACAGGGAGGCTGGCCTTCTGTATTTATTCCTGTAGACCTCCCTTCCTCTTCACCCCCATGCAACCCCCTCAGGAGCACTGGAGCTTTCTGGGTAAAGGGGAGGAAATAATAAATAAATAACTTGTAGTAGCAGCTGCATCTGATCTGTGCATGTGAGCGTCCCAGCTGGTCTCTCCATCATGCCAGACCTTCAACAAGTCCTTCTCCATAGAAGAGCACCGTGTTAGTTTGCTAGGGCTACTATAACAAAATACCACAGACTGGGTGGTTTAAAAGCAGAAATTTATTTGCTCATAGTTCTGGAGGCTAGAAGTCAAAGATCATAATGTTGTCAGGTTTAGTTTCTTCTGAGGCCTCTGTCCTTGGCTTGCAGATGGTCACTTTCTTGGTGTATGCCCAACTGGTCATCTCTCTATGGGTGCATGTGTCTAGTGTCTTTCTCTACCTGTAATATATACCCCTAATCTCTCTCTCTCTCTTTTTTTTTTTTTTCAAGATGGAGCCTCTCTCTGTTGCCCAGGCTGGAGTGCAGTGGCGCCATCTTGGCTTCAGTGGACCCGGAGAGAAGGCCAGACTGGCCGGAATGGCTGATAAGGGAGGTAAGTGGTGACAGAGCAGGCTCCATGCATTTTGCTTAGAGAATACACCCCATGAGAGTACCTTCTTCAGAAAATAACCATTGGGGGTGATCTTTAGAGACTTGAAACCTCCTGGGAAGAACCATGGTCTGACCCAATATGCCATCCCTTCTAGGCCTAGGTTGTGGTAGATTGGAAAGCAAGATGGAAGGGCATAGGTAAGTAAATAAACTTTGGAACAAGACCAGCCTGGGTTTGAATCTCAGCTCTGCTGTTTACTAGCTATGCATTTCAGGGCAAATGATATAATTTTAAGGCAAATGATACAATTTGCCTTAAAATACATAGTTTTACTGGTCAGATTCATCACCAGTAAAACTGCCATAATAATACATTTCTCCCAGAGTTGATGTGAGAAATACATTAGATAATGTATATAACACACTCAGCATAGTTCCTGGTAAGTTATATATCCGCATTACATAGTTATTTCATATTATTATTATTATTATTGGTTCACAGCAAATATGGTGTGTATTAGTCAGGGTTCTCTTAGAAGGACAGAACTAACAGGATATACATATATATATATGATATATATGGGATATATATATACCATATCCCAGGCTGTCTGCAGGCTGAGGAGCAAGGAGAGCCAGTCCGAATCCCAAAACTGAAGAACTTGGAGTCTGATGTTCAAGAGCAGGAAGAATCCAGCATGGGAGAAAGATGTAGGAGAGGCTAGGCCCATCTGCCTTTTTTCACCTTTTTTTTGCCTGCTTTATATTTGCTGGAAGCTGATTAGATTGTGCCCACTAGATTAAGGGTGGATCTACCTTGCCCATCTCACTGACTCAAATGTTAATCTCTTTTGGCAGCACCCACAAAGACACACCCAGGATTAATACTTTGTATCTCTCAATCCAATCAAGTTGACATCACAAGTCCACCCCTTGTCAACTTGAACCCCTACACATCTCCTGAGATCATATATAATCTTCAAATAAAGACAATAATAAGGTCATAATTACACTAACATAATACAACTATCCTTCATACAACCAGAAATGCACCAATCCCCAACCCAAATACTATTACATAAAGTTAACAATACTTAAATGTTGACGTGAAGTCAATAAATCTTATATCACATGATAGAGGAAAAGGAAATAAAATGAAGATATTTTCTAGTACTAGTGTATACATTCTTTTGTTTTTAACAAAAGAAGGAGGAAATACTCATGACAGTTACAGTCCTCATTTCTGCAGCTGATCACGTGGTCATAGCTGGTATTGATGCCTACCTTCTTTTACTACCCATTCTAGGTTACCTTTGCCTTCAGCAAGCACTTCAGCAGGTTGTGTTTTTTTTTTTTTTTTTTTCCCTGGTGGAGTGACCCAAACCTTCATTCCTGAAAGGTGTGGGTCATTTGTAGTCCTGCCTGGATTAGGCTATTGTAGTTTCCCATTGACCTTAATCACAGGGCATGGTAATACTAAGAGACGCCCTAGTGGATCTCCTATATTCCATACTTACTCTTTCTTATCTCCGTTGTAGAGTAGTAGACTGATTTCGTCTTGATAGTCCGGGTCAATCACCCCAGCCAACACCGTAACTCCCTTCTTAGCATGTTGACTTAAAGATAGGAGAAGCCCAAAGTGTCCAGGTGGCAATCTTAACTTGCAGTTTAATGGAATCATTGTTGTGTCTCCTGGTGGCAGTGTTCCTCCCTCTGGAACTAAGACCTCTAGGCCAGCAGAACGTAATGTAGTGGGAACAGGGAAGCAAAAATTTTGCTACTGGATCACTAGGGGTGATGGTGAGTGTGCCATTTTCACTTCCACCCCTTGATTCCCAGACAGGTGAATGCTGGCTGTTGGAGAAAGAGTACCATATATTGGACTCTGATTCAAAGCATACACAGCCTTCTAGAGAAGTTTGCCCCAGTCCTGCAAAGTATTGTCACCTAGTTGGTGTTGTAATTGTGACTTCAAAAGGCCATTTCACTGTTCCATCAATCCAGCTGCTTCAGGATGGTGGGGAACATGATAAGACCAGTAAATTCCATGAGCATGAGCCCACTGCCGCACTTCTTTAAGCATAAAGTGAGTGCCTTGGTCAGAGGAATGCGGTGTGGAATACCATGACGGTGGATAAGGCATTCTGTGAGTCCATGATGGTAGTCTTGGCAGAAGCACCGCGTGCAGGATAGGCAAACCCATATCCGGAGTAAGTGTCTATTCCAGTGAGGACAACCTCTGCCCTTTCCATGATGGAAGTGGTCTAATATAATCACCATGCCACCAGGTAGCATGCTGATCACCCTGAGGAATGCTGCCATATCGAGGGCTCAGTGTTGGTCTCTGCTGCTGGCAAATTGGGCACTCAGCAGTGTCTGTAGCTAGGTCAGCCTTGGTGAGTGGAAGTCTATGTTGCCAAGCCCATGCGTAACCTCCATCCCTGCCACCATGGGCCCATTGGGCAATGACAGGAGTGGCTGGGGAAAGAGGCTGAGTGGTGTCCACAGAATGGGTCATCCTATCCACTTGATCATTAAACTTCTCCTCCACTGAGGTCACGCATTGGTGAGCACTCACATGGGATACAAATATCTTCACAGTTTTTTTTTTTTTCCACTCAGAGGCATCCGTCCACATACCTCTTTCTCAAATGTCTTTGTCACCAATTTTCCCATCATGCTTCTTCCAAGTTCCTGACCATCCAGCCAAACCATTGGCTATACTCCATGAATCAGTATATAATTGCACATCTGGCCATTTCTCCTTCCATGCAAAGTGCACAGCCAGGTGCACTGTTTGAAGTTCTGCCCACTAGGAAGATTTCCCTTCACTGCTGTCCTTCAGGGATGTCCTAGAAAGCGGCTGTAGTGGTGCAGCAGTCCACTTTCGGGTGGTGCCTGCACATCGTGCAGAGCCATCTGTGAACCAGGCCCTAGTCTCCTCATCCTCTCTCACCTGATCATAGGGGACTCCCCGTGAGGCCATCAATGCAGGCTGGGGGAGAGAAGGAAGGGTGGCGGGAGTGCAGACCATGGACATTTGAGCCGCTTCCTCATGTAACTTACTTGTGCCTTCACGGCCTGCTTGAGCCCCATTACATATACACCACTTCCATTTGATGGTGGAATGCTGCTGTGCACAACCCACTTTATGGCTTGATGACTCAGAAAGCACCCAGTTTGTGATAGGCAGTTCAGGTCGCATGGTGACTTGATGACCCACAGTCAAATGTTCAGTTTCCACCAAAGCCCAGTGACAGGCCAAGAGCTGTCTCTCAAAAGGAGAATAGTTATCTGCAGAAGATGGCAGGGCCTTGCTCCAAAGTCCTAGAGGCCTCTACTGTGATTCATCTAGAGGGGCCTGCCAAAGGCTCCAGATAGCATCCCTATCTACTACTGGCACCTCAAGCACCATTGGATCTGCTGGGTCGTATGGCCCAAGTGGCAGAGCAGCTTGCACAGCAGCCTGGACCTGTTGCAGAGCCTTCTCCTGTTCTGGACCCCACTCAAAACTGGCAGCCTTTCGGGTCACTTGATAAATGGGCTGGAGTAACACACCCACATGAGGAATGTGTTGCCTCCAAAATCCAAATAGGCCCACTAGGCATCGTGCCTCTTTCTTGGTTGTAGGCGGGGCCAAATGCAGCAACTTATCCTTCACCTTAGAAGGAATATCTTGGCAGGCCCCATACCACAGGACCCCTAGAAATTTTACTGAGGTAGAAGTTCCCTGAATTTTAGTCAGATTTATTTCCCAACCTCTGGCACACAGATAGCCAAGGACTATCAGTGTTCTCCATACTATTAGAAGTAGAGTCCTTAGCATTTTGGGGCCTAATCATATTAAGCAGCCAACTCCAGAAACCCCAAAACCAATGAAAGAACTCCATCCTTAATATACTGTTCCTCTAGAACCACTCCTGGTACCAAAATCTATATTAGTCAGGGTTCTCTTAGAGGGACAGAACTAACAGTGTGTGTGTATATATATATACACACACACATATATATACATATATACACACACACACACACACACACACACACACACACTAAGGTCACTAAGGGTGTTGGCCATGGGAATGCTGCATATAGAGGGAATCTGGAGTGTAGCAAGACATAAACAAGATCCCAAGTGGACTATGTGGAAACAAGTGCATGGGATGGCTGTGTAGGTTGAAGTAGGGGTAGATCAGGAGGGAAGAGGACTTGAAGCCAGGGTTTCAGGAACAGGGACTGGCTAGCCTGAAGTGAAAGTGCATTCCCCAAATATTAGTGTGTATATATATATACACACACACTAATAGTATATATTAGTATTCGTGGTTATATATATAGACATATATATATATATAATTATTAAGTATTAACTTACACGATCACAAGGTTCCACAGTAGGCTGTCTGCAAGCTGAAAGCCAGTCTGAGTCCCAAAACTGAAGAACCCAGAGTCTGATGTTCGAGGGAAGGAAGCATTCAGCATAGGAGAAAGATGTAGGCTGAGAGGCTGGGCCCATCTTTCTTTTTTCAGGTTTTTGTGCCTGCTTTATATTTGCTGGAAGCTGATTATATTGTGCCCACCAGATTAAGGGTGAATTTGCCTTCCCCAGCGCACTGACTCAAATGTTAATCTCTTTTGGCAACACCCACAAAGACACACCCAGGATTAATACATTGTGTCCCTCAATCCAATCAAGTTGACACTCAGTATTAACCATCACATGGTGGAAAGAGAAGACTGTCCGATTTAGCTGGAGCGATTGTGTAACACTTGCTCTCTGGTTTGGCCTGTCCCTGAGACATTTCAGGCTTCCATGAAGCTGCAATCTAAAGTCTGTCAAGTAGCAACATGGTTATTTGGCTAATGAATGCTCTAAGAAAGAGCTGAGAAGTTGAGATAGGCAATCAAGAATAGGAGGCTTTCCTAACTAATGCAAATAAATACTGAGTGATTGAAATATAACTAAAATTTTTACCACAATATTTATGGAGATCTTTTATTCCTTGGTAGAGTTAGACTTAAGCACAAATGACTTCAGAGGAACCATTGGGGGAATATTAAATGTTCTAACTAATTAATTAATGCAATTAATTCTAATTATGCAATTAACATCCACTAAGCTACAGAAGCTATAGCTTGGCGGGGGGTGTGGGGGGAAGAGAGAGAGAGAGAGAGAGAGAAAAAAAAAAACGAAAAACAACAAAAACCAACCAAAACAATTAATGTGGTAGGCACTGCTGCCATTTCTTATTTCCTTAATGGAGTCGGCTATTTATACAAAGTAATTAAATGTTACTATTAATAAATGGCCTTCTTGCATAAGGGAAAACTAGTTCTGAAAAATGTTAGAAACCGTGGCCATCAGTACATCTTTGGGGTCTTATTTGTGTCTCTGAAAAGAGGAGTTTCATTGCTAAATCACTACATAGAGAATAAAAAAATTGATCTCTTTCTGTGTTGAGTAGCTTAGTATCCCCATGTCCATCTCTGACCTGAGTTTGGAGAGTGGCAGTGACTGTCTTGCTGGGGAACAGCAAACTACTGAGCAACACAGGTCTGCTGCCCTGGAGCTGGTGAGAAACCTAGACAGAGCACCCAAAGACATTGGTGATAGCAGAAAGAGGCAGACCCTCCTAATTCCAGCATGGAATTCAGTTATGGATTAAAAGGGGAGAGGGTGGGTGGGAAGAAGGTTGTTAACAGGCAAACACCAAGCCCCAAAGCAAAAGGACAACACTGCACTAAAATTGCTACTAAAACTCCCTTTGGAACATATAAACTGGGGGAATGTGGGATAAACAGGGGCCTATCAAGGTCTGTGGCTCATGAGTGCCATGAAGCCTCAGACCCCTCCTAGTTCTCCTGGCTCCTAGTTGTGTCTCTGCCTCAGGCTGTTGTCCTTTTACCCTTCTTGAGCTGACCTTGCACATCTTTTAAGCCTTGAGAAAAAGGGAGGAAACAGGACAAGGAAGCAAGCTGTCCCTGCCTCTCATACAGATGTTCCCTTCTTTACGAAGGCTATGTCCTCAGTGAGGCTGAGGTTCCCCAGGCTCCAGAAACCCATGGAACAGGAAGTCCCTTACACTCTGGAGGGTCATGGTCTCAGGTTAACCACCTGTCAACCTAGATGACCTACAGCTTGAGAGGGACAGCAGTCTGAGGAAGGGTGCTACCATCAAGATGCCCAGCAATCTGAGATTTTGGGAGGCCAATTCCTGCACTTATATGTTGGAAAGTGACATATCTTAGAGGTAAGAACACAGATTTTAATTCAAACTCTTCCTGGGTTTGAATCCTGCGGGTCGAATTCCTTAAACTCTCTGAGGTACAGTTTCTTCGTTCGTAAGGTGGAGATAACAACATCCCCTTCCAGGACTGTGGGAGGAGGTAATGGAATAATCTAGATGCAATGCCTGGCTCAGGTTAAGTGCTCCACATAGAGTGTCTATTGCTACTGTTATTCATCTCATCTACCTGGCATCTTGTATCACATCTGGCACACAATAAACTGTCCAGATACGTTTGTTCACCTGCTACTGGGGTCCAGGGCTGATCATGGGAGAAGGGTGTTGGGGACATGGGCATCAGGATAATGGGGAAGAAGCCAGGCTCCTTGCACAGCTGAGAGGTCCATCCCTGCCTGAAGCTACCAGCTGGGTGGAGCTGGCTGTCTTAATGGATCCGTATGTAATCTCCACTGAGAAAAGAGAACAGTATGGCAGGAAGAGAGTATACAACATCTTGATTTCAGGTCAAGGTTTCTACTCAGCACATTGCCCATGGTGTGGCTTTAAGATGCATAACGCCTTGAACCTGACTGAAGTCTGGCCTCTCCAGTTGTTCATCTGACCCCTTCTGGACAGGGCACCTGATTGTGAGGCCGACTACTTTAATTCGAGGCCTCTCGAGGATCTCCAGTGACTCTTCCCAGAATAGTTTAGAGCCACATGCTCTCTGTGTCATGCAGTTCTCCCTCAGCTCAGACAGAACGTTCAGTGCTGCAGACCCTTGCAGAGTGTGTTCGAGGCAGCCCCGGGCCCTGTGTGCAGCCTCTGGGATGTGCTCCTGAACCTTCCTCAGCCTTCCTTCCTGGGCTGTCCTGGCGTGTTCTGTGGAGTGTGAGAAGTCTGCTAAGGCTGTGATGTGAGTTCTTTAAACTTCACTTTTGAAACGAGGACATGAAGTTACCTGGAACTTCAGGCTCCCAGCTTGCTGAGCTCTGCAGCTCTCTGTGGGACTGGCTGCTGCCGTCAGAAAGAATAGAGCCGTCACTCTGCAGGAGGGTTTCTATGATAATAGGGCTTTTGCCTCCCAGTAATTGGAAAGGTGCTAATCTAGTGACTCATGAGATACATAGAAGGAAAAAATCCCACCCTGAAAATGAAACTGCATTGTGTTTTCTGAGTGCTTCATCTCCTTATTTCCACGGGAAGGGCAAGCTGAGGTTTAGGTGTATGGAGCAGGGTCCTGGTGTCCTGGCAGCACTGCTGGAGTGACCATTTTCCTCTGCCTTTCCTCCAAGTAGTCCAGCGATGCAGAAAGCAGGGAGGGCTGAACACCAGCCAGATGTCTGGGGCAACAAACCCAGCCTGAAGCCGTGGGGAAGGGGAGCTGGCCTGTGAAAGATGTGCAGAGGAGACAGTCATTACCAAATTAGTGATAGCCCCTCCTAAGACAGATTGGTGAGCCTGCAAGTGTGAGTGCACAGGTGTGCGTGTGTGTGCCTACATGCATTTGAGTTTGGGTGTATGTGTGCATGTGGGTGGATTAGCTGTGTGGGCATGTAGTGAGTGTGTGAGAGCCTGTATATATGTGTGTGTGTGTGCACACAATCCTGCAGATGTGCCCTGACCTGAATGTTGCTTCTCTTTTTTCTTTTGGCTTGGGCTGCAAATATTTTTGCTTTTTCCATCCACGTTGTATCCTTTGAGCTTTAGGGACCTGAGCTGAGTCCTGAAATCTGGCTGTCTATGGACAGGTGCCTGGGGTAGAAGACTGAGCTTGCTACCTACCAGAGGGCAGGTAGAGTTTCAGCTGGGCCCCCTGTTGGAGAAATGCAACCCCTTTATCTGCCCCTAAAGGGGCAGAGGACTGGGGTCTGCTTCTGCCTGAGGGTACTGGGGACTGCCCAATACCTGGACTGCTCTCCAGGGGCTCAGGGATGAAGCAGCCCCTCTATATCTTCCTGCATTCTTTCTGTCACCCTTCTGTGCTCCCTTTGCTGGAGGAAGTCCCCGTCCAACTTCTAATTCCTGTTTTCTTCCCATCGGATCACACTTCCTGACCTTGGGAACCCCTGACCTTGGGGTACCCCCAGGACTTCTGGAGCCCAGAAAGGCAGAGTCCTTCCAGTCACAGCCCTCCCCTAGTCTCCATCTGTCCATCTGGCAGCTCCTAGAGTGAGTCATAGTGCCCCCCAGGCTCTCCTCTCCTCCCCCTCCCACTCCCTTCATTAGCTTCATTGAAGCTAATAGTCCTGCTGGCAATTCCATTGTCTCCTCTTAATTCCAATTTCCTTTTGTCTCAAGGGGCAAATCAGCAGTGAAAGTAGTGAAGTGGCAGGCGCAGCCTCTAGGTATATTAATTAGGAGAGCATTAGTGAGGTAATAAAAATGCACCTTCAGTATCAGGGTGCTGCACCCTCCTCTCTCCCCCCTTTTCCCTTCTCAGCCCCAGCCAGAACAGGAAGAGCAGACTCAAGCCAGAAACAGGTAGTGGCTGAGGGGTGGAGCATCCCTGGGTCCCTACAGGCTGCCCGCAGAGGTGCCTGGCTGACGGCCAGATGCTCAAGGAGAAATGTGCCCTGCCACCCCACTGTGGTTCAGCTCCACTTGCTCCCTCACCTTTTCAGCATGTCAGTCACCAAGTCTCATAAATTAACCTCCTGATTATGTGTCAACTTCTTCCCCAGCTCTCCCTCCATATGATCATTGCCTGAGTCCACACCACCATCGGCTCCCACCTAGGTGATTGTGGTGGCTTCTGAATGGGCTCTCTGTGCCCAGCCTTGCCCTCGTCAGATCCTGTCTCTACCCTACAAGCAGATGCAGCACTTGCTGTTTCTTTTGAGCACCCATCCAGAGTGGGCACCATGCATCCATCCCATGCACATCTTCTGGGTACAGTCCCTGCCCCCTTGTCACCTGCTGAGCTCCTGCTCCCTGTCTTGTTTCTTGGACCTCTGCTTCTCCAGGAAGCCTTCTCTGACCTGCCGGACTGGGCTGGGTGAGCCTTCTGTGTTCTCACAGCAGCGTGGGCTGATCCCTAACAGCACATTGGTTATGCTGGATTACAGCTGCCTTGGCTGGTCTGGCTTTCCTGCCATGAGAATGAAGGCTTTGGGAATTGAGGGGGAAGAGGAGATGATAATGAATCATGCCATCTAGCTGTGAGTTTTGAGTTGGGAGATAAGCACAGAGTTGGATAGGGCCACCGTGCCATGCCAGTTTTATTATTAATAGAACTATGTTGGAGAGAGTGACTTTGGTCCAAAGACAAAATGAGATTCCTACTCCTTTCCTCCCGGATTGAGTTTAGACTCCTAGACAGAGCAGCACAGCAGGAAAACTGCAGGCCTCAGGTGCAGGGCAAAGTCTGCCTCAGAGGCGTTACTAAATGGGAAGGAAGGATGTGTCTGGACTCCAGCAGGCGATTCCAAAAAAGTGAGTCAAAATGTGGCCATCACATATCTGCTTAACCCTTTTTCCAATCTCAAAATGATTGGATAGCCACTCTTTTTTTTGAGGGCAGAAAAAGTGAGGGAAAGTGAAGAGGAAGTAGCAGTCTCTGTTTAGTAGTTATAAGCAGGTATCAGCTCCTATTTCATGGGCTGGCAGGAGTGTGGGAAGGGGTATGGGATGCTTCTCCCTATATGAACTGTCTCTGGTTTGCCATGAGGTCTCAGCTCCCAGCCCAGAGCCTGGCATGTTGCATATGATAACAGTTTGTTACATGGAGGGAAGGTCTCATATTTATTGGCTTCACTCAACCTTAGAGCTAGAAGGGCTCTTGATTAGGAAGTTGAGTCCCAAGGGCCAAAGTGACTTATCCAAGGTCCCAGAGGTAATCATTGTCTTCTGTTTCCCCTTCATCCATCTTGCTATGGCATCACGCTTCCTAGTCCAGCTTTAGTTGAGGGCTAAGGTCACTAGGGGTGTTGGCCATGGGAATGCTGCATGTAGAGGGAATCTGGAGTGTGGCAAGACATGAATGAGATCCCAAGTGGACTATGTGGAAACAAGTGCATGGGATGGCTGTGTAGGTTGAAGTAGGGGTAGATCAGGAGGGAAGAGGACTTGAAGCCAGGGTTTCAGGAACAGGGACTGGCTAGCCTGACGTGAAAGTGCATTCCCCAAAGGCCCATTTAGCGGGAGAAGAGTCAGGCTTATGCTGGATATTCCCTGAGAGTGGAGCTTGGACCAAAAAGAAACATCTTTTGTTTTGTGCACTAAATTACACAAATATTTAAAAGTACTGGGCTGTGTGCACCGTGAGGAACCAATCCCTGTTGCTGAGGAGCATCTGGCCTAGTTGAGTCACAAGCAATACAGTAACCAAAATGCTCAGTGCTGGCATTCACTGTGGATATGAAAGTACGGAAGGGCCAGGCGCGGTGGCTCACACCTGTAATCCCAGCACTTTGGGAGGCTGAGGCAGGTGGATCAACTGAGGTCAGGAGTTGGAGACCAGCCTGGCCAACATGGTGAAACCCCATCTCTACTAAAAATACAAAAATTAACCAGGCATGGTGGTGGGCGCCTGTAATCCCAGCTATTTGGGAGGCTGAGGTAGGAGAATTGCTTGAACCAGGGAGGTGGAGGTTGCAGTGAGCCAATATCATACTACCGTGCTCCAGCCTGGGTAACAGAGAGAGACAGAGTCTCAAAAAAAAAAAAAAAAAAAAAAAGTACAGAAGGCTCTCTGACTCTGCCATGGGCCAGGTGAAAGGTGGGGTGGTCCAAAAGCTTCTAAATGAGAGCTAGTCAAAATGGAAAGAGCAATCTGAAAGAATAGTTGCTAACCAAATGGCAGAGACAAGAGTTATAGGGAAGATGGTGGTGGTGGTTGGGTCTGAAGGCCCCACCCCCAAAAACCAGATCAGCTTGCCTTCATCTATTTCTTTATTTGGTCTAATACTGCAAAGCCAGGCTGCACACTGCCATGTTGACTCTACCAGAGCCCAGCATGCTTGCTTGAACTCCACTGGTGAGCTGGCCTTAGACTGAATTTCTAACTTGCTTCAATGTATTCCTACTCCTAGGTAGGTAGAGAAAGGGCTATTATTCCCTTTTACAGATGGAGGGGGCTTAGATCAAGGTCTGATTGCTTCAAGGAAAGGTTAGGCTGATTCAATCTTTTAAAAACTTTGGTTTATATTTTAGCTCCTTGCCTTATTTCTTTAGTCTCAGCTAATTCACACAGCTGTTCTAGAAGGGCCCCATTTTAAAGGATCCCATGTTCCATGATTTAAAAAATGAAAGCCTCAAATTCTTAGACACTACTGTCATTAAAAGGAGGCATCTATGTCCCCTTCTGTCTGAATTTGTATGGGGTTGTTACTGCTTTGGCCAATGGAATACAGAGGAAGTGAAGACCTGAGAGTAGGTCATGAAAGGGCATGCAGCTTCTGCCTGGCTGTCTTGGAACTTTTACCCTCTGGGTGCGTTCTCTGGGGATGCTCCCTCTTGGACCCCAGTTAACATGTTATGGGGAGTCCAAGCCGGATGGAGAAACCACATGTAGGTACCAGGGCAACAGTCCTAGCTGGGCCCAACCTTCAAGTCATCCCAGCCCAGGTCCCAGACATGAGTGTGAAGAAGCCTCCAGATGATTCAACCCCCAGCTGTTCACATTGCCCCCAGCTGTTTGAATTTCTCATGCCAGGCATTATGGAGAAGAGGTAAACTTTTCATCTTGTCCCCTGTCCAAATTCTTGATCCATAGAAGCTGTGAGCATAATAAAATCAGGCCACTTAGTTTGGAGTGGTTTGTTACACAGCAACAGATAATTGGAACATTATGCCGGACTAAAAGGTTATGTGAAATCACTTTCTCAGTCTCCCAATATTTAATTCCTCATCACTCATAACAAGGCGTAGGCTTCCGGGGTGCAGGCAGAGATTGGCCTGTGGGATCGATTGCTAGGCCTGCATGGGAGAGCTGGGTCACTTTACCTTTCCCTCCTGTCAATCATTTGGCTAAAAGAAGAAGTAAATTGTGCCATTAATCACTCTTTACTCTCCTTCCTCCCTCCTACTGTCTGAAGGGGGCTGCTCCCAGGACTCAGGGCTCAGCGCTGAGCCCTGTGGGAAGAGACTTGGGCCCTGGAGCGTAATTAATACTTGCCTCTGAGCCAGCTCTTAGGGGCTGTTAGCTCCTGGTCATTTACAAAATGATTGTTATTTTATTGACCCAGGAGAAGATAATTGCAAGTGACAAATGCTGACTTTGACATCCAGCCCTCTATGGGGACCTGGCAGGGCTGCTGTGCCTCCTGTGTGTATATGTTGTGTCTGGGTGTGGGGAGGCACTGATACCTATTAGTCTGGGAATAAATGGTGGTGGGAAGGGATGGAAAATGTCACAAAGTGTGTGTGTGTGTGTGTGTGTGTGTGTGTGTGTGTGAGCATATATGTTTGAGAGAGAGAGAGTTTGGGGAGGACTCTGACCTATTAGATCATTCCATGTCTATGTCCTATGTGGGCATCAGATCAGACAAAGCTGTGAAATATGGACAAGGTAAGGGCTGCTTTGGGCTGCATATTTATTTATTTATTTATTTATTTATTTATTTATTTATTTATTTATTTTTTAGTGGGACCTAGGGACTATGGAGTAACTTCTTTCCCAGTTCCTTTCTTTAACTACCTCCTCCAGGAGCTGAGTGAGGTGAAAATGATCAGTGCCAACCACGATCACCAGGGAATGAGAAGGAGGAAAAACACTGACTTAATTGGGGCAAGAATAGGAGAACAAATGGACACAGGGAGGGGGACATCACACACTGTGGCCTGTCGGGGGGTGTGCAGCAAGGCAAGAGAGAGCATTAAGACAAATACCTAATTCATGTGGGGCTTAAAACCTAGATGACTGGTTGATAGGCACAGCAAACCACCATGGCACATATGTACCTGTGTAACAAACCTGCACGTTCTGCACGTGTATCCCAGAACTTAAAAAAAAAAAAAAAAAGAAACGTAGAGGCTGATTCTGTAGGGTAGGACCCAAGAGTTTGCATTTTTGACAAGTTCTCATGTGATGCTGGTGCTTCTGGTTTCTTGACCACCCTTTGAGTAGAGAGGATTTAGACTGTTTTCAACGTTTTTTCATTATAAACAATGCTGTAATAAATGTTTTTTGCAATGGCCTTTCACAATGTACAAGTCTATCCTGAAGGATAAATTTATAGAAACAGACTTTCTGGGCCAAAGATTTGTATTCTGGTACATTAGAGAAACACTTTAAATTGCCCTTCATAGAATGCCTACTCTGTCAACCCTAAAATGTGAGTGTCTGTTGTTCCACACCCTTGCCAATAGTGGGTATTAGTCAACAAATGTGTGTCCATTTCTCATTAATATTTTTAGTTTTTATTTTATGAATTGAGATGTTACATTATTATTGAACAGATATTCAAGGATGTTAGACCTTCAATGTGAACTGTACCTTTTACATAAGGCACTTTTTTGTTTGGTTTGATTAACACTTTTTACCCTGCATTTCAGCTTCAAACATGCATTTGCATGGTGTGTTTTTGACCCTGCTTTTCCTTCATATTCCTGTGTATTTCCATCTCATATTTTTCCAACTTAAAGTTAGCTTATCAATTAGTTCACTTACATATGCATTATTAAAGTCATATATTATATAAAATCACATGTGAACTTAGAAATGCAGTTTCCCCCACCCTCATCATTTCATGAAATCTTTTCATTTAAACTCTTTTCATGCATTTTCAACATTAGTGTTTTCTTCCCCATCATTAGAGGTAATATTCTGAGTCATTTATCCCAATTTTCCAAAACACATCATCTTCACTTCCTTCAAAAAGTTGAGATACCACAATTTTTGTATCCATGTATGTGTAATAACGTCACTGCAAAACTCATTCCAAACCGCAAATACCCCTTCTTTAACATTCCCCTGTTTTAGCCATTTGTCTTGTAGGTATCTATTCATAAGCTCCTCTGTGTAGCTACTTACTGTGTTGTTTTTTTTCCCTTTCACTTAGTTTTTGTTTTTATTACTAACACATGTGTATAAATATAAATGTACAGCCATAAATGTCAAACATCCTAAGAGATTTATATTTTAAAATACTGAAAAGCAAAATTCCCCAGTCCTCTCCAGCCTCAGTTTCAGACAAAGCAACCACTTTGAATTTCTTTAGTTTTTTGGGCATTTTTCTCTTAATTTCTAAACAACACATTCGCATTGCTTTTTCTTAATGTTTTAAAGTGTTGCATATTATTTATAGAGTTTCCGTAATAAAAAATGTGGACTTGGCTCTTTCACTCTGTTCCTTCCCACTTCCTCTCTCATTTCTAATATAGCTACATCACAGTTTGTTGGATTAAATAATTATTCATTGTTTATATTATTATGATTATATGAATGTTATTTATAGTTAAGCCATGTGCTGAATCATAGTTAGAATTCCTTTTAGGTATAATTTTCTGTTTTTCTATTTTGTTACTACTAACTTTGTTTTTTCTTTTCTTTCCTTTTTTTTCTGGTTTTCATTTGCCTAGTTTCTCTGTATTTATCATTAATTTACCCCAACTCTCTGGCAAAAGTATAATTCTTTTCTCGGGATATTAAAAAACTCCAGTAAGATATTCTTTTGGAGGCCCTGCCTTTTGCTCCAATCCAGACGGGCCACCTTCTTATTCTGTTGTACAGACTCACTCTGGGAGCTCTGTTCACTCCCCTAGGCACCTCCTGTGCTCTCTTATTTGTTGACTCCTGTGTCCTCTGGATCCCAGAGCTTTCTCTTTGTTTCCTCTTGTTTTGGCGGAGCTATCTTCCCGTGGCTTTCTGAGAAAGGGTGGAAAGGGTGTGTGGAGAATCAAATTTTGAGAATTATCATCTCTGAAATTTTTTTTAAATTTATTTTTTATTTCAATAGTTTTTGGGGAAAAGGTGGTGTTTGGTTACACGGATAAGTTCTTTAGTGATGACTTCTGAGATTTTGCTTCTCGCCTTCTCCAGTCTACTCATGCAGGCAGTTAGGCCCAGCTCTTTTTAGTCTGCAAAACTTATTTGTGCTCTTTCCATTTTCCTCCCAAATTTGAAAATTTTGTTTACATCTCTTGCATACTTTTATCTCGTCTCCCATTCTCTTTGTTGTAGTTTTATGCCTTTTTTCATCCTTTTACTGTCACCTTTTTAGTCACATCTGGGAGGAAACAGAGGTAAATATGTTAAAGCTCATGTTTAGCTGGAACTGGTCTATGCTTTCACTTCCACCCTTTTTGAATCACTTTGTTTTAGGTGTGTCAGAGTGACCTTTGCAAATGGCAAGCCTGATCTTATCTCTCTTTGTCTTCAAATCCTCAAGGCCCCTGATTTTTTTTTTAGGATGAAAGTCCAAAGTTTTGACATGGCTTGCAATGCACCTATATGATCTGTCTCCTCCTCTTCTCTCTCAAGACAATACTCCCTTTACTTACTCTTCAACCAGGCTGGATTTTGAACATGCTATTCCTTCTGCCTGGACCCCTCTTCCTTCAACTGCCCTGGCCCTGGCTAATTTCTTCATCATTCAGTGCTTGTCTCTAATTTCCTTCTTTGGAGACACTTACCCTGCCTCCACACCAAGTCAGGTTCCCTGTTACATGCTCCAGCAGCCCTCTATACATACATTGAAAGCCAAGTAGATACTGGATGCCTGCGTCCTTCACTAATGTGTAAGCTCTTAGCTTTGGTGGTGAGTTTTGCTGGAGGTAGGAGATGTACAGGTGGGTTCCATGAGGCCAGGGAACCTGTTGGTCTTTAGTGTTGTGTTCCCATGGCATTAACACAGTGCTTACATAGAAAGGCTGCCCAAAGTATAGCTGTTGAGCAAGTGAATGAATGAATGAATGAGCAAATGTGTATGCACTTGGACTCAGAAATTGTTAGAGCAAGGGGGAAACTTAGAGACTGTGTAGCTTTATAGCTACATTTTATTATTTTTTTTTAACAGTTGGCAACCTTGAGGCTCAGAGACATAAGGGAAAGGTCCCCCAAATACACATGTGTACATTTTTCATAATACTGCTAATAAAAATCCTATGAGGTGCTTTCCATCACTCTCATTTTATAGAAGAAGAAATTGAGGTTCCGAGGACTAAAGTAGCTTTCCTAACATCACACATCTAGTATATGTCAGAACTGGGATTAGCACTCAGGTCTACCTGCCTCTAAAGCTCATCCATGTCTTTACTTCATGATACCTGAATGATAACATTTGGATCACATTTGAATGGACCTGCCAAGGATCAAGGAAGTGAGTATATGAGTTGGTTTTTGCTATGATAACAATCTCTAAACCTCATGGTTCATAGCAATTAACATACAGTTTTTACTTATGCTCTGCAGGTCAGCTGTCATTCTGCTGGGCCTGGCTATACTTGGTATTGGGCTGAGAGTCAAGTTCATGCCTGCTTTATGTATGTTCTCATTCCAGGACTATGCTGAAGGAGTATATATATATATTTTTTATGGTAGAGAGCAGACTGTCAAGAGGTCTACCATAATCATACAGCCCTTCTAGAAGCTTTGGGTCTGTATTCTGTATCTACTCACATTCCATTGGCCAAAGCAAGTGGCATGGTCAAACTCAATATCTGATGTGTGGGAGGCACCTCTTCCCAGGGGGTTGGGGGCTTAAAAGAATGAACATTTGCTGAGCAGTAATACAGTCAAGCACAGTGAGAGACACAGAGATATCTCCGGATAATGACAACATTCAAACCTATTTTCTAGGGGTTTGCCAGCTTGACAGCAATGTATTCTAAGACGCTTCACAGTAGCCCAAAGACCAAGCACCCAGCATGTATAAATGCATGCCTGCTGTTCCCTATACTCACAGATCCCTGGTGAGGCAGTACTGGATGCCAAAACAGGCATCTGTCCTGATTTATCGTTGCCATACCAGTTTTTAAGTATTTTAAGCACTACCCCCTGAGTATATATAAATGCAAGCTATAGATTTACCCTTTTTCTAACCTGGCATGTCAGTCCCTCCTCTGGGACTGGATAGTTCAATAGCTAGGATCTTCCATATCCACAGAGAACTCTGAAGAAGAAATGTGATAGAGCTCAGACACAAAAATCTTCTGCTGAGCTTACAGGATAAAAGGGGAAGTTCCTTTCTTTATTAATTTAATAAACATTTTAAAGATATCTTTCAGTGGTGGACACTCTGTGGGTCCTTGGGGTGGGAGGGTGGGAATAAAACATTGCACAGCAGGACTTGAAAAAGCACACTTTTTATCTCATGAAATGCCAGCATTGAGTGAGGCTTTAGTGCCCTTGCAGGCCAGCTTTTCAGAGAGAAGGAATGTCATTTCACCCTGTTAGTGGAGTGACAGAGCTAGGACCTGATGGCAAGCTTGCTGATTTCTGGGTAAGTGCTCTTCATTGTCTTCAGAGAACACAGAAAACCAATTTTGAGGTTGAATCCCTGGGTAGTGAGATGACAGGTGATTGCTGGTCTGCTTGGAGGGTGGCATTATCTGGCCCTGTCCAAGCGTGTATGTGCTGGACTTCCTTGGGGCACAGAGATGGCCTGGACTCCAAATCCCTTGTCTAGAAGCTGGAATTATTTCCAGCCCCAGTGATAGCCCTCGGGGGAGGGGAGGCTAGCAGCCTTTGTAGCTGATTTAATCATGCCAAGGTGTGTGTGGGAGCCCGTGTTCCTTCTCTGCTTAATCCAAATTACATTAAAAACAAGACTCTCTTGGGGCCTCTGTTAATAATAAGTGGTTTATGCTGCTGCCTGGAGTGGGGGAATTTGTTTGCCTTTCATTCATTCTTGTCCTCCTCCCTCCTCCCCTCATCCCCGCCCCTCCTCTTGCACCTGTGGATGGCAAGAGGAAAAAAAAAAAAAAAAAAAAATAGAAAGATACTTAGCATCCATTTGTTTAAATGGATATTTAAAATAAGGATTTATTTTTTAAGACCTCATTGCCTGGGTTTCTTTACATCTCTCGACTTGGTTTCTAAGCCCCCACACAGTCTGGGCTTCCCGGGGAGGAAAAGGAATTTGCAGATCTGGTGAGCAGTTCTTGGTATTAAGCCCAGTGTGCACAGCTGGTTTTTCCACCTGCAGGGAGAATCCGGGTCCCCCACTCTGTCGTACAGCTCTGGAGGCTTGGTGGAAAAGAGAGCACTGGAGGAGAAGTCCTTCTCTGCCAGTTTTTGTGGTTTGAACTTAGGCAAGGCAGGTCACCTCTGGGAGTCCATTTCCTTAGCTGCACAACAGGAATATAGAGTCGTGTACTCACAAGGCTGGAGTGAGCATAAGGAGGAACTTATTCCTTCTAATGCTTGGAAAAGCAGCACTTTGAAAACTGTTCAGCAGGGAACACATGTGGATGGAGATTATCATTATGATCGCAAGCCCTGCTCTTCTAGAGAATACGGTTGGCTTGGTGGGGCAGTAAGGGGACCCCCTCCTGCTTTCCTCATAATGGTAGCGATAATGAGGGGTCCTGGGGACAAGTAGCAGGAGAGCAGGACCCCAGAGTCCCGCGCCAGTGACTGTGGCATCTGAGAGGCTAGGACCTGTGGCTCCACATGTGTGCAGGCTCGGAGCCCCCCATCTGCCAGCCTTTCCCGCCAGAGCACGTTGGTAAAGCTCTGATATGGCACCGGCTCTCTCCATGGGGCCCTCAATTAGGCTTTGTCTCTGGGACAGGTATGGGAATGGGACACTACAAGAGCTGGGTCTTGGTGGGTGCTGAGGCCAGGTGAGGCCAGCTCTCCTGAGTATGTGATGCCAGGGACAGATCCGTCTCCAGCCCCCGCCTCAGCCATGGTGGTCTCTGCTTCAGAGCCACCTTCCTCCAAGATGGAATTCAAAACATGTCCCCTTTCAATCCCACCTCAACAAATGAGCCCTTCACCTCTGATCTCTTTTTTTGTCTCCTCTGGACATGACAAGGATGATTTTGATATCTGTGGTTGGGTGCTTCAGAGCCCAGGTTTACGAATGAGAAACTCAACGACTCCAGAATAGAAACACCAAATTCAAGTGGGTTAAACTCCAGCCCTGACATTTAATTAGAATCTTTTCCAGCTCCCACACTTGAAGAGTACCTGTTATTTCTTTTCTTTTACTCACAATACACTGTAAGCCAGGAGCATTTTCCTGAGCTCCCGAACCTCTCATCAGAAGTCAATCACTTTGGAAGCATGATAAATACTTCTGAAAGCCTGCTGAGGATTGTGGCAGATCGTGGCTTAGGAAGTGATGAGCTTCCCGAGAGACAATGAGGAGACAGATGAGTGAGGGCAGGTGGCACGCACAAGCTCCCGGTTTTTAATCTGTCCACCATGTCCCCATATTCCTGAACAGGTCACCACCTCTCCAACTGAGTAGAGGCATCTAATGAACCTCTGGACCATTTGCCTTTGAAAATAGCAAGGAGAGAATGCATTGGAGCTGTTGGAGATGGCCTGGGAGCTCTGCCTGCCTTGCTGGGCCATGCTGGGAGTGGCTGGAAGCTTCTGGGAGCAGAGCAGTGGAGTGGAGAGAGAGTGTGGCCAGAGGGATAGTCACACTCCCAGTCTCACACATCAGTGGCCAACGCAGTGGCGAGAAGTACGGTGAAGGAGAGTGTGAAGCTGGGGCCTGGACTAGCCTTTGGAAGTCATGACAGAGACCATGAGGACAGGAACGTGTGAGACAGCAGGCAGCCTGGGTGGGAGGCTCCAGCAGAGGAAACTGGGTGCTCACGCCCTGAGGCAGGGGGAGCTGGGAGTCTGTGAGGAACAGAACAAAGTGTTTCTCACATCCAACCTCCTCTCTCCTCACCTCTGCTACCATCCTGCTTCTGGCCTCTGATCCAGTCTCTTGGCCCCTTTCCTCAGTTCCTTTGAACCCATATTACTGGTTGCTACCAGGTTAATTGGTGTAAAATATAGCTCTGATTGTAACACTCATCCAGATGCAGCTGTGTTTCCCAATGGCCCCCTGAAAGAAGGCTTTGTGTGCTGTGACCCTGTTGTTCCCATGTTTCCCACCATTTTCCTGTGTGTGGCCTCAATTTTAGCCACACTAGGCACTCACCCTCCTGCAAACATGCCTTGGGATTTTCTACTTTGGCACCTATGCTCTTGTCTGAAGTCACCCCACTTTGCCTTAGCCTCCTCCAGTACAAGCACTGAAGCCCTTGAGTCTGGAGCTCAGGAGAATGACCTGGGCTAGGGCCATACATTTGGAGACATAGGATAGAGATGGGATTTCAAGCTGGGAGGATGAAGGAGATGCCCATGGGATTCAGTGTGGGTTGACTAGAGATGACGACCAAGGACAGAGCCCTGGATTCTCCAGCTAGGATTTGATCTCTCAGCAGCCTTCTCTGTGCAGGGCTCCCTAAACTTCCATCTAGAATTCAAAGTCCAAGGAGAGAACCATGAGTTTCTCCAGGCAGGACCACCCTATCTGTTTCTGGGGGATGTCTTGATGCATAGGCTGATGACTCCAAGCTGGAATGAAGCTCTACTTTGGGTAATGGTGAGGGAAACCAACCTTCTCCTCAGCCAACAGAATTTTGTGCCACATATTCTAAAAGTCAATAACTCAAGTAACAAATATCTATAACGTTTTGTTCTCTCAATGTCAAACTCCCTCTTTGTTCTTCTGAACAAATACTGGCACCTTCTTTCTTTTCAAACTTCTCTGTCTCTCATCTATTTATGAATTTCCTTTCAGTTGCATTCTTTACATTGTATCTAAGACTTCCCTGTGTTTTAAACACGTAGATTTGAATCTCTTTCCAAGTACATGTTTTGCCTTGTTTACTATCATACCAGGTGTACCAAATGTATATTAGCTATCTTTTGGAGCTTGTTTACTTGGAGCACAAGGCCTGACTCACCTATTGAGCCCAACGCAATGACTGGAAAAGTACATATGTGGGGAATCTTAAGTTGTTCCCATAGGAAAAAGGGAATTCATGCAACTGATGCTGTAAGAACTGAAGCTTAGTTCCTGGCTTCAAGCTGGCTGTCAGTCCTACTCATTTCTTTCTGCACGTGAATCTTGAGTAAATGATAAAACAACAACAACAACAACAACAAACAAACAAACAGACAAAGGCATTTCAGAACTCTGACTCTTTTTCCACAACAGTTAATTACGGCAGCCCCTAGGGTTCCCCTGCTACTGTGCCCTTCCCCAGTATCTCCCTGAAGACAGTCAGGAGAGAAGTCACTTCGTCCTTTTTAATACGAAAACCTTGTATTTGGGTAAAATGTGTTTTGGGAAGTTATATTCTAGAAATTCTGGGAATATTCCGTATTCCTCTGACAAGACTGCAGTCTTCATCAGAGAATGGGCTGTCAAGAGGTGCTGTGGCTTTTATAGCTTAATGAGTACATTTAAATGTTGGATGCAAATTAGGCATAATATTAATGTTAGCTTCAAAGAGCAGAGAAGATAGTTAAACAGCTGTGAGGCTTTCTTCTGACTAGGCAAGCCTAGGAGTTGCATTGCCAACACAGAGACATAATGTGATAGCTTTCTGATGGCTTCTGCCAAGCCACATGGATGTAAGAACATAATGATGTAAACATAAAGTAGCTGTTCTTCATGCAGACCTGGGCAGACCACCAGAATCTGTCTATCCAAGAACTCTCCTGCTCTCTGCATTTCTCTGCCTTCCTCAGGCTGGCGAGACAGTGCATGGTGGCCACAGCGTGAATTATCTGTGGGCATGTCAGGAAGGGCATGCTCCAGCTCCCACCTGCCTGCAATAATTCCACTCGTCAGACAGCACTCCAGAGGTGCCAAATTCTATTAGCCACAGAGAGCAATATTTCCATATCTACCCCTCTAATCACCTCCCTCCTGCAAGCGGATTAATTAAAATGCACATGCAAATACATTAGTTACAAACCCAGTGTCCCTCTTCACATGCAGATGCAATCAATAGATGCTAAGATGATTTGCATAATGGAAAAAGCAAAAGGAGTCTTTACTAATGTGGCTTTTGGGGTGAAACTTGAAAACCTTGTATGCATCCTATGTAATCTAAGCCTGCCTGGGAGTCTGGCACAGCATGTGTTGTTCTCTTACGCTTCTAGGTAAACAATTGCTCTAAGATCTGAGACATTTCTCCCAGGAAGTCCTCCTTATTCTACTGTCTGCTCCCTTACTGGCCCCTCAGTGGATAGCCTCAGGTCAGGGCTGGGTCACTGTCTTGCATTTGTCCACACCTTTCATTCAGAGTGCTTTCCTTGTAAGCTGGAGGCCAGAAAAATGCCACTGTCCTCCCAAGCCCTGTCCATGCTTAATAGCTTAATTCTGAGAACATGTAACCACACCGTCTCATTGTTCAGCTGGGGACACTGAGATCCTCAGTGGAGACATCAATTGTCTAAGGCTACACTAAATAAGTAGTAAAGCTGGATCCAGAATGAAGCCAGCTCTGTGAGAGTGCCCAGAGCTGGTTGTGAGGTAGTGATTAATCAGAGATGCCTTCTTCCCTCAGGCTATCATTATTATACTGTATCACTTAGGCTCAAGGTGCTGTTATTAAACAACTCAAAGTACAAACTCAATTGCTATTTACCACGTGAGGGCTGGAGAGTTCCACAGCCTAGAGAATCTCTGTAGATTCTCTATATCAGAGATTAGATTCTCTATATCAGAGATTACTAGCATTTTTTGTTTGTTTATCAGAACACTTTTTACATGAAGAATATTTTGGGTCTCTTTTTAACACAATGCAATTGTATAAAAGTATATATTAAGAAGATAGAAAATGACAGAAAGTACTCTGACTCTAGTAGCAGTACATACATTTCAAAAATAGCTTGTACATTGGCTAAAATATTTTTTCAGCACATAGGCAAGGTTTAAAGAGCCAGTGGATTTGTGGATTCTCCAATGACTCTACTGTGCCCAGGAGTCTATGGGTTAGAGTAGAGATATCTTTGCCTTGGATTCGAAAGTCTCTGGAATAGAGCCTGTTGTTGGGATTCTTCAGGAGGCTGAGACAAGTGGTAACCAGCTGTTAAAATAAAAACTTTAGACAAGATACATTTAACAGTTTATTTGAGCATTACAGGATTCGTGAGTCAGGCAGCATTCAAAACTGGATGAGGTTCAGAGAACTCTGCTCCAGCATCACGGCAGCGAGGTTTTATAAGCTGAATGCAGAAATAAAGAAATGACTTGATTGGTTATAGCAGCATTTGCCTTACCTGGGTATGGTCGAATGGGAGATCCCCTAGTTATATAACCAGTCGGTTGGTTGACCATCTGTGATTGGCTGAAGCGCAATTCAGAATTACTCAGTTATAAGGAAGGCCTCTAAGTTAAGTTTTAGTCTGCTTGTAAGAAGGTTTTGGGTACAGAAACAACCCCATGCTAATGGCTTCCTGCCTGTTTCGCTTTAACGCGGTCAAACCAGTTTTTCTTCCAGTCATTCTAAAACCAACTGTCTGTAGGGTGAGTCTTTCAGGAGATGGCAGGAGGGAGGATTTCCAAAACATCAAGTTATGTCTGAGAAGAATGTGAATCTCAGCCCCAGAGCATGAGGTTGGTGGCTAATGATAATAATAATAACAATGGTAATCTACCATTTATTAAGTAGCTACTAAGTGCAAAAGAAGAGACTCTGCAAAGGGAGATTAGATACAGAGATAATACACCTCCCTCCAACAAAACCCAGGGTCTCATGCATACCAGCCTCTTGCATTGAGTCATGTTTTAAGAAACAAATTCTAACAACCAAAAGTAATTAAGCAGAAATTTCAGTCTTTACTGCCATCTCTCAAAGAACATTAAAATGATTGAATTCAAGCCTTGCAGTAGATCTCTCAACATTGCCTTTCCTTCTTTGGTCTCCCACACTCTGCAGCCTACTTCAGAACCTCTTACTTGGCAATTACTCCACAGTGCTCCCTGGCATTTAGCTTTAGTGTTTTTGCTGCTGTTTTCTTTTCTTCCTTGCATCTCCTGTCCCTGAGATCTTTACCAGGCGGACAGACTTAAAGCCTCTGGCATCAGCTTTAGTTTCTCCTCTGTTTGCTAATTATGTGACTGTCCATACCAAAGGGCTGTCCCGGGGACTGACTCAATAGGCAAGAACCACCTGTACCAGGATGGCCAAGTAGTTAAAGGCACTGGACTTAAGAGCCAATGGACATATGTCTGTGTGGGTTTGAACCCCACTCCTGGTGGCTTCAGATTTTTCTCTTAAAATATTTTGGCCAGGTGCAGTGGCTCATGCCTGTAATCCCAGCACTTGGGGAGGCTGAGGCAGGTGGATCATCTGAGGTCAGGAGTTCGAAACCAGCCTGGACAACATGGTGAAACCCTGTCTCTACTAAAAATACAAAAATTAGCCAGGCGTAGTGGCAGGCACCTGTAATCCCAGCTACTTGGGAGGCTGAGGCAGGAGAATCACTTGAACCCAGGAGGCGGAGGTTGCAGTGAACTGAGACCGTGTCATTGCACTCTAGCCTAGCCAACAAGAGCAAAACTCCATCTCAAAAAAAAAAAAAAAAAAAAAAAAAAAGACAAGAACCTTGTCTCTCTGCCTTCTCCCTCTCTCCTGCTTCTCTCTCTCCCTTCATCCTTCCCAATTTGTACCACAAAAAGCCAGATAATGGGGCAGAGATAGAACTCCCCTGAAAGACCAGGGGTGAGGAAAAGCTGAGCAAAATTCTTCAGACAGGGTATGATGAGGGTTAGGAAAGTGGAGAAAGTTGGATGGAGGCTGGGAATGTTGACACATTTGCACATCAATAAGCCTGGTTCCATCACATACATTTTGTGATTTAATCTTCATAGTAACCCTTTGAGGCAGTGGATTTAACTTCATGTTTCAAGTGAGGAAAGGAGGTTAACTAGGTCAGTAAGAAGGTAAGATGACAAAGCAGTAAGAAGGTAAGATGACAAAGGTGCTGCATTGGCACTCAGAGAATTTCCCCACTTTCCTCCTTAAGTTTTGGCAGCATTTTGTTCCCAGGAGTCCTGTTCCAAATGATTCTGTGGCTCCGTGGTGTGGTCTTGGGTGTTTTGTGAGTATCTCTTTACCATTTCCTCAGTCCGAATCAATTTTTATTCCATGCTTTTGGTCTGCCTAGAACACTCTGGATTCAGGCTATGGCATGGTTGCTTTGGAGATAAAATCCTATTTTACTTCAGGTGTTCTGTATACATTCTGGCCACACTAGCTTATTCTTCATTTTCAAATGTAGCTTTATTGTACTGGTCCTTCTGCCTTTGAAAGTGCTTCACAGCCTTGCAAGCTACCTCCCACCCATAGCTTTGCCAGGCAGGACTGCAACTGGTAAGATTGGTCCTGCTGCTAGTTCCACACGGGAAGAATGGGAAGTGCATACCTGTTATGGGTTAAATTGTATCTCCTCAAAGTTCATATGTTGAAATCCTCAAACTGCTGACCTCAGGTGATCCGCCCACCTCGGCCTCCCAAAGTGCTGGGATTACAGGCGTAAGCCACCATGCCCGGCCCATATGTTGAAATCCTAACCCTCAGTGCCACAGAACATGACTGTATTTGGTTGGAGATGTGGTCTTTAAAGAGGTAATTAAGTTCAAATGAGGTCACTAGTGTGGGCCCTAGTCAAATATAACTGGCGTCCTTGTAAGAAGAGGAGATTAGGACACAGACACACACAGAAGTGTGACCATGGGAGGACACAATGAGAATTCAGTCATCTGCAACCCAAGGAGGAGGCCTCAGGAGAAACCAACCCTGCTGGTACTTTGACCTTGCCCTTCTAGCCTTCTGAACTGTGAGAAAATAACTCTGTTGTTTATGCCCCTCAGTCTGTGGTATTTCATTATGGCAGCCCTTGCAAACCAATACAGTACTCTTCTTTAGATTTGTCAGAAGCCCCTGTTCTAGAATCAATTCCATGGGAGTATAAAATAGCCAAGAAGAGCCCTAGGCCCTGTCTATGTGCCCCTCCAAGAGGCTGCTGAGCAGCCCACCCCAAGGCTAGGCAACTTTTTGGAGATTATTCTCCTCTAGGCTACAACAGTACATCTGAGAAAGTTCAGCTAAGAGGCAGCTGCCAAGCCTACAAAGGGTGTTTGGAAGGAGTGAGTGTAAAGAAGATCTCATAGACCAAGCAAAGTAGAGTCCACAGCCTCAGCATCCCCTGAGAGTGTGTTACAAATGCAAGATCTCAAGCCTTACCCCAGATCGACTGAATCAGAATCTTAATTTAACAAGAGCCTCAGGTGATCAGGATGCACATTAAAATTTGAGAAACACTGACTTTGATCCATGGGCCCTTGCATCTGATAATAGCTCACGTTGTAACTGACCTGTGTACCTCCTGCAAATCCTCTGCACAGCTGGAGAGTCCAACTGGGTTGCTTCAGGATGGCCCAGGCCAGGGGAGCTAAGGCAGTGGTGTTTAACCTTGGCTACACATTGAGATCACCTGGGGGACCTTAAGACCCCCCTACCCCCAGGGTGGAGGTTGCAGACAAGGCCGAGTAAATGAGAAACTCTGCAGGGTGGGGGTGGGGGAAACCTACCCATCAATGTATGTTTTAAGGCTTCTCAAATGATTTCAATTTGTGGACACATTTTAGAATGTATTAGTTATCTACTGCCTCATACAAACAGCCCCCAAATTTAGTGGCTTAAAATAATAGCTATTTATCTAGCTCATGATTCTATAGGTTAGCACTTTGGGCTGGGATCTGCTATTCGGTTCCTCTGGTTGCTGCTGAGAGAGCGGGAGAGAGGGAAAGAGAGAACAAGCGTGGACAAAAGCAGGCCTTCTTGAGATCTAGGCTCAGAACTGACACTGTGCTGCTCCCTCCATTTTCTACCAGTTACAGCAAGCTGTAAGGCCAGCCCAGAGTCAAGGGGTGCAGAGAGATTTCCGCTCTTGATGGGAATTGCTTGGGTCACATTACAAAAGACATGGGTACGGGGAGGAGTGGAGACCTGTGGCCATTTTTGCAGTCTAACACATTGGAAGGACAACAACTCCCTCCTTGACCAAACTTTAGTCAGGCTCCTCCAAGCCATCTTTTTGTCTAGGCCTCATCCTTAGCCCCCATCTTTGGCCTGTTGAGGCCAGTTATTTTATTTATTTATTTATTTTATTTTTAATTTTTTTTTATTTTCTGATATTATTGGAACTTTTTTTTTCTTTCCAGTTTTGGCAAGAATCCTGCTAAGCCAGTTTACTGAGAATCCCTGCATCCTTGTGGCCAATCAAGTTTCTCCTCCCCTCTACCCTTGATACCTGACAGAGTTTCTCTTAGTGATTTTCCATCCTCTCCCCCACCCTGCCTATTAGCTAGAAATCTTCAGCGGCCCCTATTGTATTTGGAGTTGATTCAGCCTCTCTCTCCTATTGCAATAGTCTTGACCCTTATTGTAATAGTCTTGAGTAAAGTCTTCTTTGCCATTTTAAAAGTGTCCAATACAACTTCTCTCTAACAGGACCACTGAGGTGGAGAAATGTCTTCTGCTCTCTTGTCCCCCTCAGCCTCCTCACACAGTGTCTCTGAAATGGCCTGAACTCTCTCCAGCTGTTACCAGGGCTGTGGAGGCTTAAGTGGCCTTTCTGAGGGAAACAGGCTAAGGCAGTTTGCTGAACGGTGTGTCCTAGTGATTTGTGTTTAAATCCCAGAGGTTCTATTTGTGATCTCAAACAAAGAGTGTTCTCTCTTAAGCTGAAATCTCTCATTTCATAAATGAGGGTAATAATACCTTCCTAGCAGAGTTGCAAAGCTTAAATAAAATATCTGTGAAGGCTGGGTGCAGTGGTTTATGCCTATAATCCCAGCACTTTGGGAGGTCAAGGTGGGCAGATCACGAGGTTAGGAGCTCGAGACCAGCCTGGCTAACATGGTGAAACCCCGTCTCTAATAAAAATACAAAAAATTAGCTGGGTGTGGTGGCATGTGCCTGTAGTCCCAGCTACTCAGGAGGCTGAGGCAGGAGAATCGCTTGAACCGGGAGCCAGAGGTTGCAGTGAGCTAAGATCATGCCACTGCACTCCAGCCTGGGTGACAGAGCGAGAGTCTCAAAACAAAACAAAACAAAAATAAGTATCTGTGAAAGCTTCTAGCTCACAGGTGTCCAGTCAATTTGGTTTTCCTTCTTTATAGCAAACTCTTATTAATTAGGATTAACAAGGGCAAAGGCCGGTCTGAATGAACGAAAGTCTAACTATAGAATTTCTCATCTGGCCCCAAAGTAGCTGTAATCTCTCAACCACGGGGTAACCACATTAAATGTTCTCTGCAAGAGGGAGGTCCTTAGAGGCCTACAAGAACAAATAGCATCTCAACAATTGGTGGTAAATAAAGAATGTAATTATCTGAATGTGGTTCATTCTTCCTTTGATCCTGTATGCATATTGCCTGTTACTGCTATACAAGGTAGGCTTTTAACACATGTTTAGTGAATGGGAATATTTTTGCAATCCCCTTTGCCCATGAGTAACACTAATAACCATAATAATGGCAGCTGTCATTCACTGAGAGCTTACTATATGCCAGGCTCTTTACGTATATCACCTCATTTAATGCTCAACTCAACCGCAGGATATGGGAGTTACCCATCTTTCCTAGATGAGGAAACTTGGGCTCAGAAAAGTTAAGTAACCTCCAGAAAAGTAGAATGCCAACTCAGCCATCTGTCTGACTTCCATCACCTCTCCTAGGTTGTTCTAGGGGATCTTTCATCTGGACCTCTGTCTGAACTCAAAATATGTCTAATTGAGCGCCCCCAAATGAATGGTTTCTCTATGGTCATGGCTGGAGATAGTGATAGCCAGCTTTCAGCAGCTTGTTTGTAGAAGAGATGTGTATTTTACCATAAAGGTCTTTTTCCATCAGGGGAGAATAGGTTTTTGAAAGAGTTCCTAAACCTGTCCTTTGGGGTCTTTGCGATACTGTCAAGGGACTTCTCAGGAGGCAGGGCTCGAATACCAGACACTGGACCAAGTTGAGGACTAGCTACAACAAGGACAGGGTGGAAGCAGCTTTCCATAAGACACGCCCACCAGTATGCTGTGTCAGTTTACCATTGCCGTGGCAACACCAGGGAATTACTGCCCCTTTCCATGGCAATGACCGGATGACCCAGGAGTTACTACCTTTTCTCTAGAAATTTATGCATAAACCACCCTCTAATCTACATGTCATTAAAAATGGGTATAAATATGACTGCAAAACTGCCCTGAGTTGCTACCCTCAGCACACTGCCTGTGGGGTAGCCCTGCTCTGCTGGAGCAGTCACGGGGCAGTAACACCACTGGAGCTGCAACATTGCCGCTTCAATAGAGCTGTTTTCTTTTACCCTGCCAGCGGCTTGCCCTTGAGTTCTTTCCTGGGTGAAGCCAAGAACCCTGGCGGGCCAAGCCCTACTTTGGGGCTTGCCTGTCCTGCATCAGTTGTAAGTTCCAGGATGCCTCCCATCTGCCAGCCATGGTAGCTCCTGCCTCTGTCTCAACTTCTCCTCTTGGTTCTGTGAATGCCTCTTAGCTGAGAAAGATTTCCAATAAACTGGACCTGACATTTTGAAAGTCTGAAGTTGGTAATTGGGCCTTCGTTCTGCCAGGTTCAGGCTGTGCTGAGGTCCACTTCTTAGCTTGATTCTTTCTTCCTAAACCTCAGGCTCCTCCAAGATGCCTTGGCCTGCTGATAATTTGCATCCTTAGGGTAGGAGGCCAGCAGGAACCAGAAACTGCAGAGAGGGCGGCTTCTGGGATGCTGCCTTTGAGGGGGTGGGGGCCGTAGGGGGATTCTCAAAACTGAGTTTCGTATCTGGGGTCCACTCTCCTCACCAGGGAAGGGGCACATGGATGGGCTTTGAAAGGTTCCTGAGCCTCCTGAAATTGTATGCAAAAGTTTGCCATTGAAATTTTCGGTGGAGAGGGTCTGAAATTTTCATCTGATTCTTAATAACGTTGAGAACCCTAAAGAACTCAAGAATCACTAGTTTAAAAATCAGGGATTGGAGAATTGGGAAGAGCTAGAGGCAACAGGAGTGTTAACTCTGGAGAAGAACAAGAGGATGAAATGGATCTTGAGTAACTCTGATGTTTTGTTTTGGCAGCGAGACTGTTTATGAACAATGCCAGTGTTCCCTGTACTTAATCTGCATTGTTGCACTCAACCCTCATAATAGCCCTTTGAAGGAGACATTGCATTCTCACTTTGCATATAAGGAAATGGGGTGCTTGGGGAGGTTAGACGACTCACCTAAAGTCACACAGCTAAGAATGGTGGAGTTTGGATTCAAACATGGTTTTATCTACCTTCAGAGGACAGATAAGATATGCAGCACGGGAAGCTAATTAGAAGTAGGGAGAAACTTTCTCCACACAGTTGACTATATGCTGAAATAGTAATGAAGAGATGTAAAGTTTAACTACTCCTAGAGATTTTATTTTATTATTTTATATATATTTTTTGAGACAGAGTCTCACTCTGTTGTCCAGGCTGGAGAGCAGTGGCGCTATCTTGGCTCACTGCAACTGCCACCTCTCAGGCTCAAGCGATCTTCCCACCTCACCCTCCCAAGTAGCTGGAATTATAGGCACATGCCACCATGCACAGCTAATTTTTTGTAATTTCTTAAAATAGAAATGGGATTTTGCCATGTTGACCAGGCTGCTCTTGAATGCCTGACCTCAAGTGATCCACCTGCGTTGGCCTCCCAAAGTGCTGGGATTACAGGCATGAGCCACTGCGCCCGCCTACTCCTAGAGATTTTAAGTAACTTCTTTCATTTTATAGCGCTCAAGTAGTACAATGTAGATTACTTTATTCAGGTCTTCCTAACAACCTGTCAAATGTATAAGGTAAATATTATTTCCTGCATTCTGCAGTGACACAGACTTCCCAGTATACTGCAAGGAGGAAGCAGCAGCTCCCTGCTGCCCAGCCCGAGATGCAGCTGCTGAGCTACAATTAGCTGGATGCTGGAGGCTGGACCTGAGGGCCTCTGGGAATTCCTTCTGGCTTAAGAGAGCCATCATTTAAAAACTGGTTTCAGTTGTAGGGGAGTCTCAACCATCAGTGACGTCTGTTGTTTTGAGTTTTCCTCCTAAAGTGCTTTTCTTTCTGCAAGATAAAAGAGAATTTCTTGGAAAAAAAAAAAAAAAGAAAACTTTTTTGTTAACACCCAAGTTATCATAAGGATACAGTAAAACCCAACATCAGAGAGACACAGGTGGTGGTGACTAACATGAGCCAACACAAGCCAAGAGCACCAGCACCCAGTGCACAAACCCCCATCACAGGCCCAGCAAGTTCAATGCAGCTCTGGTTTGGGAGGTTTTAGGAGCAAGCAGCTGTTTTATTTCTAACCACTGACTTATGGAAAGATTGAGTTGCAGTTTGTGTGTGTGTTGGGGGTGGGGGGTGGTGTGGGGAGGTGTAGGGGGATGGGACCAGGCCCTGGGGGAGGTGAGTAGGGTACAAAACATAAGTGAAGCAGCATCATTGTCTGGGGTAAATACCTGGGGTTCGTCATTTGGCGCCAAGAAGATTAGGGACACGGACACACATGGATGGGTTAAGGAGCAGAAAGTCTAATAGGCAGAAGAAAGGAGAGAGATGGACATCTGGGCATCTGAAAGGGAAAAACTGGCCTGAGGCATACCACAGCAGATTTTATAGGCAGGCTTGAGCAGGTGGTGTCTGATTTACATAGGGCCCACAGATTAGTTCCACAAGGTGTGACATATACATAGCACGAAGTGAAAGGCTGGTAGCCCCACCCTGATCTTATTATGCAAATGGGCTTTCCACTTGGCCAGGATCTTGCCTGCTCCTTATTGTACATGTGGCTGGCAAAGAGACAGGAAGATGGAGCCAAATTTTGATCATGCCTAGTCCCAGGTAGCCTATTTCTATTGACATAACTGCCGGCATTCACCCGTGCAAACTTCCAGCTTCCCTTTCTATGTCTGCAGCTCGATTTTACAGGCTGCTCTTTGTTAGAAAAGAAAATGATTTTGGGGCTGCTTTTCATTAAAAGGAAAACCTTAGTGAGGACTTCCTTACCCTCACTATCTGCCTAAATAATTTGTTTTTAACTCCTATATCTTAAGGCAGCACCCACTCTCAGAATTGCTCCTGTGTGGGGTCAGCCCTGAGAGTGGTGCCTCTTTATATTTTTCATCCTCTAAGCCTCACTCACCGCCAGCTGGGCCTGGGCCTGAGCAATAGGGTTGGGCCTTCTCATTAAAGACATTTAAAGTCCCTGTCTCCTAGCTCATAACAGTCAATGAACAGAATGCTTATTTAAATATTCTCTTCCCTCTAAAAGGAACAGTTGGGTTGCTGCAGGTGCATATGGAGTGAGCATATGTAGGGGTCTGTCCTTCAGCTAAACACCACTCCATGCTCTGGTGGGTGTGAACGCCCCCCAGTGGGTGGAACTGTTCCTATGATTAGTCATATTTTGTTTAATTTTTACTCCTAATGGATCACTGGTTGAAGAGAGGAAGTATAAGGAACACTCACATTGAAATTAAAAAAAGACAATGAGAATTGTTTGCCTCACAATCACCTTGAACAAATCAGCAAGCTGCATGTAGCTACTCAAAATTCTCATATAGCATATCAACGTGTCTCTAGTACTTCAAAAACCAATATTAAAACAGAAAAAGTGCATTTCATTTTGGTTTTTCATTTATTGGGAATAAATATTATGCATGAAGATTTTGTCTGCAGATGAGATGCTTGAAAGTAGCAGGCTGAAAGCTTCTCTTTTATCTCCTTTAGAAATAAAATATGAAATATTTTAAGAAAAAAGACTAGTTCATTCTTTAAAGTGCAAAATTTAATAATTTCAGTCATCTGGTCATCAGAGCAGTTTTTGATGCTGTAATATCTAGTCAAAATTTTAGTATGTGTTCCAGCCCCAAACCAAACACTTCAGACTAAGACGGTGTTTTAAATTTCTGAGGGAATTTCTGAGTCATCCTTCTGTGAAACGACTGGAATGTGCGGGTGTGAAAGAAAGAGTCTAAGCTTTGGAGCCAGAGAGAACTGACTTGGGAATCCTCCCGGACCATGCCACACCACAGGAATCCTTCCGGACCACACCAATCCTGCTGCTCTTGTAGCTTCGGTTTCCACATCTGCAAGAAACAGCCTGGGAAGCTTGAGTGCACGTGCCATGAGCTTACTAGATGTGATCTCTCCATGGATGGCAACTTTTTGTCATTTATGTTTGGGCTCCATTCTTCCTTGACAACCGATTTAATTGCTACCCCACCCCCATGCCCAAAACCGCCTCCTGCCACATTTCGTTTTCATTATAGTCATAGCACTATTGCTGCCTGATGGTATCTTATTCATTTGCTTATTTTATTTTTTTATGTTTTTTGAGACAGGGTCTTGCTCTGTCACCCAAGCTGGAGTGCAATGGCAGGATCTCAGCTCACTGCAACCTCTGCATCCCAGGCTTAAATGATCCTCTTGCTTCAGCATCCCAAGTAGCTGGGACTACAGGCACGTGCCACCATGCCAGGCTAATTTTTGTATTTTTTTGTAGAGGCAGAGTTTTGCCATGCTGCCCAGGCTGGTCTCGAACTCCTGGACTCAAGCTATCTGCCTGCTTCAGCCTTTCAAAGTGCTGGGATTATAGGCATGAGCCAATGCACCTGGCCTCTCATTCATTTATGTTTATTTATTTATTTGTTTTGTTTTACTGCCTGCTGCCCTTGCTGGAATGTGAAGTCTCAGGAATCTCACCCAGAAAACCTCTTTTTCTTTCTTTCTTTCTTTTATCATTGCCTCTCCTGTGTTTAGAATAGCCTGGATCTAATACATGCTTAATAAAGCTTTGTTGAATGAATGTTAAATGACTTTCTCTTTTCTCTCTTTCATAACTGGCTGCGACAGTCATTTCATCTGTCCATGTCTTTGTTACTTCATTTGTCACAGAAGCACATTGTTCTAGATCAGCAGTCGGCAAACTATACACAGCCCATGGGTGGAATCTGGCCCACCACCTGTTTTTGTGTATAAAGTTTTATTGAAACACAGCCATGCTCACTTGGTTACATATTGCTGCAGCTGCTTTTGCACCCCAACTGCAGGGTTGAGTAGTTGTGGAGATGATATAGCTTGAAAGCCTAAAATATCTACTACCTGCCCCTTTGCAGAAAAGTTTGCTAATTCTTGGTCTGGTTGAACTCTGAGTTGTTTATACTCCTGATACTTTTAATTGTCTCTGAAATACTCACATGAGGTTTACTGCTCTGTGTAATAACCAACAGCTAATTGATTTTCTGGAACTTCTTTGAAGTTTTGTACTAGGCCATGAATTGACTTTGTTTGGTTTTGAATTTTACACTAATGGTTCATTCATTGCTCCATTACTTTCCAGCCTTCTTCCAAAAAGGACTTAAACTCTAAATACTATAATTGCTGTCACCTTGAGATTTGCTTTAACTTTTTTTTCTGCCACCAGAAATTTCAATTCTAGGATGGAATTGCCTTAATACTGCACTTAGAGTGTTCTTGGCTTTGAAATCAATAAATGTTTCTAGCTGGTATTGCCCCAATTTCAATGTCACAAAACATCAGCTGAGAACTGGAGGTGGAGAAGGAGGGTGCAGGTTCCTTATTTCTCCGAGGAGTCTCTTCCCTTTTTAAGCTCCCTTCCCACATGGTTTCACAAAGGACTGTGTTTCAGAAGAGAGGCAGTGTGGTACGATAGAAAGAACACCGAGTTTGGCGTCAGAGAGATTTTAGTTCACAGTCTATATTTGCCACATTCTAGTTACATGATTTGGGACTAGTAATAGAACCTTTCTGTGCCTCAGTTTCCTCACCTGTAAAGTGGAGATAGGTTGACACCTCATAAAGGAGGGTGAGTAACTGGTCATTTGATAAATATTATCTGAGCACTTGTGATATAGACACTAGGCATTATTCTGGGCAGAATAGACAGACGTATCCCTGCTTTCATGGAGCTTATGTTCTGGCAGCAGGAAGTTGTTGGCAAATAAGCAAACAAATATTTAATATAATGATGAATGCAATGAAGAAAAATAAAGCAGAATAAAGGGATGAAGGATAATGGAAGAGGACTACTTAATGTAGTGGGATGGTCAGGGAAGCCTGCTTAAGGAGGTGACATTTGAGAAGAGACCTGAAGGAAGTGAGGGAAGAGACACAGGAATCTCTGGGGGAACAAATCTGGAGCATCAGAGAGGCAGAATGTACAAAGGCCCTGAAGACGCAGCATGTGTGGTATGTTCAAAGAAGACTTGTAGGCCAGGGTGGCTGGAGCTGAGGAAGCGGGTAGCATGTGAGGCTGGAGGAACAGCCAGGGTTGGGGCTGTGAAGAGAACCCAGGATTTTGTTCTAAAGGTAGTGGGATGCCAATGGAGAGCTTCGAGTAGGGATGTAACAGGATCTGATGTATGCTTTAAAACAATTCTGGGGCCAGACATGGTGGCTCATGCCTGCAATCCCAACACTTTGGAAGGCCAAGGCAGGAGGATCACTTAAGCCTAAGAGTTCAAGACCAGCCTAGGCAACATAACAAGACCCCTACCTCTACAAAAAATTTAAAAAGTATCCAGGCATGGTGCTATGCACCTATAGTTCCAGTACTTGGGAGGCTGAGGCAGGAGGATCCAATGAGTCCAGGAGTTAGAAGCTGCAGTGTAGCTGTGATCATACCATTGCACTCCAGCCTGGGTGACAGAGTGAGACCTTGTCACTAATTAAAAAAAAAAAAAATGAAAGAAAGAAAAAGAAAAGAAACTCTGGCTGTCGTGTGAAGAGTAACTGTGAACTAAAATTTTAAAGATGGCTGTTATTTTTTTTTGCTCATGGTAGACTCACAATAAATAATACATACCCCAGAACCATTTAGAGAGAATTACCTGGTGCTGTCATAAGACAATTTGACAGTAGTTGTGAAAATGGCCGCATTGCTGAAAGGTGGCAGAAAGAGAGGAACTTCCAAGTGATCTCTGCCCTAGTAGGTTAGGGGCTCAGGTGCAGGCCAGTCCTGTCTGGATGCAAGGGATGGAATCCTGCCTCTGGCTAGTGCTCTATCTTCCATGGCTGATGAGACTATCCAGCCTTCCCCCTGTCAGCCTTTAGTAGCAATTAGAGGCACTCAGGTTGGGCTGAACTACATTTGTCACATTTGAAATTGGATCATAGAAAGGAGAGGTGATTACAAGTGCTTTAGAAAGACCAAACACCATTAAGCCTCCGAGATCTGCTGTTTGGAAAGCCCTCAGCCCAGGCTGTTGAGAGTAGGAGGGGAGTTCTCAAAGGAAGGACTAAAGGCATGACAAAGCAGAGTGTGGGATTACAATAATTGTATGAGTTTAAAAAATCAGGACTCAGAGAGAGTGGGAACCAGCTGCCCTGTGCCCTCAATTATGCCAGCACCTAAGGGGGATTGTGTGTGTGTGGGGTCGGCGGGGAGGGCAGTGTTACTATCTGGCCACAAGTTCACTCCAAGTGACCAGCCTGCTGTGGGGTCAGTTCAGCCCAGGTCTGGGAGGAGTCACTTCTCCTTCCTCCCTGAGAGGGCCACATGCTCAGCTTCCCGTCTCCTCTGTGTAGAGATCGTGGCCACATTTGGCTTCAGAGTGTCTGTGGGTGGCTAGCTGGCTGTCTTCTGCCCTTGAAGTCCCTGCTGAGAATGGGTGGGTGCAGTTCCAGTAGGGTGACCAATTGTCTTGGTTTGCCTGGGATTGACAGATTTCCTTGGGTGTGAGGTTTTCAGTGCTAAAACTGGGCAAGTCCTGGGCAAACCAAACAAGCTAGTCACCCTGGGGAGCTGCCTAGACTAAGGGTTCATTGACAGTGGGAGCTGGGTGGTGTTTTTAAAACCACAGATAGAATTACATGCCATACAATTCATTCATTTCAAAGGTGTAATTCAATGATCTTTAGTACATTCACAGAGTTGTGAAACCGTCATTACAATCAATTTTAGAATATTTTCATTGTTCCCAAAAGGAATGCCATCCTCTTTAGCAGTCCCTCCCAATTGCTGACCAATAATCCTCCTGCCCCCTCCCCAGACCTACACCACCATTAATCTTCTTCGTATCTTTATACATTTGACTATTCTGGATATTTAATGTAGACGGAATCATATAATATGTAGTCTTTTATGACCAGCTTCTTCCACTTAACGTAATGTTTGCAAGGTACTTTCATGTCTTAACATGTATCAATACTTCATTCCTTTTTATTGCTGAGTAACATTCCATTGTATTGATATACTGCATTGACTTATGCATTCATCAGTTGTTGGATATTGATATTGTTTCTACTTTTTTTTAATTGGGAAGAATGCTGCTATATTATTCATGTGCAAGTGTTTGTATGGACATGCATGTTCATTTTTCTTGTATAGGCAGGAGTGAAATTTCTGGGTTATATGATACCTCTTTTGGACCTTCGGTCCCAAAGTGACTGAAGTGCCATTTACATTCTCACTGGCAGTGTCTCAGGCTCTCCTCACCCTCACCAACACGTGTTGTTCTCTGTTGTTTTTATTATAGCCACCCTAGTGGGTGTTAAGTGGTATCTCATTGTGGTTTTGATTTTCCTGGTGGCTAATAATTGGGGGCTATGCTTTATTCATACAGATTCCAGGCTTCCAAGATAGAAATTGTAATTTAAGGAGTATAGGATGGCACTTAGTAAGATGTATCCTTATTTTTTCCTCATTGACTAATAGTTTAAAAGCCTCTTTAAAAATAAAATTTCTTTTTGCTTTCTTCCCACAATTAATTTTGTAAGGTAATTCTAATTTACATTAGTCCCCCTTTACCCTTGGGGGTATGTACATTCTAAGACCCCCCAGTGGATGCCTGAAACTGCAGATGGTACCGAATCCTATATATACTATGTTTTTTCTTATAAGTTCATAGGTACCTATGATAAAGTTTAAGCACTTATTATGCACAAACTTTTGCAGTTTGAGGTACGACAGCAAAACTAGCATGTCTGAGCACTTGGCACACTAGCTGGGGCAAACTTCATGCCTAACACATGACAGTTGAATTCTAAGTACTAGAATGAATCACATCAAGTTCCCATTGCTAGAGAAAGCCTGTGTGTACCGTCAGAGCTGAGGGTCTTCATTGGGGTTAAGAAAGCATCTGCTGGGTAGCTGGGTGCTGTGGTTCACGCCTGTAATCCCAGCACTTTGGGAGGCTGAGGCGGGTGGATCACGAGGTCAGGAGATCGAGACCATCCTGGCCAACGTGGTGAAACTCCGTCTGTATTAAAAATACAAAAATTAGCCAGGTGTGGTGGCGTGTGCCTGTAGTCCCAGCTACTCAGGAGGCGAGGCAAATCACTTGAACCTGGGAGGCAGAGGTTGCAGTGAGCCAAGATTGTGCCACTGCACTCCAGGCTGGGCGACAGAGTGAGACTCTGTCTCAGAAAAAAAAAAAAAAAAAGCATCTGCTGGGTATATACTGTGGGTCGAGACAGACATGAAGAGGCTTTCCTCACTAGTATGGGACATGCTTTTGTCATTCAAAGAGCCTGTGCTTTGATGCCAGGCACATGTGGATTCAAATCTCCCCAGTGAGGCCCAAGCCTTCACTCTAGGTGAGAAAAGTAGCAAAATAGTGAGATTTGAGGCCACAAAGACAACAAAGGGCCAGGATGTAGAGGACCGTGTATGGTATACTTAGTTTGGGTTTTTATCCCAGTGGTTTGGTCCTGTAGTCAGGACAGTGATGCCGGCAGGTTTGCATATTAGAAACAGCCTACTGGCATCAGCATGGAGAGCAGATCACACCCAGAGCCAGTAGGACAAGTGGGAAGGTGGGATTCAGCCAACAGGTGAGGGAGGCTGGGTGGAGGCAGTGGGAGAGGATAGGAGTGGTGGGGAGTTACACGCTTCCGGAAAGTGACTCTTAAAACCACTGTGGGGCAGGGGCTTCTTCGCAAGTCTGATGAAACCCAAAGACCTTTCCCCAGAAATAAAGCGTATAAAATTTAGTATACAATCGTAAGGGGTGGCATGAGCACTGCTTAGAGCCTAAGATTGCCCTTATCTCAGCTTAGCCACTGCTTTGCTGGTTTACTGCCAGCAAAGGAGGCTACACCAGATGATTCACAACTTCCTCTCCTGTCCTGAGGGTCTTTGCCTTCCAGTAGTGCTTGGGAATCTTCCCTGTGGTGGGCACGCCTGGAAGACCTAGGGAAGTGAGTCAGGATGGATTGCAAGGCTGATGATGTTGGAAACCCAATGGTAGGAACTATTTTGTTTGCCTTGTGGTTTTTACTGAATTATCTAGGAAGAAAAATGCACAAAATATATTCCCCATCTTATAAATAATGCATCTGACAGAGGTGGCCCAGAGAATTATCACCTGCTGTCTGGCTTCATGTTTGTTTATAACTTTCTCAAGAGTTTGAATTATTTCAGAACTCAAATTCAACCATTTGGCTGAAAGTTTTGGTTTGGTTTATAGTCATTGTATCCCTCCAAAAGGAATTACTCTCCACATGCTTCCTGGCTGTCCCTGTTGCTCATGGCTATGTATGCTGGGGCTGGGAAGATGAAGATTCTCCCAAGATCTTGGGTCATTAATTCCTGCCAAGGGTGGTGAAGTTCCTGGGAGGACCGGTGGTACTGAGGAAACAGATCCTTTGGGACCCAGCTTTTGTCTGAGTAACGAGGGTGACTTCAAGTGTTTTAGGCAAAGCTTTTTGCTTTTCAGAGGTTTCACCCACTGAAAAATGTAGGGGTGGAATAGAGCTTTAGAATGCCTTTAGCGCTAGCATTTCATAATGTAAGGGGGCTTTGCTCCTAGCTTTCCTTGGTTTCTTTATGACAATGATTCTCCAAACTGATTATTAGCCCAAGCAAGGCTGGCTGGATAAGGATCATCTGGGAGGTTATCAAAAATACAGATTCCAGGCTTCCAGGATAGAAATTCTGATTTAAGGAGTATATGATGGAACCTAGTAAGATGTATTCTTATTTTTTTCTTCATTGACTAATATTTTAAAAATAAAACTTCTTTTTGCTTTCTTCCCCCAACTAATTTAGTAAGGTGATTCTGATGTACACTAGTTCCCTTTATCCTCGGGAGTACATATATTCTAAGACCCCAGTGGATGCCTGAAACTGCAAGTAGTATCGAACCCTATATATACTATGTTTTTTTCTTATAAGTACATAGGTACCTATGATAAAGTTTAACTAACCACTTATTATGCACAAACTTTTGCAGTTTGAGGTGCGACAGCAAAACTAGCATGGATTTCTTTTTCCTTTTTCACATTTTCAAAGATAGACTTATTCTTACTATAGATCTTTGCAACCTCAGCCTACGATTTTTTTCTTTCCTTATTCAGTTGAGAACTTCCACCTTTTCACTTAAAGGAAGCATTTTACAGCTTTTCTTTGGCATATCTGAATTGACAGCATCATTACTCTTGCACTTTGGGCCATAGAGTAAAATAAGGATGACTTGGACACAAGCACTGTGATACTGTGATGGTCAAACCTGGGAACCATGGGGTGGGCTGCGGGGGTTAATGTAGTCCTGAGTGGGACAGAAAGGGACAGCATGAGTTTTCATCATGCTTCTCAGAATGACGCATGATTTAAAACTTAGGAATAACATTTCTGGAATTTTCCATTTAATATTTTCAGACCTCGGTTGACTGCAAGTCACTGAAACCTTGCCTAGCGAAACCATGGATAAAGGGGGACTGCTGTATATGCAGGTTTGGGAGATATGTTTTTAGGTAAACATTACTATAGTTGCATTCAATTTAATAAACATTTATGAAGTACCTAGAATATGCAAGATGTTTTGCCCAATCAGATGAAAAAGGTACCATTTCTGCTTTAGTTCGTAGTCTGGTGATGAAGGAACACAGGTAAAAACTAGTTATACCTGTGAGCAGTGCCTTAATAAATATATATACCAAACACAGAGGGGTGAATGATTAAAACAGGCTGGAAATGACAAGACAGGTGACCAGGCAAGTAAGTAAATGAATCCAGGGTTAGAAGGAGTGATGCTGTCTGGTCACATAACTTGCTCTCTGTGTTCCAAGACCTCATTCTGGATAATGGCTTGTTTTTCATTAAAACTACACCAACAGTTTAACAGGCACCCAAACACTGAAATCATTCTAATTAAATCAAGGAGGACACAAAAATCACTGTGGTGATTTAGCATTATTCTGGAAATTCTTGCTGATCCACTGTGCACGAACTAGAATTAGATCATATAATTTTGAAAGGAGGAGATGAAATTGTTATTATATATTGATGATCTGTTTGCATAGTAGAAAACTCATGAATAAATTGAAAAATGATGAAAAATAACGTCACAATTTAGTAGCTGAAAATCTGAAACAGTATGAAAATCTGTAGTGACAGAAATCAGATCAGTTGTTGCCTGAGAATATGTGGGAGGGTTGGGAGGGAAAGATTACTATAGGGCAGGAGGAAGGTTTGGGGGTAATAGATTTGGTCACTGTCCTCATGTGGGGATAGTTTTATAGGTGTAGACATATGTCAAGCTTATCAAATTCATGCTTTAAATATGTACTTTGATCACACACAAATAATTGCAGCAAATAAAATAAGGTGGTAGGGACAGATAAACAATCTCACATTGTTTATTGTAGCTCAATTATATACCATAAAGCTGTAAAAAATTATTATAGTTCCAATATATCAGCAATTACTAATAATTAGAAAACAGAGTAAAAGTACAGAAAATGTAGTAAAGTGTAAAAAATATAGTAGAATATACTAGAAAATATAGGAGAAAATTCCATTCATAATAGCAGTAAAACCCATAAAATACCTGGGATAACCATAAAAAGAAGTGAGAATTTATTTAGAGAAAAATACAAAACTTTACTGAGAGTCATAAAAGATTTGAATAAATGGAGAGGTATACTATGTTCCTGGAAGGAAAGACTGTCATAAAGGTGTCAGTTCTTCCTAAGTTGCTTTGTACTTTTAAAACAATGTGAACCAAAGGGACAAAGAGTTGTTTTCTCCTTTGGGGATGGGAGATGGGAGAAAGGGATGGATCAACCTGACCAAATGAGGCAGCTGTGTGTGTTAACCGTGCCGTTCATTTCCGGTATTCTTTGACCTCTGAAGCCTTGCTGACCCTGGAGGGATTCCTCCTCCCAAGGTTAGCCAATTCCTCAAGATAATAAACAACATGGTTGAGAGGGTGCTTTTAAGTGTAAACCAACTTGATCCAGAGTCTTCACACCAAATGACCTTCTTTATTGGACTCTCACACTCTGGGTCATTAACCACCCACCCTCATCACCCCAGGGCCAGGTACTGGACAACTCAGGACAGTTCTTATGCTCCCAGAACCTGTGAAATTATTCAAAATAGCCAATCCTAACCCTGCTTACCCTGCCCCACCCATTCCTTTCCACAGGAATCACGGTCAAGGCTCTTGCTCTTAGGCCCAGCTCTCCCTCTGCCTCCTGACCAACCCTGGTACTTCCCATGTGGCATCTCTGAGTATAATCAACTATTTTCAGTGGTGGTTGTTTCCTCATCTGTTGGCCTTGCCATACCTAAATAATAATAACACCCCCACGAAAAGATGGTAGTAGGCAGAATTCTAAAAATGGCACCTGGTTATTCAATCAGTTGAATCCAGACACTGCTGTGAAGGTGCTTAGCAGATGCAAACGAAGTCCCAAGTCAGCTGAACTTCCAACACAGAGATTATTTGAGTGAGCATGTTGCAATCAGGTGAGCCCTTTAAAAGAAGAGTGTTTTCTCTGGCCAGTGGCAGGAGAGAAAGTCTGAGAGAGTTACGCTCCTATTGGTTTCTAGGAAGCAGCCAGTAGCTATGCTATTGAGGGGCATGTGTCCAGGAACTGGTGAGCTTGGAAGAAGAGTCCAGCCTCAGAGGAGAATTGTAGCCCAACTGACACCTTGATTTCAGCTTGTGAGGCCTGAGCCGATCCACCTAACCTGGAGCCCAGATTCCTGATTAGTGGAACTGTGAGATAACAAACATGTATTATTTTACAGCTGCTAAGTTTGTGGTAATTTGTTACGGCAGCAAAATAAAATGAATAAGAAGGCAGCAAGAAGGGTGCTTCACAGGATGGCCTCTAAAGCCAGACGGGGTTAGATATTCGCCTTGCCACTTACCAGCTGTGTGACCTCACAGAAGTTATTTACATCTCAGTTTCCTCATCTGGAAAGTGCAGTAAGTATAGCACCTCCCTTACAGGTTTGCTGTGAGGATTACATGGTTAATGCATAGAAAGTGCTTAGAGCAGGCCTGGTGCATAGTGCAGGCTATATTTGCTAAGTGGCAAATTATCATATCTATAATTGTTTGCCATTTTTATGACTCTAAATTTAGGTGGGAGAATAATCACTCAAAAATCACCAAGGAGAAAAAGTATAAAAGATTACTGAGAGAAGTGGTTCTATCAGATATTAAAAAGTGCTCATGCAGCCACAATAATTAAATCAGTATGGTTCAGGAATAGACTGATGATTCAATCGGATAGAATCAATAACCAGAGACATGCATGCACACTCACGTGTCCATTCATTTAACAAGTATTCCTAGCGCACCTACGATGTGCCGGGTGCTGTTCTACACACTGGGGATATGGTGGTAAAACAAAAGAAAAATGAAATTCAAACAGATAAAGTCCTTGTTCTCAGGGATCTTTACCCTAAGAGGTAGAGCCAGACAGTAGGGAATTAAATATAGCATGTTACATGCAGGAACAAATGCTGTGAACAAAGCATTTATTCTGGTTAGACAGGATATGAGGGATGGAGAGAGATGGAGAATGTTATTTTCAGTAGAGTGGCCAGAGGACACCTGTTGATAAGTTGACATTTGAACAGAGCTCTGAGGGAAGTGAATAAGGGAGTTAGATATCAAGGGGATGGGCATCCAAGCAGAAGGGGAGCAAGTGTCAAGGCCCTGTGGCAGGTGCAGCGCGACCTGTTCAAGGTCTGTGTGTTTGAACAGAATGAGAGAAGGAGTCAGGTGGCAAAGATGAGGCTAGAGATGAAGCCTCCTGTGAATATTTAACCAAAGGTTGCCAGATACAACCCAGGACACCAGTTAAATTTGAAATTCAGTAGAAACAAGAAATAATTTTTTGGTGTCTATTCCATGTAATATTTGGGATATACTTATACTAAAATTTATTTGTCATTTCTATGAAATTCCATTTTAACTGGATATCTTGAAATTCTATGTGTTAATGCCAGAAATCCTAGCTGGAAAAAATGATTATGATGTAGTGTTAAATTTAAAAGTCATGATACAAAATTAGGTTGACAGTATGATCTCAATCATATTAAAATGTATAGATAAATGTCTGGAAAGGAATGTACTAAATCAAATGTTAACTCTGCTGCTTCTTAGGTGATAGGCAAATGGGTAACATTTTAACTGTTTTCCTTCTTTGTAGGTTTCTTTAATTTCCACATGCTCTACAGTATGTTCGAATCAGTATGCAAAGTGCCTAGAAAAGTGCCCTTGGTAGCCATAGAATGAATACTTGTTGATTGTTTAATTATTAAATTCATTGTACATGTATTACTTTCAAATCAGGAAATCTTCAGTTTAACTGTGGGGAGCAGAGCCATAGTAAGTTCACTCTATATGGCCTCCAGAAAGGGGAAGGAGGAGTTTCATGGCTAGGAACCTTGGGTACCAACTACTGAGTGGATCCCAGAAGAAAGATGCTGGGTGCCTCCATCTGAATCCTGCATCTTGATGCTGTAAGGGCCTCTACAACCGGGTAGGTCCCCTTGAGTTTGCATGAGTCTGCTTGAGGCTGCAGGAGTCCTGCATGGGGCTGTCCAATACTTTGAAAAGAGTCTGAGCCAAGCACTCTTCTTCCTTTGTTCCTGGTTAAATATCTGGCACAGAACGAGGGCATTTCTATTCTCCCAAAAGCATTATAATGCATTCCAGGCCAGTCCCTAAAAAGTATTTGGCTTGAATGGACAAACCCCCTGGTGGCCTGTAGCCTTGTCAACACCAGAGATTGGAGTGTGCTATTAACAAGCATAGAACCTCAATAATTCATCCTCCTGTTGGCTACTGCAAGCTTAGAGAAATACCAACTTCACTCTCCATGTGTTCTGGCCCAGGTAAAGAAAAACCAACAAAAGAGCAAGAAGCCAGGATAGGGGCTCTGCAGTGAAATGCTCTTTGATGTCTGGCTCTGAGGTTCTGAGGGAGAAAAGCCCCGGACACGTATCAATCAGTCTGACAATGTTGACAGGGCTTTGGGTTCTGTGTGTGTGGCTGTCTTCCCCACTGGGCTGTTCATTCAAGCCCCAAGCCAGTCCAGTGCCTGGCCCCTATCTGGCTGTACCCACATGTGTTTGTCAATCTCAGCTGAACTCTCCAGTTCAGTTCAGCTAGGCACTGAGGGTGCAGCCAGCAGATGTTTCTCTCGGGATCTCACTGTGCTCATGGAGCCTACCTGCCTCTTTACCCTCTTATTATATCTTGCTCCCATCCCCCATATGCCCCAGGTGCTGGCAAAGCCCACCTTCTGACAGTTCCTCCAGCACGCCCAGCTCAGTCCTGTCTCAGGGCCGTTGTGTCTGCTGTTCCCTCTGCCTGGAGTTCTCTTCCTTAGAGCTCTCCTAGAGTGGCACCTTCTCCTTGTGCAGCCCAAAGGTTCCCTCCCTACCACCTTAGAGAGGCCACTACGGCCACCCTAGGATGCAATTCTTCCTTTGAATTCACTCTATAGTCTTTGTTTAGTCCTGTGTCATTTGTGTCCCTTCCTCTGGAAGGTCAGCTCCATGACATCAGAGGCCTTTTCTATCTTGCTAATAGCTACTCCCCGGCACCTGGAGTGAGGCTTGATGCACCACAGGTGCTCAGGGTGTGTGGGCTGAACCTTCCCTAGCTGGGCTTTTCCCAGCCTCTAGGGGAGCTCTGATCTCTCTAGCTCTGCTCTCTCAGAGGGACAAATGTTTTCATATTAGCTTAGCCCATACGGGTTGACATGTTTGGAGAGAAAAATTAAGAGGCAAAGAAGGAAAACTCCACAGATTTCAAAAGCTGACTAGCTGATCTCATTTGTATCCTAAGATGACTTAAAGCCTCATGGGCATCTTGGCTGACACTGGTCTTGGTTGGCCCTGCTTGGGTGGGATGTGAGAACAGCTGCCCCTCCTCATCACCAGGTTCAGAGGGATATTCAGGCCCTGTCAGGCCCTGCTTCTCTGCTTCTCCTCTGGGTGAAGACCCAAGATGTGCATTCTGGCCTCATGGTGACGTGTGTATCTCTCTGCAGCCGTCCTAGATCTCTTGGGTTGACCCATGCTTTTGCTGTGGGCATAGTAGCCTTATAGAAGTAGGCCTTGGGCTTCCAGCTGTTCTCCTCTGAGCAGCAGACATTGTTTCTCCTGGAGATGTCTTTGACTCCGGATCCTCTTTTCTCCCTGCCTGCAGCATATTCACTAGCTGGGCTTGTGGATGATGTTTTCTTCTTGTCATTTGGATGAAATCTGACTTCTTCCCCTCCTACTATAAGCAGTGCCTGACCCAGCCACATCCACAGCCCTGAAATGAAAGATGTCCACTTTCCAGGCGGAATCTTGGGCATGCTACATAACTTTTTTGAATTTTTCTTTCCTTATCTGTAAGATGGAGATGATAACACCAGCCTCCTAAAGTTTTGTGGAGTCCAAAGAGATAGTCAATGTACAGGACCTGGCAAAAAGGGAGGGAAAGAGAGATGTAGTTATCATGATTAAAACTTGCAGCCCTGGCACCTGCTGAGCTCCTGACCTGGCTAGTAGAGGTTTCAGGACTTTCAAAAACAAGCCTGAGTTTCAGCCTATCCTCAGGGGGTGGGCACTACAAGTGCCAATCCAGGCAGGTAGTGTGGGGCAGGGCGAGGACATTAGGCTGAGTGTCAGGGCCTGGGTTTGGGGCTGACTTTGGGTGATCTTAACCAAGTGTCTCCCTTTTCAGCCTTGCTATGATGTATTTTCTGGTTCGTGCGGTCTGAAAACTATAGGGAGCTGGGGAGATGCTTCCAAAGAGAGAAAAAGGAGATGCCCAGGTTAGCTTAATGAGTGAGGGCTATAGGCAATGCATGCATTGACCCAACTGTGAGTTTAACTGTGAGCAGATGCAGGGTTTGCTGGATCCATGAAACCAACTCCAAGAAATCTCCAGGGCTGAATCCCTGTTGGCAGCCTTAGCGACGCTGCTTTTCAAAGCTACTGAGGTGAAAAGGGTTCTTTGCTTTGGTCATGATGGAAGCCCTGGGGCGGTGACAGCTATGAAATGTCCCATAGGCATGAGGGAGAGAGGCTGGTCTGGTCTGTCTGGGATGGCCCAGGCTGCTTCTGTGCCCCCTCTGCTGTCACAAGCAATGAGCCTGCTTCTCTTGCTTGTCCACACAGCTCTCTGGGTCCACAGAAAGAAGAGTGTGAGCGAGTCGGGGTAAGCCTTAGTGAAAGCCAGGGGCTGCTGGTGACAGGCTGGACCACCTTAGAGAGGCATCTAACCTCCAAGTCCCATTGTTTTCCTCTTTTGGGAACCAGAGATAAAGGTGGTGTGATCATCTTTGCCTGGCCAGAATGAGGGAAAATCATTGAGAAAGTGATTTTCTCACTTGGAGGAAAAGATGTGTGATGGTGGCATAACTCCTGGCCAAACACCACCCACATTCATTGCAGGGAGAGGTGGCCTGAGATATCTATTTACTTTCTAATTCAGGCTTTAATTTAGCAAGCAATTGTTGCCTTTTGTGAGCAAAGCACTCCTTGCTTGGGAGTCCAAAAATGAATAGAATCTGGTGCCTGCCTCCTGGGGCTCACATTGTAAGTCCCCACTCTCTTCCCTTTGTGTAAACAATACCAGCTCTACCTACCATCCATCACATGAAACAGTCTGAGCTCTTCCCAGCACTCTGGTTGAATTCCAATCTTCCAGAAATGTCATGAATTTTAAGCTCATTTAATCCTCATACAACACTGTCTGGAGTGGTGTTTTAAGTACCGTTTTGCAGGTGAGGGCACTGAGGCTCCGAGATGTCCATAATAGGGGCAGAGCATGTACACCCTGAGAGGACCTGTGGGCTTCCCAGAGGAGGTGACACTTGCCTGGATTTTCATGCATGGGTTGGAGGTCACTGGAAGGACAAGAGGGGCAGGGGCACATCAGGAAGAGGGAACATCTTACTCAAAAGCTCAGAGATCAGAAATAAATACTGTGCCATGGAAATAGCCAGCAGCTAATTTTCAAGTTTAGAAAAGCTAAGAAGGTCCCTGTATACCAGGCAAAAGAGTTGTGTCTTTAAGCTGGGGCAATGCTGAGTGTGCATGTGTTTGTATGCATGTATGTGTGTGCATGTGCGTATCTGTGTACCTGTGGTGGCATTTGCTCTGGGAAGAATCATCGTGGATTTTATCTTCCCTTTAATGGTAGGCAGATAATACGGAGGCAGGTGGGGCTGGAGGTAGACAGACCAGATGAGAGGTTATCGCAACTGTCTAGTAATATTAATCAATATTTACTGAGTACTTATCCCGTGCCAGGTACAGTGCTAAATACTTTGCAAGGATTATCTCATAAATCTTGTATCAACCTCTGAGGCAGCTGTCACTATTATGCCCACATTACATACAAAGAAACTGAAATTTCAACAGGTTTAATAACTTGCCCAGGATTGCACAGCATAAGCTATGAGCATAAACTGAGATTTGAACACAGCTTTCTCTGACCAGATTCCAAATCCCTGACCATGATTACCTAGTATGACAAGGGCTTACATTTACGCAGGGATGGTGGGATTGAAAGTAGAGGAAATACCTGATAAATATTTAGGAGGTAAAACCAGTGAATTTGGTGAGCAAATTGGTCCCAGGAACGAATGAGAGGAAGATGCTTTCAGCCTGGGTGACTATGGAGCCTGGAGAAACATAGATGTTATAGAAAAGACATTGCTTTTGTGATCTCAGGTTTACCTGATGCAGGTATAACAGGATCTGGACTCTGCTCTTCAACACATGAACGGCCCCTCCTTATTCAATTTATAACTGATCAGCAATTCATCTATGGGGAGGTGAGAGCCCTGCCTAGGACTCCAGGGTCCTCACCCCAAGTATTGATCCAGTTAAATTGATCTAGTGATTGTTCTCCTTGGATGTGGTCATTCTGCCAGTTATAAAGCCCCTGACTGTATGATCATCTGAGTCACATTTCTCTGCCTGGGATCATGAGCCCATAGGTACTGTTTTTCATCTATTCATCCGACAACTCTATCGGAAAAGAAAACGAGAAATGTCAGGTATAAGGGGCTCTTCATGGACCCATGGTGGCCCCTGTGGATCACAGAATCTCTCCTTGAGGGCATGCAAACCACCTACTTAATGAGAATTGTACCTGGGATGGGCCCCCAGCAAATGTATCTCTTTTGGAAAATGAAGGCGTTTGCTTTTTTCTAGTCCCTTTTCAACATTTGAACCAATTTTAATTGAGTGTTTGCTGTGTTCCTGTCATGTACTTGTCCTTTCTACATCCATGATGATTCTTCAAGGGTTTCCAACAGCAGGTCCATATCCTGTGTGATATCCACAAACTGTTGAATAGAATTCTTCCAGGTCAAGAGCCTTGACCTCATTTTAACAATCGGTGTGTTACCTGGATTCTTAAATTCTCCTTACCGATGTTTATTTTAAATGTACTAATTTGAGAATCACTGTCCTTGACAGACAGGTAGAAACAAAATAGGGGCTGAAGAGGGCTGCTTTTTGTTAACTTTAAATCATTAATATTAAGGGGACAGAGCTGGGCGCAGTGGCTCATGCCTGTAATCCCAGCATTTTGGGAGGCTGAGGCGGGTGGATCACCTGAGGTTGGGAGTTCAAGACCAGCCTGACCAACATGAAGAAACCCTGTCTCTACTAAAAATACAAAAATTAGCTGGGCTTGGTGGCACATGCCTGTAACCCCGGCTACTTGGGAGGCTGAGGCAGAAGAATCGCTTGAACCTGGGAGGCGGAGGTTGCAGTGAGCCGAGGTCACGCCATTGCATTCCAGCCTGGGCAACAAGGGTGAAACTCCGTCTCTCTCTCTCTCTCTCTCTCTCTCTCTCTCTCTATATATATATATATATATATATATGGACAGGAAGGAACTGACAACATGTATGTATATATTTATTTATTTATTATACTTTAAGTTCTGGGATACACGTGCAGAACATGCAGGTTTGTTACATAGGTATACATGTGCCATGATGGTTTGTTGCACCCATCAACCCATCATCTAGGTTTTAAGCCCTGCATGCATTCGGTATTTGTCCTAACGCTCTCCCTCCCTTGCCCCCGACACCCCGGCAGGCCCCAGTGTGTGATGTTCCCCTCCCTGTGTCCACGTATTCTCATTATTCAAC